>NC_000017.11:77536800-77837210 GCF_000001405.40 Homo sapiens
GCTGCACAAGGTGTCCCCTGATCCATCACTTTATTATTATTATTATTATTTTTTCTTGGGATGGAGTCTTGCTCTGTCACCCAGGCTGGAGTGCAGTGGCACAATCTCAGCTCATTGCAACCTCTGCCTTCTGGGTTCAAGCAATTCTCCCTCAGCCTCCCGAGTAGCTGGGACTACAGGCATGAGCCACCATGCCTGGCTAATTTTTTTTTGTATTTTTAGTAGAGATGGGCTTTCACCATGTTGGCCAGGCTGGTCTCAAACTCCTGACCACAAGTGATCCACCTGCCTCAGCCTCCCAGAGTGCTAGGATTACAGGCATGAGCCACTGTGCCCGGCCTCATCACTTTAAAATAGGAATAATAGCCACCATACAAGGGTATTGGGAACGATTAAAAGTGTTAGTACTACAGGAATAATTCTAGGACCTAACCTCATACAGCTGCAGGAGCACTGAATGAGATAATCCATGAGGTTAGGTCCTAGCATTATTCCTGTTTTACAGATGGGGAAGTTGAGGTTTATTTCAAGTAAGTGCCCAAGGTCACATAGCTAGGAAGTGGTAGAACTAGGATTCGAGCCCCAGCCATTGGACAGCGGATCCCATCCCAGATCCTATATTGCCCTCCAAAAAGTCAAGCACCCCTGGGTCAGTGGAAGTTGCAATCTGGGTCATACAGAGTCTGGAGGCCAGTCTCCAATTTCTAGGCTCTTAGAGCCCTCATTTGACCTTGAGCTCTAACAAAGTGCTCACAAACATGTGCCAGTGACTTGCCACAATGAAGGACAGTTGTGTGGGTCTATGGTGGGGTGATGCGTTGCTTCTTACTGAATGTGAAATAAAGCTTAGGAACACTAGATCTGTGTGCTTCAGGAGTGGTGGGGATTGCCCTGGTTGAGTGACTGGAGCATTAAGTGAGATGGGATCTTTGGTGTCATCCTATGATGATGGTGACAGTGGCAGTGATGATGACGACAATCACTTTCTTCCTCCTCCTCTTCCTCTTCTTCTTCTGCTGCTCCTCCTCCTCCTCCTCCTTCTTCTCCTTCTTTTTTTTTTTGAGAACAAGTCTCTCTCTGTCACCCAGGCCGGAGTGCAGTGGCACAATGTCGGCTCACTGCAACCTCCACCTACCGGGTTCAAGCGATTCTTCCGCCTCAGCCTCCTGAGTAGCTGGGACTACAGGCGTCCGCCACCACGCCCAGCTAATCTTTGTATTTTTAGTAGAGACGGGTTTCACCATGTTGGCCAGGCTGGTCTCGAACTCCTGACCTCAGGTGATCCACCCGCCTCAGCCTTCCAAAGTGCTGGGATTACAGGTGTGAGCCACTGCGCCCGGCCGGCAATCACTTTCATGCAGCATGCCCTTTGGGTGCCTACCGTGTGTCGGGTCCTGATGCTGCCCTTGAGGAGCTGACAGTCGGGGAGAAAGGACCAGGAATGTGCTGTCTTACCCCATCACAAAACAAGAGAGAGAATAATGGGTGTCACAAGAGAGGTGCCAGCAGCAGGTGATGGGAGGTTGTCACAATGATAATGAGCTTTAGGTTCAGTGCAGACTTGGCTGGTGGGGCTGGCAAAACCACAGAGATTCAGAGCAGCTGGGGAGAGGCAGTGTACATTAATCTGAACGAATATTAATGTAAGATCTTAATAAAATTACATTTGTGTCTATTTATCTGGCTGTATGAGTTTCCCTAAATTTGGATGGGCATGTTTCAGATGGTTTGGCTTAAGACAGATGTTTTCCTTTTATATAATTCCTTTGTATCTGAGGTCATACTCTGTGAGATTTTGATCTTCAAAATTGGTCCAGACTTATTTTATGTCTCAGCATATGGACTATCTTGGTGAGGGCTCCACGTGCCTTTGTAAAGAACATGTATTCTGTAATCACGGGGTGTAGTGGACCTTAAATATCAATTAGGTCACAATAGTTGTTAGAATGCTCAATGTCCTTACTGATTTTTTGATTTTTTTTGTTTACTGACTCTGTCAGTTGCTGAAAGAAAGGTATTAAAATCTCCAACTGTAATTTTTGGATTTGTCTATTTCTCCTTTTAATTCTGACAGGTTTTGCTTTATTTATTTTGAAATTGTTATTAGATGCATATACATTTAAGATTGTTAGGATTTCCCAATAAACATATCCTTTCGTCATTATGCAGTCTCCCTCTATCTCTTTGGCAATACTCTTTGTCTTGAGCCTATTACAGTAACATAGCCACACCTGTTTTTTGCACTTATTGTTTGCCTGTCATACTTTTTTTTATCCTTTTATTTTTAGTCTGTCTGTGTCTTTATATTTAAAATATATCTCGGCCAGGCACGGTGGCTCACGCCTGTAATCCCAGCACTTTGGGAGGCCAAAGTGGGCAGATCATGAGGTCAGGAGATCGAGACCATCCTGGCTAACACGGTGAAACCTTGTCTCTACTGAAAATACAAAAAATTAGCCAGGCATGGTGGCGGGTGCCTGTATTCCCAGCTACTTGGGAGGCTGAGGCAGGAGAATGGCATGAACCCCAGAGGCAGAGCTTGCAGTGAGCCGAGATTGCGCCACTGCACTCCAGCCTGGGCGACAGAGCGAGACTCCGTCTCAAAAAACAAAACAAAACAAAAAATAAAATGTATCTCTTGGAGATGACACATAGCTGGATCTTGCAGTGTTATTCAGCCAGATTATCTCTGCCTTTTAAGTGGGATGTTCAGTGCATTTCTGTTAAGCGTGATTATAGATGTAGCTGGATTTAGATCTGCCATTATGACATTTGTTCTCTTTTTGTCCCTTCTGTTTTTTTTGTTTTGTTTTGTTTCCCTGTTTCTCTTTTCCTGACTTCTTTTAGGTTAATCATATTTTTTGGTATCCCCATTTTAATTAGTTTATTGGCATTTTAGCTGTACTTTTGCATTTTTAATAGCGGCTAACTTAGGGATTATAATATGTGATACTGTGATATAATAAACAATATATATTTGGACTTTGTTCCTGGTAGAAGAGCTTCTAAAACTTTTAGAGTTTCCTGAATGATAGGGGTGAGAGTCTTGTTAGCCTTAATAAGCCCCTTTCAACCATACCTGAGTTTCTGCTTAGGAGGTGAATCTTGGTGGGCCCCTCCTAGGTAGCAAGACAGGGTCTTGCCCTGTCCACCAAGCTGGAGTGCCGTGGTACAGTCTTGGCTCACTGCAGCCTCAACCTCCCAGGCTCAAGCAATTCTCCCGCCTCAGCCTCCAGAGTAGCTGGGACCACAGGTACATGCCACCATGCCCGGCTAATTTTAAAAAATATTTTTGTAGAGATGGGGGTCTGACTATGTTGCCCATGCTGGTCTTGAACTCCTGCCTCAAATGATCCTCCTGCCTTGGCCTCTCAAAGTGTTGGGATTACGAGCCCCCACACCCAGCCTCAAAGGTGTTTAAAGAACATCTACTTTGTGCTCAGTTTCCTCACTCCTCCATGGAAAGCCTGCAGTGGCTCTCCTTTGCCCTCAGGATACAGCCTGACTCCTTAATCTGGCTTGAAGGCTCATCCTTACCTGCAGGGCCAGGGCGGCTCCTCTCTTGCCCCTTCTGTTGTGTATTTTGCGCTCCAGTTTCTCCGAAGCACCAGGCTGGCTTTGCCATGAGCCATGTCCAATGGCTCCTTCCACCCGGACCCCTGTCCCCACTGCCATCAGCTGACTTTCCCTGTGGCACTCTGCTGACCTTTATTCACATCCTCAACACACCTGCCACCTTCTAGGTGTGGCACTTCCTGCTCCTCCAGATGGGCTTAAGTGGGCACAGCCAGAGCTCCCATGCCTCATCCTGGCAGTGACAACGTGTGGCACCTAAGGGAAGCCCTGACCCCAGTCCTGCCACCGCCTTGTTCTGGTGGGCTCTGTGAGGATGCACTGGATGAATTCACTAGTGCAGCAGTGCTTCGCCTTCCAGAGGGACCGTCGGAGCCAGCCCCGCGTTGCAGGGACCTGACGACCCTGAGGTCCAGCCTTCCCCGATGCCCAGCCCAGCTCAGTCCACTGTGTCCTCTTTGGCCTCTTCCCATCCTGGTTTCTCAGTCGTTCTCAGCCAAGCCACAGGACTGGAAGCTTTGTCGCTTTCTATAAGGACTTGCCTGTCAGGGGGAGTTAGTTCGAAAGGAACGGGGAGTGAAGACTCAATGTGAATTTCAGGTAAAAATCTCCGGGTCTGAGGAGACTGGGTCTGACAGCCAGTGCTGGCCTCGGGGACCCTGATGGAGACGTTCACACAGGTGCCCAACTGCAGGACGACCCTGCCGAGGAGGCACCTGCTGGGGCCAATTAGAATTCCTCGTTCTGGGCTGGGTTAATTTGCATAAACTCTGAGCCCCCAGGAAAAATCTTCCGCGAGGCCTCTTCCTCTTTGTTAATTGAAAAAGGCTCTTTGTCTGTCTTCAGCTGTCAGCTCACATGCGGCCTCCCCAGGCAAGCCTTTCCCAGCTCCTCAGACCAGGCAGGTCGCCCCTGCGGTCTCCGCGTCTCCTCCCCACACCTCAGCTCACCCACTCGGAATTATCTGTGAGTTTCCTTCCAGCTTCAGCGCCACAAGGACAGGGACCTTGTCTCTTCCTGTGGTGGTTGTTTCTATCATCACTAAATCCATACCTAGTGCACTAGCGCACGGTAGAGGTTGTTTGCTCAATGAATGAATGCATTTCCTTGTAGGACCCCCGGCTGCCCCGAGTGAGCCACACTCCTTACAAAGACCAGGCAACTACGTTGAAGAAATGTTGATATTTATCAAGAAACACTCTTCCAACCATTTTTAATTTTTTTTGGACGTTAAAGTATTTATTGGGTCGGGTGTGGTGGTTCACGCCTGTAATTCCAGCACTTGGGGAGGCCGAGGCGGGCGGATCACTTGAGATCAGGAGTTTGAGACCAGCCTGGCCAACATGGTGAAACCCTGTCTCTACTAAAAATACAAAAATTAGCCGGGCATGGTGGCTCGTGCCTGTAGTCCCAACTACTTGGGAGGCTGAGGGGGAGAATCGCTTGAACCCGGGAAGGGGAGGTTGCAGTGAGCCGAGATTGAGCCACTGCACTCCAGCCTGGGCGACAGAGCAAGACTCTGTCTCAAAATAAGATAAAATAAGATGTATTAGACAAAAACTGAGAGTTCTTACTTTAAATTGATTTGGAATTTTGGGTACACTTATATATTTTTTTCTAAAATAAATTGAAAGTGAATCATAGGAGAAATATTACTTTATATAAATATTATTAACTTGTTTTAAGTACTTATTAAAAACAACAACAACAAAGGCCAGGCATGGCCCCTTCCACAGAGAGCTGGTCAGCCAGCATTTTCTGCAGCTCTTACCCCAGCTGCCTCTCTTCTGGTTTCTGAGCCTCCCCACCCCCACTTAAGGAGCTTACAGCTGAGCAGGAGAGATAAGATGTTAAGTGCGTGGAAAGATTATTTTTTATTTTTGGAAAGTTGAACATTTTAAGCCAACATCCCATGAGGCTGTGGGATTAGGCTGGAGGTAGAACTTGCTTATCCCATTTGGAATTGCTGAAGCTTCCCAGAAAGGCTTACTTCTTCCTCTTTTTTTTATTTCTAAAATTCTGCAGAAATTCTTCCATGCCCAGGCTAGCCTTGGGAGAAGAGTGGATGTCAAGATGTCAATGATGTATTGGAACGATGGGTGGGAAAGAGAGCCAGGGGGAGCTTTTAAGATAACATCAGAGGAATTGGCTTTCAAGGGCGTGGTGGACGATTTTGAGGACTGGCTAATGCATTTGATCAGAAGACGGGTGGTGATGGGCTGTGTTCCTATCCTGGCTCCCGTTTCTAAAAACAGCAGGCACTCAACCAGCCCTCAGGTGTCCCCTTTGTCCCAGGAAGCTTGGCAGAAGGAGCCAGGACGTCTCCAGAGGAGCAGATGGCCCTCAAAGCTGGAGGACCATCAAGAAAGAGCCTCCCTGGTGAGGAGAAACTTAGGTTACTGATATGGGAACTCAAAAACTCTCACTTCTGTGTACCCAGGAGTTCCTATTCATCTCCCCAGGAATCTTAAGTATCTGAAGGACCCGGGGCAGTTGCACAGAGTGGCCATCGGGTGTCAGTGTGGAATTAGAAGCCCTGCCTGCGTTCCTTCGCTCAGCTGCTTGGCTTTGAGTTAGATGCTCCTGGAAGCTGGGCCCGCAGCCCCATGCAGGCTGGGAACGGGGATGGAGCCGTGAGGATTCTCCCTTAATTTAATGGCCCCGTCCACTGAGCTGAGAACATGGCTGTGATCCTCAGCTTGGGCAGTTCCTATTGTATTGAGGCTTTGGAGTGCTTATGAGCTGGGCTGAGTCACGCTGATAAAAAGTTAATTTCTATTTGCTGTGGCTCAGTAATTGGATGAACATGAAAGCAATTAAATATTAAAACATACAAACAAATAACTAAGTCACTGTAATTAGCCAAAGTTTGATCACTGTCATATTTATTTAGGAAGAGGTGATATGTCTCAGCAGGTGACATTTTAAATACCCCGGGCCTCTCTGGTGTTGTCTTTGGAGAATGCTGAATAATGTACAGAGAATTTAATTAAACCCTGTTGTAAATCAGCCATGATGACAGGGAAATGACAGCCACATGTTGAAATGAGAATTAGTCCACAGCAAGGGATATTAATTAACTCTTTTTCTGAAGGCCTCTGGCACAGAGTGGCATTAAAAAAAAAAAAAGCCAGCGCTTTGACGTGGGGAGGGGATTGTGCCTGTTATTATTTTTATAATCATCATTATTATTTATGGCTTGAATTTCTTCAATGGCCAAAGTGCAGCTAATAATCACGATGCCACACAATGAGATTAAACAATTCTTTCCCCAGGCGCTTTGAGACCCAGGTAGAAAATAGCGCCATAAAAGGATGCCAGGGAATGAGAGAGTCCCTTTGGAAAACACCAGCATTTTTATAAGCAGCATATTATTTTCTTCCGGATTTGGACTCGGGGAGAATAGGTAGGGTGGTATTAGCAATGAAAGCACAGACCTCGGAGCCGGGAGAGACCACGGAAATCCGTAGCCCGATCCCGCTCACTTTATAGAAGAGGAAACGAGGCTCAGGGAGATGTACAGATTTGCCCAAGTTCATAGGGCTTGTTGAAACAGAGTCAGGGTGGAGCGTGACCCTGACCCCCGGTCAGTGGAGTTTCTGCTAACTGCCTCGCCCAGGTTTTAAAATGCAGGAAGCAGAGGACAGAGATGTGCCAGGAATGGTAAGCTGCTGTTGTGAAGACTGGGGAATAGAAACGCTGCTTTTGTTCCCGATGCTAAAAAACTCCCTGTGCAAATCGGAGCAGACGTCTCTCTTCACCATGAAGACAGTCTGGGGTCTTCCCCCCATGGTCTCGGCTGGCCTCAGCCCTGGAAGGAGCTTGCCCTAGAGAAGCTGCTTTAGTCCTTCTTTGTGAATGCAAACTCCTGACAAATAGGACGCGTCTTGCCCAGTGCCCCTTCAAGGAGGGAGGCTTCATCAATCAGTGAACCAGACCCCTGGCCAATGGCTGGGGCCTGCAACATGCCCTCAAGCATCCCACAGCCTTGCAACGATTATTACCTTGCAGGATTCAGCTCACACATTCCCTTCCTTGGCAAAGAAGAACCAGGTCAGGGCAATGCATTTGCCTTCCAGCAGGAAATGCTGCAACTCCGATGTGTCTCTAGGTGTGTGGACACCATGTCTGTGCACAGTCCTGGGCACTTGCTCGAGTAGCCATCAGCCAGAGCAGCCCCACGCGGGCCACAGACCATCACTCTATTGGCCCCCTGGGGCTGGTTATGGACAACTGCACGAGCCAATCAAGAGCTCGAAAGGATGGGATGTCAGTTGCAGTAGACACAGTCCCAGTTGATCCTGACATCATATATAGGCAGAGGTATGGCTTCTGGAACGCTCTAGAAGATCTCTTTTAGTGCCCCATAGAGGCAAGAATCTGGCCATGGAGAGATTACAAAGCACAGCCTTTATTATCCTCCAGATTGGAGATGGTTGGTGTAGCACAAAAGGCTGGTGATTCAGAGAGGCAGCTGCCCTGGCTTTAGGGTTTCACGTGTGCGTGAGCATAAGTGTGTCCCCAAACTCTGGCCCCTACCGATCCTTAGAGGAAGGGTGGCTGGAAGCAGATGAGGAAGTTGTTCTGAGGGCTCTCTCGGCAGGTCTGAGAGGCATTTTTGTTGAGAGGAGAACCTCTCAAAATGTCCTGTGAGTTTGGTTTGGATGATGTTACCTGGAAGGTCAGGGACTCAACAGCAGCTTAACCTCATCCCCGGGGACCAGCAGTCCCTGTGTCAAAGTCACTAACGCAGAGGCACAGGGATCTTGGCTTGTCATGGGGAGCCCATCATATCTGGGTCAGCCAGAGCCTTCAACACAGGGCATTTTCACCACTTCCAAATGAAATTTGATTGGCAGTTAGAATGAAAGGTTCAAGTTACTATTTTCACCCAAGCCATGGTTCCGTCCAAGGAGTTCCAGAGCTCAGACATGATATGGCCTTGGGGGAGATCTTACGGGGCCTGGGAAGGCTGGGATGGGGAGGGAATAGGGAAGACAGAACGGGTGGGAAGCTCCAGCACCGTATTTCCTAACCCGGTGGGCCTGCAAAGCTCTCTTATGGAGGTGCCAATGGTTATCTAAACAAAAAGGGGTTCTGGGGCCACATGTGTGCAGCCAAACTTTTGCAAAAGGCTGCTCACTATAAGCCTGTCTTGAAAATTCACCATGCTTATTAGCATAATACAGGCTCTGAGCAGTCCTGCCATGTGAAATTGTGTTTAAATTTGCTTAATGGAGTGACTCTCACATTTGTACGATCACTGAGCCCACCTACCCCATTTTTGTGTGTTCATAGAACACTGTGGTGGGCAGAGTAAGGGTTCCACAAAGGTGTCCATATTCCAATCCCCAGAACCTGTGACTGTGCCCCCTGACATGGCAAAAGGGACTTTGCAGATGTGAGATGTGACGAAGTTAAGGATCTTGAGATAGGAGATGGTTTTGGATTATCCTGCTACCTAACCTACTCATGAATCCTTAGAAGTAGACATTTCCTGTCTGTGGTTAGAGACGTGGCCACAGAAGAAGGGTCAGAGAGAAGCAATGTTGCTGGCTTTGAAGACAGAGGAAGGGGCCATGAGCCAGGGAATGTGAGTGACCTCCAGAAGCTGGAAACAGCAAGGAAGTGAATTCTGCCCTAGACCCTCCGGAAGGTGCACAGCCCTGCTGATGCCTTGACTTGAGTGCAGTGAGACCCAAGCCAGATTTCTGGCCAAAAGAATTTGTAAGATAATAAATGTGTTTTAGTTTAAGCCACTGGATCGGTGGCCATTTGTTACGGCAGCAGTAGAAAAGGAATCCACACACCTGTTTACATGTTGGCATTGTTGTGAGAAAAACTGACCAGGAATCCAAACAGGCAATTCAGAATGACTGACTGACCATCAGTCAATGCACTGCACACTGTGGACCAAACTGAACTGTGTAAGACATGCATCCTGCCCCTGAAGAGTTTGCATTTCACTTGGGAAGTCAAGACACACACAAATAGAAGAGAAATATTAACAATTTCTAGGGCACAAAAACGTATTTATTTATTTATTTTGAGACATAGTCTCGCTCTTTCACCCAGGCTGGAATGCAGTGGCAACATCTCGGCTCACGGCAACCTCTGCCCCCAGGTTCAAGCAATCCTCCCACCTCAGCCTCCCCGAGTAGCTGGGACCACAGCGCCCACCACCGTGCCCGGCTAATTTTTGTATTTTTAGTAGAGATGGGGTTTCACCATGTTGACCAGGCTGGTCTCAAACTCCTGACCTCAAGTGATCCTCCTGCCTCGGCCTTCCAAAGTGCTGGGATTACAGGCGTGAGCCACAGCGTGCAGCCTAAGGCATGAAAACTTAATGACAAAGCTGAGGAGTTCAACTTTAAACAGTGCATGCACCCACCAGGGGTGACTCGGAGCTTTCACTGGAGGAAGGAGTCTGGGCCTTAAACGCAGGAATCCTCCAGGGAGAGCTGGGATTTAATGAGGGTGGGGGAGTTTCCCTTGGGCTTATGCAGTGCAGTGGGGTGGGGCTGGAAACAGCACTGGGAGGGGCTGAGCAGAAGCCACAGCGGGGCAGAACAAAGGCCTGGAGACTGGAGCGAGCTGCGTTCTTGGGGGTGGGGGGTGGGGCGGCAGCTGGAGAGTGGGGGCTTCCCCAGCGGGAGAGGGAGGACGATTCTGGATGGCTTCCCTCCTTGTGGACAGAGTGAGTCTCTGCTATGAGAAAGGTAGGAGCTCTTTCAGCTCCGGCTGAGAATGCTAGTGGAGCCGGCTGGAGGGAAGGGGCTCTCCGGGCATGAGTGGCAGGGTGGCTGTGCTGATGACGGCACCAAGAAACCTGCCGGCTTTCTAGATGCTTCCTCTTATTTCTTTCCTTGTCTCAAGGCCTCCATTTTTGCTTCTGTAAGTTTTCCTATGCAAGTTTTGAGGTACAGGAGTGTTTGTGCCACCCCAGCATGTGTGGTTTCCTGGTGCTAGGGGCAGGGGAGGGCCTTGCAGGAGTGGGGTGACCCTTTGCAAAATCCTGCAGCGGGTGGGGGAGCTGGATCCTTTTTTTTTTTTTTTGAGACGGAGTCTCCCTCTGTCGCCCAGGCTGGAGTGCAGTGGTGCAATCTGGGCTCACTGCAAGCTCCGCCTCCCGGGTTCACGCCATTGTCCTGCCTCAGCCTCCCCAGTAGCTGGGACTACAGGCGCCGGCCGCCACACCCGGCTAATTTTTTTGTATTTTTTTTAGTAAAGATGGGGTTTCACCGTGTTAGCCAGGATGGTCTCGATCTCCTGACCTCGTGATCCAGCCTCCTCGGCCTCCCAAAGTGCTGGGATTACAGGCGTAAGCTACCATGCCCAGCCTGGTTTTGTTTTTTGAGACAGGATCTTGCTCTGTTGCCCAGGCTGCATTGCAGTGGGGCAAGCATAGCTCACTGCAGCCTCAAACTCCTGGGCTCAAGTGATCCTCTTGCCTCAGCCTCCCAAGTAGCTGGGACTATAGGCATGCGCCACCATGCTCGGCTAATTTTAAAATGTTTGGTAGAGATGGGGTCTCCCGAGTAGCTGGGACTACAGGCGCCCGCCACCACTCCCGGCTGATTTTTTTGGATTTTTTTAGTAGAGACGGGGTTTCACCGTCTTAGCCAGGATGGTCTCGATCTCCTGACCTCGTGATCCGCCCGCCTCGGCCTCCCAAAGTGCTAGGACTAACAGGCGTGAGCCACCGCACCCGGCCAAGCTGGATCTTAAGCTTGCTTACCGGTGACTTGTTGACCTCATCTTGGCTCAAAGAAGACACGGCCCCAGGTGAGTGCCTGGAGGTTATTTCCCATGTGATGCCTGTTCCAGGGCAGGAATGTTAGCTCTGTGCTGGCCACCAGAGAAGAAACTGGTGGCCTGGTGACCGCCAGGCCTCTGCCTGCAAGGCTAAAGACCTCTGACAGATATTAGGGGGCAGGATGTGAGTTCAGATGGAAGCAGTCGGATCTTCCTGACCCTGCCTTACCTGGCAGTATCCACCTGCAGCCTCTGCACCTCCTGCCCAGCTGCCAACAACACCTGTGAGCCTGACGGCGTGCCCCACCCCCTCCCCAGGTGGGCGGTCTACGGCAGGCCCCGCCCACCAGCTCTGGCGCATGCGGCATGGCCTCAGCGTCTCCCTTCCTGAGCGGACGGCCCACCCCGGAATTAGCCTCTTCTCTCCCAGGTCTGTGCAATGCCCAGCTCCTCCTCTCCTGGCCGGCCTGGTCTCTCTTCTGGTCCCTTTCCTCACCGGGCTTTGGGGTTCTAGGGTCCTTGAAGAGATGGAGACCAGTCAGCCAACTTCAAGGTGGAGGAGTTTGGCTGGAACGAGCAGGTGTGTCTAGTTGGCTGGTGCTAGGGAAAGGGGAGGGCCCTGCAGGGGCGTTGCACCTGTGGAGTAAGCCTTTGCAGAATCATACAGTGGGTGGGTAGGGGGGCTGGATCTTAAGCTTGCTCACTGGTGACCTGTTGGGGCTGGACTGCCTGAGGCTCCCCCTTTGGCTAAGAATCAGGTGTGGGAGCTACGCCTGCTCCCTGGGAGGGCAGTTCCATAGGGATGGAGCCTGAGCATCTGAATTTCCAAAGCTCTGCGGTTGACTCTGATGGACAGCCTGGGCCGAGACCCCCAGGCAAGGCTTCTGGAAAGAGTTGGCCCCGCTCACAGACGGGGAACCTTCTCTGGAACCTGCCCTGGCAGGAGTGCTGTTTTGGGAACGTGGGTTTCAGACTCACACCTCTCTGGGTTTGAGCCTTGGCTCTTCCCTTAATGACCCTGTGACTTTAGACCAAGACTTCCCCTTTCTGAGCCTCAGAGTCCTTACCAGCGAAATGGAAGGAGTTCCTCCATAGCAGAGCCTGCCTGAGGTTGCTTAATTAATTAAGCAGAAAAAATGTTGATTGTAAAAATGGGGGGTTCCCTAGGGCCACAGGACCCTTGAGTTCAACTGGATGCTGGACTCTAGGTGTCTCCTTCCTCTGCCTTCTAGGCCTATCAATTCATAGACCGGGCACCCAGGGAAAGACCAACCTCCATGTGTGTCTGTTCCAAGTTCCCAAGTTAGGACCTCTGCTGGCTCCTGGTCCTTCACCTGTGCACAGGGGCCTCCTGTACAGTGCAGGGACTGTGGTTTCCCTGCAAGCGCCTGTTGTACTGAGGAGTTGCTAGCTCTGTGCAGAATACTGCCACGCGGAGCTGGAGGGCAGAGGCACGTCCTCCCAGGTGATGGGGCATCCTCTTAATATTTGGAGCACAGACAGGACAGTGGCAAGGAGGGTATGGGCCCCGCACACGGACAGGAGTAGTCTGGGCATTGCCCTCGGCCTGTCCCCCGGGCCAGGCACCAAGGGCGCAGAGGGAGAGTCAATTTCTCTAAGTGGAAGGAAGAAGCACTCTTCCAAGGGCTCTGGGCTTTGAAGGCCTTTCCTTAAACGAACAGGAGAGTTTATTTATCTTCGGTCAAGCTGTATAAATGTCAAAGGGCTGGCGACCCCTTTTAACTTGCAGTGCAGGGATGGCTAGGTTATTTGCTCATGAGTCTGGAAGAGCCCCAGAGGGGAGGGCTTGAGCCCTTTGCCTGTCTGTTCACATAATCCAGACAGAGTAGATGGCCCATGATGGCTGCCACTAAGTGACACCTGGCACGACTTAGGTGGCTTCAACACTGTCCTCCACTCAGCACACCACTCCGCCTACTGTTTCTCTGTTTCTCCCCCTTTTTCCCTTGGCTTGTCTCTTTTTTTCTTCCCCCCGCCTTTCCACTGTAGCTGTTATCAATCACGATCCCCGCCCACCCCACCATGCGCATTTATCAGCCCTCATGAATGACCAGAGGCTGTGGGCATGTGGAGATGGCGTCTCTTTCCAACCTCAGTTCCTGCCATCTCAGTGATGGCCCCAAACCTCTAGGCAGGAAAGAACAGGGACCATGGGAGGCATTGGATGGGCACATGGGACCCCAGCCTCCAAATGCAGAGCTTCAACTTGCCAGCAACATTTTTTTTTTTGTTTTGAGATGGAGTTTCACTCTTGTTGCCCAGGCTGGAGTGCAATGGCGTGATCTCGGCTCACTGCAACCTCAGCCTCCCGGGTTCAAGTGATTCTCCTGCCTCAGCCTCCAAGTAGCTGAGATTACAGATGACCGCCACCATGCCTGGCTAATTTTTGTATTTTTAGTAGAGATGGGGTTTCACCATGTTGGCCAGGCTGGTCTCAAACTCCTGACCTCAGGTGATCCACCCACCTCGGCCTCCCAAAGTGCTGGGATTACAGGCATGAGCCACTGCACCCGGCTCAGCAACATTTTTTTACATTAGGAGGGGAAAAGGCAATGGGGCTGCATAGAAAGTCTAAACACTACATCTACGGACTAAATCATTTAAAAAATAACTTGCGTATGACTTATGTTAATTATTTTACTTGACATTAACACACTTACTTGATCCACATGTCCTGTTTGTTGATAATAAATAAGTTATACTGCTATGACAAATGTGTATATTTTTTCTTTTAAACATTTTTAAAAGAGATGGGGGGTCTCACTATGTTTCCCAGGCTGGTCTGGAACTCCTGGACTCAAGCAATCCTCCCACCTTGGCTTCCCAAAGTGCTGGGATTATAGGCGTGAGCCGCTGCACCTGCCCTGACAAATTTATATTTTAATGAGTTCAATCTGAACTGACTTCCATACATGTTCTTTTCAGTCAGGGTGATGGAGGTATAATTTGCATACAATAAAATTTTTGCATTTTGGCACACAGTTCTGTGCGTTTTGATAAATGCAGGCAGTCGTTCAACCAGCCCTGTAATCAAGATGTGAACAGTTCATTTGCTCCTCCCAAAACATTCCCTCATGTTCCTTTGTAGTCAAAACTCCCTCTCTCCTTGGTCCCTGGAAACTAATCATCGGTGATCTTTCCCTATAGTTTCGTCTTTTCCAGAATGTCATAGAAATGGAATCATATGGTAGGTAGCCCTTTGAGTCTGGCTTTTTTTCCTTAGCATAATGCATTTGAGACTCATTCATGCTGGTGTGTATAACAGTAGTTTGTTGTTATTACTGAGTAGCATCCCATTGTATGGATGTACCACAGTTTATCTGTTTACCAAGTGAATGATGTTTAGAATGTTTCTGTTTCATTTTGTTTTGTTTTTTTGAGACAGGATCTTGCTCTGTTGCCCAGGCTGCATTGCGGTGGTGTGATCATAGCTCACTGCAGCCTCAAACTCCTGGGCTCAAGTGATCCTCCTGCCTCAGCCTCCCAAGTAGCTGGGACTACCGGCATGTGCCACCGTGCTTGGCTAATTTTAAAATTTTTGGTAGAGCTGGGGTCTCACTCTGTTGCCCAGGCTGGGCTTGAATTCCTGGGATCAAGTGATTCTTTTGCCTTGGCCTCCCAAAGTGCTAGGATTACAGGTGTGAGCCACTGTGCCTGACCTGCTTCTGGTTTTTAAAGATGAATAAGGCTGCTGTGAATGTTGACATACCGGGTTTTATGGGAACATATGGTCCCAGTATGGACTCTTGGGTTGTGTAGTACATGTATGCTTAACTTTGTAAGAAATGGCTGTACCATCTTGCATTCCCAGCAGCAATGAATGAGAATTCTGTATCTCAGCCAATACTTAATAGTATCAGATTTTTAAAAAATTCTAAGGCAGGGTGTGGTGGCTCATGCCTGTAATCCCAGCACTTTGGGAGGCCAAGGAAGGCAGATTACCTGAGGTCGGGAGTTCGAGACCAGCCTGGCCAACATGGTGAAACCCCGTCTCTACTAAAAATACAAAAATTAGCCATGCGTGGTGGCGCGTGCCTGTAATCCCAAATACTTGGGAGACTGAGGCAGGAGAATCGCTTAAACCTGGGAGGCGGAGGTTGCAGGGAGCCAAGATTGCGCCATTGCACTCAAGGTCTCCCACCTTTGCTACCACTAGAATTTGTAACATCGACGAGTGCAAACCTGATTTTCTCTGGGTCCCAGGGTCCTTTTTCTTCCCCCTGAAGATCACCTCAGTTTTTGAAAAGGTGCCCTGGAGGTTCTGCTGTTCTTTAGCTTTGATGGGTTCTGCAAACCCTGTGAGCTCCTCAGTGCCCAGCAAGCCTGTGAGCATGACTTTTGTGAGCTCTGCCAGATGAACGGCTTAGAAGTCCTGGAGAGAGGCACTGGGAAAGCATTTCCATGCTCCTCCTTCCTCTTGGATGGGATGTGGCCAGAGAACACAGAAACCTACCAGTGAATAAAGAGAACTCAGTTCTCTACCCTTGGAACCATCGAGGAGCTGGGATTTGCTTTAGAGAGGGGCAGCCCTTGGCATCTCCATGCTGGGAGTGGAGCTTCTGGCTTCTTAAGAAGTTGGTTACAATAGGCAGCCTCTGTGCTTTGGCCTGTTTGGATGTTTTCTGCTGTTCTCAGGTGGAAAAAGCAGATTTTGTTGCTGCCTACCTTTTGAAGACCAGGATGGAATGGAGCTACCTTCTGGGCACTTTCCTCAAAAGGGCCTGTGTGTTCTGGAACCAGGGCCTTCTGATGCATGAGAACCAAGGCAGCTAGTGTGTGTGTGTGTCTGTGTGTGTGTGCGTGCGTGTGTGTGCTCATCTCTAAAATCTGCCTATGGCAAGTCTCAGGTGGCTGCTGGCAGCTCCTTGGGGCTCCCTGCTGTTTTGGGTCATGTCTAGTAACAGAGAGCTTCTCTTTTCCAGCGTTTCAGGCAAAGGTTCCTAGCTTCGCACTAATTGGTCTGGGTTGGTTGATGTGCCTACCTTTGAACCCATTCCCTGTGGCAAAGGGATGGGAAATTCACTGACTGGCTTAGCGTGGGTCTTGCGCTGTATCCCTGGACCCAGGGATGGAGTCAGCCTTCTGAGACCAACACAGATCCCCAATTTAGAAATGGAGGCTGAGCTGGGCTCGGTGGCTCATACCTGTAATCCCAGCACTTTGGGAGGCCAAGGCAGTCAGATTGCTTTAGCTCAGGAGTTCAAGACCAGCCTGGGCAACATAGTGAGACCTCTGCCCCTTGTCTGTACAAAAAGTTAAGAAGCAAAGCATGGTGGCACATGCCTGTGGTCCCAGCTAGTTGGAAAGCTGAGGTGGGAGGTTGGCTTGAACCCAGGAGGTCAAGGCTGCAGTGAGCCGTATTGTGCCACTGCACTTCAGCCTGGGCAACAGAGCGAGACCCTGTCTCAAAAAAAAAAAAAAAAAAAAAGAGAGAGAGAAACAGAGGCTGTTGGGAAAAGGGCATAAAGGGCATGGATGCTAGAGAGGAGATCAACAGGTATTGTCTTATGAAGGTTGGGAAGGTCAAGGGCAGGTGGCCACATCCTTTGAGGTAGATGCTCACAAGAGGATTGTGCAGTGTGCAGGTAGAGGCCCACACTGGGTGTGAGTGTGCAGTGTGCAGGTAGAGGCCCACACTGGGTGTGAGTGTGTAGTGTGCAGGTAGAGGCCCACACTGGGTGTGAGTGTGTAGTGTGCAGGGGTGGTGCCCACACTGGGGAGTGTGCAGTGTGCAGGGGAGGTGGTGTGTTGGCCTAGGGACTGTTGGTGCCTCTTACACTCAACACCAGCAGGAAGATGGCCTCGACTCAGTGACCATGTGGGTTGGGCCGAGGGCAAACACAAAGACGGAAGCCAGCCCTTGTCTCTGGGGAGCTTAGCTAGGGTGCCCTGGTGGGAGACAGGCTTCCTTTCTCTCAGTTTCCTGGATCCTCTTCAATAAAGAGCCCCCCTCCACGGTTCTGCCCCTTACCAATGTTGTTTCTAGCTCCATCCCATCCTTCTACACCCAGAGTGTTGCTTTTTTTTTTTTTCTGTGGCGGAGTCTCACTCTGTTGCCCAGGCTGGAGTGCAGTGGCACAATCTCGGTTCACTGCAAGCTCTGCCTCCTGGGTTCACGCCATTCTCCTGCCTCAGCCTCCCAAGTAGCTGGGACTACAGGCACCTGCCACCACGCCCAGCCAATTTTTTTTTGTATTTTTAGTAGAGACGGGGTTTTACCGTGTTAGCCAGGATGGCAGAATGTTGCTTCTAATCAAAGCAATTCTTGCACATGGGAACAAGTTCCAGCACAGGGGAGCCCGTGATGGCAAACCACGGCTGTTGAGTGTCTACCCTTATATTTCTAAATCAAATGCTTAGCTTTAAATAGCATCGCTGACCTGACTGTGGACGTGAGTTTCTAGCATACTCTGACCATGGTCCTTTGTATTGCTTGACATCTAATTGTTTTATTGTCTGTCTTTGCAATTAAGAAAAATCTATTGTTAGAAATTCTTCACTTTGGGAGGCTGAGGCAGGCAGATCACCTGAGTTCAGGAGTTTGAGACCAGCCTGGCCAACATGGCGAAACCCCATCTCTACTAAAAATACAAAAATTAGCTGGGCATGGTGGCACACGCCTGTAGTCCCAGCTACTCAGGAGGCTGAGGTAGGAGAATTGCTGGAACCCGGGAGGTGGAGGTTGCAGTAAGCCAAGATTGAGCCATTGCACTCCAGCCTGGGTGACAGAGCAAGACTCCCTCTCAAAAAAAAAAAAAAAAAAAAGAAAAGAAATTCTTTATTCTTCTACTTATTTCATCAACATTAGGTCATCTACTGGAAAACATCATGCAGACTGCCACTGGGAGCCAGGGTCAGACTCTCTGGTTTCAAATCCTAGGGCCTCTGTTTTCTCCTCTGTGAAAAGAAACTAACAATCAAATCTACCACCTAGGGATGTCTGGAGGATTCCGTGGCCAAGGCACATCAAGGGCTCAGCCAGGTGGAGACCCGCGATTTGGGCCCGTGGGGTGGAGCTGATCCCTGGGCGACCTCCAGTCCACAGGCCATGGCCCAGAGGGCAGGAGAGGTGTCACTTTCGTGGCCCCTCAACCAGGCCTGGGATGGCTGTTTTGTCTGAGCACACCAGTCTTGCCCAAGTCTGAATGTTCAGCCCTCCTTGTGCCCAAGATCCTCTGCAGGGGAAGAGAAAAAGAGAGCGAGAGCGAGCACGCCCGGGAGCTGGGCGCCCGGGAGCTGGGTGCCCGGGAGCTGGGCGCATGCACACTTAGCATGTCCTCTGCGTACCCAGTGCAGCCGCTGTTAAAAATAGAACTGTGCTTTGCAGAGAGATTCTCAAATGACACCCACCAAGTGCCCATTAACTCATCAAAGTGGTGATTCCAAATTGATTATTTCGAGTGTAAGACATAATAACATGTTCATCATGGAAAATAATTAGCGGTGGAGTGGGGCCGGGATGGCCTGCTGCCTGCCTGCCTGGCTCCCCCCTGCAGCCGAGAGGGAGGGGTGGGTGGGCGCCAGGGCTTGATGTGGTTTTCACTGGGAGAGTTGGTGACTTACGACTAATACTCACCCTGCCACCCAGCCCCTCCCTTAGCCTGACTGGCCAGCCAGGCCCTCTCCCAGGCATGGTGTGGGTCTCCTGTAGCCCCCGAGCCCCCTCCACTCTGTCCTGGGCCAGCCTCTCCTTTTTGGCTCCTCCAAGTGGGCAGTAATTGGCTGGGCTCCAGCTGGGAGCCTGGGTTATGGTTGACACACATTTCTCACTTGCCGAGTGCGGGCAGCCGCTGCGCACCTTCACACCGTTTCCTTGGAAACCAAATTGCTTTGGCAGCATTCCACGGACACACACACACACACACACTCTCATGCACATGTGTGCCCCACGAGAAAATCAAGTGCTATGGGAGCTGTCATCTCACTTGCCCTCCACCCCTTTCCCCTGGAGCCCCTGTGCCCCTGCCAGGCAGCCCTAAACCCAGGCTGAGACCCCACAGGGGGATGGTTGGAAATGCTCCCCTCTGGGGAAGGCAGATGAAGCGTCTCCTAGAAGAGCCGGCGTCTGCTGAGGTAGCAGATTGAGCAAGATGTTTATGGGCACTTAGATGGGAAAATGGCTCCTGAGGGTGTGAGGAGAGCAGCCAGCTCATGAAATGAGGACGGGGCTCTGGAAGCCTCCCAGCATCCTCGGAGGGGGCTTTGGTCCAGATCCGTGTCCCTGGGGGCGAGGTGGGCTGTGCAGGAAGGGCCTCTGCAGCTGCTGCGCCCCTGCCCACCTCTCAGCCAGCTCTCTTCTCCCTTCCCACCTTCCCTTGCTGCTTTGCACGCCCCAGGTAGAAAACATCGTAGCAGGAAATACTTGGGAAAAGGCTGTCCTCGCCCTGATTGGGGGATGTCCACCGTCACCCGCTCCAGTCCTGGGAAGCTCATTCCTCCTGCTCAGCTCCAGCTGAGTCCTTCTCCTGGACTTGCCTTCAGCCAGAGACAGTGGGCTTCCCAAATTCATGCCGCCCTCCACAGGCAGCTTGCAGCCCACGCTGGCCGGTGCAGGGGATAAAGGCCTGTGCAGGAGATAAAGGCTGGGATGCCAAGAGTCAACTGGAGCAACCTTCCTCACCTCCTCCCCAGCTCCAGAGCTGCCTGTTAGGATGGCTGAGGCTTTGTTGCAGCTGCATTGCAGCTGGATGTCTCCAAACTCCTGCACGCGGATCTCCATCTCTGACTCAGCTCCCCAATGTCCTTCAGCTAACCGTGACCTTCCTTACTTCCATCCCTTCTTCCGTAATCCTTTAAACAGCTGCTATGTGCTGAGCACTGTCAACAAGACCAGGTTCCCATTTGCAGGGAGCGTGTGTTCTGGTCAGCACAGGTGGAAAAGAAACAGTAAAAAAAAAAAAAGAGGGCAAGAAGTGCCCCCGCAGGGTTGAAATAGGTGCTGTGCTAGCAATTGCCAGGGGTAGGGGCTTCTTTCTTTCTTCCTTTCCTTCCTTCCCTTCCTTCCCTTCCTTCCCTTCCTTCCCTTCCTTCCCTTCCCTTCCTTTCCTCCTTACCTTCCTTTTTCCCTTTCCTTCCCTTCTCTTTCTCTTTCTCTTTTTTTGAGGCAGAGTCTTGCTCTATTACCCAGGCTGGAGTGCAGTGGCGCAATTTTGGCTCACTGCAACCTCCGCCTCCCAGGTTCAAGTGATTCTCCTGCCTCAGCCTCCCAAGTAGCTGGGATTACAGGCACCTACCATCATGCCTGGCTAATTTTTGTATTTTTGTAGAGACGGGGTTTCACCATGTTGGCCAGGCTTGTCTTGAACTCCTGACCTAAGGTGATCCGTCTGCCTCAGCCTCCCAAAGTGCTGGGATTACAGGCGCGAGCCGCCGCGCCCGGCCTGCATCAGCACCCACAGTTCTTACAGGGGTCTGGACACTTAGGCACCTTCTGCTTGGCACACCCCAAAATTCCAGACTCCCAGAAGGAAAGCAGGTGCTCACCACGAGCCACATTTTTTACACACGTAGCCTAGGCACAGGGAGCCACGCTTGCGTTAGGGAATGGGCCACGCTTCTGCAATCGTGTCCCCAGATGCCGCCAAGGGCTGGCCTTCCAGGCAGGCCTTTCCAAGGGGAGCAGTCTTGGGCCAGAAATGGCAGCCCTTTCCTGGGCGGGGACAGGGACACCCTTCCACTGTGAAATCATTCCATTTTCCTGCCTAGGATTTAGTGCCTTTCATGTGTTTGGGTTCTGCCAGCTGGCGGGGAATCACGGGGCAATTTCAGTCACTCAAGTTTCTTTCCCAATCCAGGAGAAACCTCAAGTCTCACTAAGAAAGTGGTAGAAGGAGAGTAACAGGCTTGGTTTGCAGGGGGTGGGGGTGGGGGTGGGGGTCAAGACCCTTAGACGAGCTGCAGCTCCTTGCTGAGAACGTGCACACACTCAAAATTTGTGGGGGGCCCATGGTCCTCTGGGGCTCCTCCGGCACCCCAGGTGAAGCTTCTGAAATGGCTTTTCCACCTGGACAATCCCTCCCTCCCCAGGTGGAAGGTGAGGGGGTTCTGCTTCTCCCCGGGCAGAAGCAGAACCACAGCCCCTTTGTCCCCTTTGCCAGAGGCTTCAAGGGGCAGCGTCCCCCAGCGCCCCCCGAGCAAGCTCCCCATCTGACAAGGGAGGCCCTAGCTCATCCCAGAAGCATCAGAGTCATCCTTCACACTCACCACCATGCTGAGGACCCAGAGGGGCTCATGCCTCCAGTGTCAGACAGGATTGAGATCCAGGCTGTCTGGCTCCGGGGTCTTAGCCCTGACACTCGACTTCAGAGGGAGTTCTTGCCTGGGAGTGCCTTCAAAGCACAGTCCCTGGACACTTTCCCCTGCGACATTTAGTCCTTTAAGGAGGCTGTAAGCACGTTGACCTGCCCCAGAGCCAGTCGTGCCCTCACGTCCCTCAGGACGGCCCACCATGGCCAAGCACAGGCCAGAGAACAGCCTTGTTGTTGGCGTCAGGACTGTTGGCATCAGGGTCCTGCTTGTCAGGTTAGGAACGTGGTTCCTTTACCTGCACCTCCAGGTGATGCTGTCTCCATCCTTAGAACCTGAAGGCCTAGGTCCCTAAAAGTAGCAGCAGCAGCAGTAGTAGTAGCAGTAATAGTAGGAGAAGGAGGAGCTGAAGACCTCACAATAATCATTGCCCAACCGCGTGAACCAGCCCATCTTAAGCATGGAACACACACTGTCGAATTCTCACACCTCCTTTTGGAGCGGGTTCTCTCAATTATCCCATTTACAGACAAAGAATCTGAGACTCCAAGGGGCTAAATGATTTGCTCAAAGTCAGGGTAAGTGTGAGAACTGGAGCCGAAACCCAGCCTGCTGGACCTGAGCCCCTGACTCTCAACCTTAAGCCACGCTGTCTCCCATGGATCCCTCCAGGGCCAGGCAGTTGGTGCTCAATAATTGCATACTGCGTGGAGGTGAGCTGGGCTCTGGGTGTGGCCAGGTGGTGTCCCTGGAGGGCTCAGCACACCTTTCTCAGGTAGGTGGTATTAGGCAGTGGGCTCATGTGGTCCTGATTCAGAGGCGGAGAATGGGAGTGTTTCAGGGATGCAGGTATGAGCCTGGTCCTAGCACGCATCTCTAGGTGGGGACAGACTCCTCTCAGCCACCCCATTGCCCAGTGATAGTTCCTTTGCACTGATGCTGTCACATCCTTGTCATTCTGGGGGATTAAACTCTGCCCTCTGGATGTGTTCATGGGCAGCTCAGTAATACAAAGAAGTCATTCATAAGTTTACTTTGCTTTCGACTGCCCTTTCATGGTAACGTTGGTTCAAGGGAATCCTGTGATTCCCCAAATGTGGGGAGCAAATCGAGTCACCATGAGTCACCTCCCCAGGCTGATGTCTTCTCTGGCACATGTGGCCACGGGGGAGCCAGGATGGGTCTCCTTCCTCACTCCATCTGCTCGCTGGGTCTTGGTCTCAGGTGCCTCTTCCCTTCACTGCCTGTCTTTTATTCCTCTGTCTACCCTCTCCTCATACAGAAATTGGGATTTCTCATACAGAGAAATGGAGTGATTGCTCCTGATTGCACAGCCGGGAGGGCTGTACACTGGAGCCCCTCCTGCTGCAATTAACTTATTTTCCACCCCTGCGGTGTGTGGTTCCTGGAGCAACGCCTGCTACCTGCTTCTCTGCCCCATCCTCTGTGAGGAAGGGTCCATGCTGTTCCTTTTTCTGTCTCAAAAATGTGCTCATGTGCCCCAAGTTGTGTGAACCACCGACTCTGTGCTCCTTCCAGGCCCTGACCAGTGTGTTTGAGCATTAAAGCTCGCAGGTACATCAAAGGTGCTCAGTAAATGCTGGATAAATCAATCCATGCTTTCCTGGGCTCTCCTGGTGGGATGCATTCTTTTAGCTAAGCGTCCCTGCCAGGGGAGTGGTTGGTTTCCATGAGGCCAGAGGGGGAAAAGCTGGTTGACCCCTATCCTGGGCATTCAGAGTCATTTCCCGCTCCTTTCTGTGGCTGGAACCAGAAGAATATATCTCAGGTCTAATAGGGTATGGACTGCATAAAGCCTGGGATTTTTGTGCATTCTGTTCATGACAATGTCTCTAGCCTGTTGAACAGCCCATAGTAGGCACTCAGCAAACCAATAGGAACTGAGGGGGTCAAGGAAATGCCCTGTGATCCCCCTGAATCCAACCCCTCTGTCTTTGCCCACCTTTCCTCCGTTAAAACACAGCCTATATCAATGAGGGCCTGGGAGAAAACTGGGGTGGGGGAGGACTGTGCCTCTCTTGACCTTCATTTACAAAAAATAAGTTGGCTCCTAGACCCGTGTTGGAGCCACACTGCCCGGGACAGCCCTGAAGCAGCCACGTCCCCACCTTTCAGGAGTCGGCCAAGAGCACGGTGGCTGCAGAAGGCCCTGGCTGATGGAGATAACATTTGACAAACAGGGTGAGCGCCTTCCCCCTCCGCCCCTCTTTTAGAAACCCGGCGTTCTTTATGGCTTTGCTCAGGTAGATCATTCATTGCCATAAATTTTCTTATCTCCAGTGCTTTTCCAATTATGGATAACAACAGAAAAGCAGTCATTGGTTTCTAAAAGGTCATCAAGATATAAAGCCCGTTTGGGAAGGGAATGACTTACGCAGTGGGCTTGTATAAATCTGGAGAAGTTTTATGCACAAGTCGGACAAGAAATGTAAGTGAGATTCATAAAATATATAACGATTCATGGTGTCTCGGCTGATGAAAATTGTCTTTCCTTTTGCTGTTTGTGTGGGAATTATTTGTTCTTTCCAGGTGTTCTACATACGGCTCGGGAGCCAGCAAGTGCGTATGAAGCCCCTTCACATGGCTAGTGGCATCCTAAGGACCCGGCGACAATTAGTCATGGCGTCATCGAACACCAGGCTGGAGGAGGTCTTGGATGCCACAGCTCCTTTTGAATTTCAAAGACGTTCAAATCCCCATCTGGCTGTTACACTTTTAGGCTATTGAGAGTGAAAACAAGCACTGACATGAACACCCAACCAGCTGCCGGTGACATCGTCCCCTTCTGAGATCTGAGGACATGGATACCCAACCACCTGCCGGTGACATCGTCTCCTTCTGAGATCTGAGGACATGAACACCCAACCACCTGCCGGTGATATCGTCCCCTTCTGAGATCTGAGGACGTGGATATCCAACCACCTGCCGGTGACATTGTCTCCTTCTGAGATCTGAGGACATGGACACCAAACCACCTGCCGGTGACATTGTCTCCTTCTGAGATCTGAGGACATGAACACCAAACCACCTGCCAGTGACATCGTCCCCTTCTGAGATCTGAGGACATGGATACCCAACCACCTGCCGGTGACATCGTCTCCTTCTGAGATCTGAGGACATGGACACCCAACCACCTGCCGGTGACATCGTCTCCTTCTGAGATCTGAGGACATGAACACCCAACCACCTGCCGGTGATATCGTCCCCTTCTGAGATCTGAGGACGTGGATATCCAACCACCTGCCGGTGACATTGTCTCCTTCTGAGATCTGAGGACATGGACACCAAACCACCTGCCGGTGACATTGTCTCCTTCTGAGATCTGAGGACATGAACACCAAACCACCTGCCAGTGACATCGTCCCCTTCTGAGATCTGAGGACATGGATACCCAACCACCTGCCGGTGACATCATCTTCTTCTGAGATCTGAGGACATGGACACCCAACCACCTGCCGGTGACATCGTCTCCTTCTGAGATCTGAGGACATGGACACCAAACCACCTGCCGGTGACATCGTCTCCTTCTGAGATCTGAGGACATGAACACCCAACCACCTGCCGGTGATATCGTCCCCTTCTGAGATCTGAGGACGTGGATATCCAACCACCTGCCGGTGACATTGTCTCCTTCTGAGATCTGAGGACATGGACACCAAACCACCTGCTGGTGACATTGTCTCCTTCTGAGATCTGAGGACATGAACACCAAACCACCTGCCAGTGACATCGTCCCCTTCTGAGATCTGAGGACATGGATACCCAACCACCTGCCGGTGACATCATCTTCTTCTGAGATCTGAGGACATGGACACCCAACCACCTGCCGGTGACATCGTCTCCTTCTGAGATCTGAGGACATGGACACCAAACCACCTGCCGGTGACATCGTCTCCTTCTGAGATCTGAGGACATGAACACCCAACCACCTGCCGGTGACATCGTCCCCTTCTGAGATCTGAGGACATTGATACCCAGCCACCTGCCGGTGACATCGTCTCCTTCTGAGATCTGAGGATATGGACACCAAACCACCTGCCGGTGACATCGTCTCCTTCTGAGATCTGAGGACATGAACACCCAACCACCTGCCGGTGACATCGTCCCCTTCTGAGATCTGAGGACATGGATACCCAACCACCTGCCGGTGACATCGTCTCCTTCTGAGATCTGAGGACATGGACACCCAACCTGCTGCTGGTGACATCGTTCCCTTCTGAGATCTGAGGACATGGACACCAAACCACCTGCCAGTGACATCGTCTCCTTCTGAGATCTGAGGACATGGACACCAAACCTGCTGCCGGTGACATCGTCCCCTTCTGAGATCTGAGGACATGGACACCCAACCACCTGCCGGTGACATCGTCTCCTTCTGAGGTCTGAGGACAGACACTCACATGGACACCTAAACACCTGCCGATGATATTGTCTCCTTCTGAAATCTGAGGACATGGACACCCAACCAGCTGCTGGTGACATCATCTCCTTCTGAGATCTGAGGACAGACACTCACATAGACGCCCAATCAGCTGCTGGTGACATTGTCTCCTTCTGAAATCTGAGGGTTGGAACACATTGGCCTGGCTCAGTGTTTCTCCATGTGGTTTTGAGACCACCTGAGTTGGAACCGATATGGGTTCCCAGCCTCACGCCTGGAGAGCTGGATTTTGCGAGTGTGAGGTTAGGTCCAGCATCTGCATGTGTAACGAGCTCCCAGGTGTTTCGTAGATGCATTAGGGCTTGAGAAGCTCCTTTCTAGCACCATCTTCCTTTTTGCGCATGAGGGAGTTCAGGTCCAGAGAAATAAAGCAGCAAGGTTAGTGGCACAGCTGGCGCCCCCTGCTTTCTAGGAATTTAGAATATTATTGAAGAGAGAGGTATTAGAACCTGTGAAGTCAATACAGAGACCTCCAGGCGAGTGGCATCCTCACTGAAACCACTGACAAGTATGCTGAATAGAAAGTGTCATTTCTCCTGGAAGACCCTCAGTGACCCAGCTGGAGGGTCTCTCCTACTCATCAGCTGTCCCTCACTCTGCCATTTCAGCAGCTCTGCTCACCCTGAGCATGCAGAGAGAGCAGCTTTTAAATGAGTTCTAATCCAGACCAGCTTGGCTAGCATTGTCTGTGTAGAGGTGTGCTAGTAAGTCTAACAACTGGCTCTCTGAGAGAGAGTAGCCCTACCTAACTGGTAGCATTTGCCACTTCCCATGGTGTAAATACTCCCAGCATGGCCAACTTCAAGCTTACTAAGAGGATTTCGCTGATCATGGTTTTGGGGAGAGATGTGCAGATTGACTCCTGCCAGCTAGTAGGAGCCGGCTCCAGCACACCACGGCATCTGTGTCCAGGAACCAGGCTGAGATGTGGGAAGGCCAGAGAAGGAGGAGGCTGGCAGATGCCTGAGGGCTGGGAAGGATTGCATCCAGGAGGACGGCCGTGGTGGGCATCCCTGCATTGGGGGGCAGCCGGGCCCAAGATCCAGGGGGACAGAAAGCACAAATGGTGCTGGGGTTCAGTGCCACACTCACCCTGGGGCAGAGGAGGGTGACACTGGCCCTGCCACCTGACCTCAGCCTCAGGGGCTCCAGATCCTAGCCAGAGGCCTTGAGTGCTTCCTGCCACAAAGGCAGGGGGTGGCCTGGGATTTCCTCTCTGATCGGAGCTGATGTTTCCCTCCAGGAAACCATCCCTGCTCACCTTGCTAGGCCTGGGGCAAGTTGGAGTGAAGGGCAGGTCCCTCAGCCTTGCCTTTGAGACCTTACCTTCCACTTCATTCCCGTCTGTGGCTCTCATTCCTTCCCCACCCCTGCCCTATGCTCTGGTGAGAAGGTGCAACCCTGTGAGCCCCCATAGCAAGGTTCACTCCAGCCGTGCTTTCTGCTTGCTTTTGGTTTGTGAAAACCCTCCACTTTCTTAGAGGCCTTCTGCAAATGTCATTTCTTCATAAGGATCTTCCTACCCCGCCCGAGCCAGGGAGATCCCTCCCTTCTCTGAGCCTAGAGCACCATGTCCCTTCCCTGTAGCCCTGGTGACGTGCACCCTGGATGGTGGCCCTTCCAGTGACATGGAGGATGTTTTCCCTCTACAGACACTGTCTGGTTTTAGGATCCCGGAGCCAGGCATCTCGCTCACCCCTGTAGCCACCACAGCATTCAGCCCTGCAGCCTGGGACCTTGCTAAGGTCTTGCTTTACCCCTAAAAACCAAAAATAGTGTGTCACCTTTAGCAGTGATTGCCAACGCCTCTGGAGTGCTGGCTGGGACAGGCATCTCTATTTTCATCCTCACCAATCCTGCCAGGGAGCTACTCTGGGGAGCCCCATCCTGCTGATGAATGACCGAGTCTCGCAGCGATGACGGAACCTGCAGGTCCCAGGCTTGGGCCCAGGTCTGTCTTTCTCCAGGGGCCTCACATCCATCTCCTTCCCAGCTCTCCTTTTCTGTAAGACTTCACAGAACAGGTTCAAAATCCATTTGCTGGCCGAGCACAGTGGTTCACGCCTGTAATCCAGCACTGTGGGAGGCCTCGAGGCAGGTGGATCACCTGAGGTCAGGAGTTCGAGACCAGCCTGGCCAACATGGCGAAACCCCATCTCTACTAAAAATACAAAAAATTAGCCGGGCGTGGTATCAGGTGCCTGTAATCCTGGCTACTCGGGAGGCTGAGGCAGGAGAATCACTTGAACCCGGGAGGTGGATATTGCAGTGAGCTGGGATCATGCCATTGCACTCCAGCCTCGGCAACAAGAGTGAAACTCCATCTCGGACAAAAAAATCCATTTGCTAATACCAGGCTGAGGGTGAGCTGCTGTTCTCACCTGGGAGAGATGATTTGTCAGAACATGTCTTAAAACCGGCTGCTGCCATGCAGAGATAGCACATGACACGTGCCACCAGCCAGAGCCGCTAGTCCATGGGCCAGGTAGGGTCCTCCCCACCCCAGCTCCGGGAATGGGACCCCAGGATTGGCAACACCTGTGGATGCCACATGGGTCTGAGGTCACTGTGCAGTGCGGCGCTTGGGCAGTGACCTGGTCCTTTCACTCTTTCCTCCATACTTCCTTATCTCAAGGTAAGAAAGGAAGATTGACAACTCAGGCTGTAGAGTCAGAGAGTCCTGGGATCAAATCCCAGCTTAACCATATAATCTGTGTGACTTTGGGTGAATGATTGAAACGATCTGTGCTCCGTGTCACCATCCACACGGTAGGGATCACAGTTGGTCTCTGTCTCTGGGAGGTCTGTGGGCTTTAAATGAGACAGTAGAGATGAAGTGCTTAGAGCTGTGCCCCGTGCATGGCCAGTGTGCAATGAGATGGTCTCAGAGTATTATGGCTGGAGTCACCACTTGTATTACCAGGAAGCCCAGCCTCTGTGATTACAGGATTCCAACTATGGTGACTCTGCACCTCTTCCTTTTTCTCTTGCTTTCTCATTCGTCTTATTACCATTTGCTGAAATTAAATCAGAACACACAGGGGAAGCACCTATCCTTGCCCAGCACATAGTAGGCATCGTGCAGGAGTCTGTGAGTCACATGGTTTACTCTTGCCCTCCTCCCCATGGTTCCTAGCACGGTGTTGAATGTGTAGCAGGCCCTCCCTAATGGACCCAGGAGATCAGCCTGGGCACTCTCTCATTCTCCTCCTGCCTCCCACCCTTGATTCCCTCATAAGACAGCAGCACAAGTGACTTCTAGGGGAACCGTATTAGTCTGTTGCTAAGACCAGATAATTTATAAAGAAACGAGGTTTCATTGACTCACAGTTCTGCAGGCTGTACAGGAAGCATGGCTGGGGAGGCCTCAGGAAACTTACAGTAGTGGCAGAAGGCAAAGGAGGAGCAGGCGTCCTCACATGGCTGGAGCAGGAGGAAGGGAGAGAGCGGGGAGGCGCCATCACTTTTAAACAAACAGGTCTCGTGAGAACTCACTCACTGTACAGTCCCAAGGGGGAATGTGCCAAACCATTCATGAGAACTCCGCCCCTCTGATCCAGTCACCTCCCACCAGGTCCCACCTCCAACACTGGGGACTATAGTTCGACATAAGATTTGGGTGGGGTGGCAGATCCCAACCATATCAGAAAGGGTCTTTATGATCAGTGGAGAGTGGCAGGGAGGTGTGGACCATGGGGAGACACAGTCCTCCTGGACCTTGGAGTGAGAGGATTCAGTTTTAGCAAAAACAGGAGATAAGACTGTCTGGAATTGTCCTTCTGTGTGAATGACCCGCTCAAGGTCTCAAGGCAACTGCATGGCCCACCCGCTCCACTCATGGCCCTCTCACCCCCATTCGGCACCCCAGCCTTCTCCTTGTGGGGTCACCCCGCCCCACAGTCCGACCCGGGCTGGAGTGAAATCTCGGCTGACTGATGCGCCTTCACGGAAGATGGCATGGAGGGGATCCACTGTCCCCCTCAGGCCTCTTCTCCAAGACAAAGGACAGTCATGTACACTGGCTCACAGACCACAGAGATGCTGGTAGTTGGTGTGCAAGAGCATTTATCATGTTGGAGAATGACAAAGAGGGAGCAGGTGTCTGACCTGGGATGAGAGAACACGGAGCGGTGAAGGCACACCAGGGGTGGAGAGGGCAGAGACAGGCTGTCATTTTTCAGCACAATTTTCCTCCCTTTAATGTTCCCATAGATTATGGGACCGGATCATCTGATGGCCGAAAGAGATGTTTTATGGTGCCAGGGTGGAAGGTTTGAGGAGAGGGAAAAATGATTGTGAACTTTCTGTCCTACAAAGGCTCTCATGGTCTATAGAATACAAAGTTGATTTTGCTTTGCTTTTCTTGGAAATGTGCTAGAGAGGAGAAAGGTAAATAGGATTTACCAGCCTCCTCCTGCATGCAAAGCAAATGGAAAGAACCCTCCCCCCTTGAACCTCCGTTTTGCTTGGAAGAAGCGGGATGTGTCTTCTTGTTCCCCTTCAAGGGAGATTTAAGAGGTCCTCTCCTGGAACAGCACAGAGTTTAATGCTAAATACTTTTCAAAATCTTTTGGTCATCTACAGTTTTCTCTCCTCGGCTCTGCGGTCAGGAGGGTTTGAGGAAAGAGGTGGAAAGTTCTCTCTCCGAGGGACCCTGTCCCCAGGCCTCATGTGTTCCAGGGCCCCGTTTGCAGTTCTTGGCTGTATGAGTGAAAATCTTTATTGAAGAACCAGATTTCTTTTTTGCAAGGAGAAAAAAGAAAAGAAACCAATATCCAATTCAAGTAGGGGCCAACAAGCAAATGAAAACATGCTCAAATTGATTAGTTTTCAGGGACATTCAATTTAAAACCACATGAGATAGCATTTCATGCCCATTAGGACGGCTGGAGTCAAGACGGATGACAGCAAGTGTTGGTGAGTGTGTGGGGGGTTCAGAACCCTCGTGCCTTGCCTGTAGGAATGTGAAATGGGGCAGCCTCTTCGAAAAATGGTTTTGTAGTTCTTCAAAAAGTTAAACATGAAAGGCCAGGCATAGTGGGGTGGCTCACACTTGTAATTCCGGTACTTTGGGAGGCTGAGGTGGGAGGGTCACTTGAGCCCAGGAGTTTGAGAGCAGCCTGGGCAATGTGGTAAAACTCCATCTATACAAAAAATACAAAAACTAGCTGGGCATGGTGGTGTGCACCTGTAGTCCCAGCCACTCGGGAGGCTGAGGTGGGAGGATCGCCTGAGCCCAGGAATTTGTGGCTGCAGTGAGCCGTGATCATGCCACTGCACTCCAGCCTGAGAGACAGAGTAAGACCCTGTCTCAAAAAAAAGAAGAGAAAAAGTTAAACATTAAACTATCATATAACCCAGGAATTCTGTCCCTAGGTATATGCCCCAAATAATTGGGAACAAGTATGTTGTTTGTTTTTTTTTGTTTTTGTTTTTGAGATGGAGTTTTGCTCTTGTTGCCCAGGCTAGAGTGCAATGGCATGATCTTGGCTCACCTCAACCTCCGCCTCCCAAGTTCAAGCGATTCTCCTGCCTCAGCCTCCTGAGTAGCTGGGATTACAGGCATGCACCACCATGTCTGGCTAATTTTGTATTTTCAGTAGAGACGAGGTTTCTCCATGTTGGTCAGGCTGGTCTCAAACTCCTGACCTCAGGTGATCCACCCGCGTCGGCCTTCCAAAGTGCTGGGATTATAGGCATAAGCCACCACACGTAGCTGGGAACAGCTATTTAAACAAATGTTGTACACGAATGCCCGCAGCAGGACTACTGACAATAGCCCAAAACTGACAACAACCCAAATGTCTGTCAATGGATAAATAAATAAACTGTGGTCTATAAATACAATGGAATATTATTCAGCCATGAAAAGGAATCTAGTACTGACACATGATACGAGGTGGGTGAACCTCAAAAACATCACGCTAAGTGAAAGAAACCAGTCACGTGTTGTAGATCCTATTTATAGGAAATATCCAGCAGAGGGACACACGCAGAGACAAAAGGCAGATTGGGGGTTGCCAAGGTTGTGGGGAGGGGAAATGGGGAGTGACCACTGACAGGTACAGGGTTTTCTGTTGGGGTGAGTAAAATGTTTTGGAACTTGATTGATACAGCATTGTGAACATATAAAATGCTGCTGAATTGTTCACTATTTTTTTTTTTTCTTTTTGAGACAGGGTCTTGCTCTATCACCCAGGCTGGAGTGCAGTGACGCGATCACGGCTTACTGTAGCCTTGATCTCCCAGGCTCAAGTGATCCTCCCACCTCAGCCTCCTGAGTAGCTGGGACTATAGGCGTGAGCGACAACATGGAGCTAATTTTTTTATTTTATTTTTGAGATGGAGGCTTGTTCTGTTGCCCAGGATGGAGTGCAGTGGCTCGATCTTGGCTCACTGCAACCTCCGCCTCCCAGGTTCAAGCGATTCTCCTGCCTCAGTCTCCTGAGTAGCTGGGATTACAGGCATGCACCACCATGCCTGGCTAATTTTTGTGTTTTTAGTAGAGACTGGGTTTCATTATGTTGGTCAGGCTGGTCTCGAACTCCTGACCTCAGGTGAGCCACCTGCCTCAGCCTCCCAAAGTGCTGGGATTACAGGCATGCACCACTGCACCCGGCCAATTTTGTTTACTTTTCTTAGAGATGAGTTCTCACTATGTGGCCAAGGCTGGTCTCGAACTCCTGACCTCAAGTGATCCTCCCACCTTGCTTGGCCTTCCAAAATGCTGGGATTACAGGAGTGAGCCACTGCTCCTGGCCAGAATTGTTCACTTCTAAATCATTCATTTTATGTTATATGAATTTTACATCAATGAATAGATACATGTTTATGTCTATACAAAATTCAAGCAGGGCCCTGGGAAGCAGGCTGGGAGAGCCGGGCTGACTCAAGGGAAATTGTTGTGAATGGGTGAAGGGGAGGTTGGTTTTTCTTCAGAATTTCTTGCTTCCCCCATCTTAGTAATACAGGTGTGAGAAGAGCATCAGGTACTAGATAAACTCCTCCTTGGGAGTAACCTCGGACAGAGCCAAGAACGCAGGGGACACGAAATGGCATCTTACCAACCTTGCTTATCTTCTCTCCTGCTGCAAAATCCCCCTGCCCCCAATATGACCACCTGCCCAAATGTCCAGCCCTCCACCTAGGGAATAAGCTGGCCCGTGGGAACAGCACAGGTGAGGGGATGGCTCCAGGCAGCCAAGCACGTGGAAGGTGAGCCTGGCCCCCAGAGAGGCTGTGGCCCTTCTGTCTCCACCCACCTGTGGGCACCACGAGGGCCTGGCTGGGGATATCTGGTTCCTGCCATGGAGGTAGCCAGGGACAGCCCCTTAGGCTGGTTCCACAGTGGCGTCCATGGAGGAAAGGGTGAAACTCTCGGTGGTGCTGGGGTCCCAGGCAGCACGGGACCTTCGTGGATGGGATGGCGGACATTCTGCTACCTGCTCCGTTCCCCGGGATCACACCTCAGAGCTCTCCTTGCCGACTCCACTGTGGACTGGATTTTGAGAAGCCTCCTCCTGGAGGGCTGTCACGTTCCCGCGGGGCCTCTCCTGCCCTGCAAAGGCTGTGTGGGGCCTTCTGTGCATGGCGCGTGGGGCCTTCTCTGCATGGCGCCTGGGGCCACAAGGCAGAGATCAGCTGAACCTGCAGCTTCTGCTGCCCTGCCCACCAGCCCCCATGTTCACCCCACCCTGATTACGATCTTCTCCAGTGCCTAGTGATGCCCTTGGGACACCTTCCCTTCCTCCACTATGTCCCCACCTGGCTGCCTGTCCCCCTGGCTGGAAGCCCCTGGGAGGAGTGGGAGGCTGCTACTGGCCAGCCTGAGCTCAGCCTGGACACTGTCTAGCTAGGCTTGGGGGCGGCCTGGAAGGACCCACATGGAACAGTGGGCGGGGGACAGTGCCGGGACCCCTGGCTCTGGCAGTCCACCAGATCCGGTGGGCTAGAGGGCCCTGCGTGTGGTGGCCACACCGCCCAGGGGAGGCCTGGCTGGTTCCACAGGCCCTGGAGGCGGGCAGATAAGTTTGGCCTTGATCTTTAACCTCCTGATCCTTGCCCAAGGAAATTGTAGGAGCCCCCAAAGCCAGAATAAACTTCTCCCTCTTCTTCTGGATGGGCCCATCCACTGCGGCCAGCCATATCTTTATTATTTTAAGCAAAAAAACTAAAGCTCTGGCCCCGTCTAGAACAAGAACCAGAGGAGAGGCTTATAGAGTTGTGTAAGCCTTGGGGGGCAGTGAGAGAAAGGTCCCCGACCTTCCACCCTCTCTGGACAGAAGTGGCTGCTGAGGGTCTAGAGAGTGCCCTCTCTCCTTGCATTAACCCCATGCAGAGTGAGTCCCCGCAATTAACGCTGCCACCCCCTGAAACTAAAGGAGCGGGGTTCGGGTGTGGAAAATCTTCCCGGATCTTCATCTGCGGCGGCCCCTGCCCCACCCCCACTGCCCCTAGCCATGGGAGCCCGAATAATCCTTGCGAAGAGAGGATAATTAATTCAAAAAGGCCACATCCTGGGGCCTCGGCCCTTTGACAAGGGAGAGGAGGGGAGGCGGGAGGGGAGGCGAGGGCCGAGCGGGGCCGCGAAGGAGGCTGTTGGAATAATCCCCATCTCAGGGCAACATCTTTCCAGCCCTAATTAGACTCCGGGGCATTATCCCTGCATGCGTTGTCGATGGCGGCCAGGAAAAGGGCGAGGCCAACTTTATTTCTGAATTTGGACTGACTTAAAGAAGTGGCATCACATTTGAAGGGCACCCAATCGCTCCGTTGCCCTCGCTGCATGAAATTGTATCTGCTTGCCACTTCCTATCTCGCCGGGCGCAGCTGGGCTGTAAGTCATTGGTGATAACATTCTTTATTATGCCGTCGTGTTTATGAACTGTGCCTGGAAAGAGATGATAGAAATATGCAGCAATATGCAAAGGCATCGGGGAGGAGGGGGAAGGGGGAGCAAATGTTAGTTGCCAGGGCAACGATGGGGCTATTTTGGGCATCGGATTTTGCGGATGATGAAAACCATTTTCCTGCAACGGTTGGACTCTCCCCTCCCCCTTCCTGGAGGCGATAAATGCACAGTGAATATTTAGGAAGGGGATGGCTTAATTTCTTAATTAAAAATTATGATCTTTTCCTCTCTGCCTCCTTTAAAAACGGATAAAAAAAATCGAAGGGTGTTGAGAAGCATTCTTGAGTGGAAGGCGAGCTTTCGTTCTGGTGGAAGGAGATGTGTGAATAATGCACTCACTTTACTGATGCCTGCCACCTCCCCCATCAGGCTCATCCACCGCCTTTCACCTACGCCGACTTAACTCTGATAAACTCCCCAAGCAAAATCCCCGAGCCCCAGACCTCAGCCTAATCTCAAAACCTCCAGGTGTTTATAAGCAAGCTGAATTCCAATGAGTCTCGGGGCAACTTGGCTTCCGACGAGATGGCTGGAAGATGGCTCCATCTCTGGGCACAGATGTCCCTGAGAAACAAAAGCTCAGGACCAGGGGCTGGGACGATGCCCTCCTCCTGCCCCTCCATCTGAGACACAGGCTTCCCGGAGGAGGGATTCGCCCTCTGCAGGCACTGGGCTGCTTATGTAAGCCTGGTCAGCTCCACACCCAAAAGGAGGCGAGGCTGGTGCCCGTCTGGATTTGTGACTGTGTCCCGCCATCCCACGTGCTGTGTCTGTTTCCATAGGGTGGAGGAGCTAATGGGTTTCAACCTTGCCTCCTCCCTGCTGTTTCCTCAGTGGCTCTCCAAGTAGGGTCCCCTGACCGGCAGCCACAACCGCAGCGTCACCTGGGGATTTGTGGAAAATGCAAAATGTAGGGGTCCCACTCCAGACTTGCTGAATCAGAACTAGAGGCAGGTTCTAAGGAAGCCCCTGCAGGTGAGGCTGATGCAGCTGCAGGGTGAGAACCGCTGTGTTAAAGACAGATGGTGCCCAGGTATGCATTATCCTGCCCCCTTGCCTGCCACACGCCCTGCCTCATAGCCTGCAGGTGCTCGATAAGTGGGTGTGGAATGAATGGATCTGGGGAAATAATCCTGCAGTATAATCTCCCACCCTCTGGCCAGCCTCTGTGCCCACTGCCCACCTGCCAGCCTCCCCAGCATGCTCTGGTGTGTGATGGGAGAGCCGAGGGCCGTGAGGACACAGCAGGTGATTTTCCAGGCTCGCAACCCAAGGTCTGGGGTTGGAGAGGGATGACTCATGGCAGCCTTTTTTCCTACTTGTCTGGGCCTCTGTGACTGGCTGGCACCCCTCTGTCAGGTGCCCCTATGAACAGGTCACCCAGACATGTCACTGAGTTCTGGTACCAGGTCTAAGACATGCTCCTGGGTCCAGAACCATCTTGCGGGGACAGCTGGCTTCTGGAAAGTTCCATAGGTGTCAAAGTTGGAGGAACAGAATGCATCTCATTGGAGGGTGGGTGGCTCTTGCTTTGTGGTTGGAATGGGTTCGTGCAGTTAACGTGCTCTTTCTGTATCTCTGGCTTTGTGACAATGAGTCGTGCTGTGATTCCCAGTACCCCTTCCTGCCCACTCCCTCCACCAGAAGGAGGACCCCTGAAGATGTCTGTGGGCCAGTTTTGGGAGGTTCTTTGGGATAAATTAGGAGAGCAGGTGGCTGGTGTCTTCAGCTGTAGGCTCTTCTTGTGGGGATGTCAGTTATCAGAACATTATTACTCTGAGTCTGAAGAGAGTAAAATGATTTATGCTTTCTTTTGAAAACAAACTTTTAATTGCTTATCAGCCAAGTAATACATTCTCATGTAGAAAAATTGAAAAATATAGAAAGGTATGAAGAAATAAAGTATCTACAGTTTTCCTGTCTGGAGATAAAAGATAATCTTTTTCTGCCTTTTAGTTTTTCTCTTTATTTTTACAGACTTGAGATCATATCGTATTCTGCTTTTTTTAGCTATCATCATAATGTGAACATTTTTCCATTTCCTTAAATAGTCTTTAATACATCCTTTTTTTAGTGGCTGCATAATATTTTATAGTGTGGCTGTATCATAGTTAAGCGTTTTTTTTTGAATAAATGATTTTCCATGTCTCTTTCAGGCTATGGAAGTGGCAGCTTGTGATTTTAATACCAAAGAAAGCCCAGAGCTCAGAGAGAGGCAGAGGTGAGTCTCTTTGTGTTTGACGCCTGGCATTTGAGTTGTGCTGAAGGAAGAGAAGCCAATCCATCACTGGGGATTGAAGTTAGCTTCTGTGGTGACATTCATGGGTGAGAGACAAAATCACTTCCCGCAGGGCAAGTGGCAGCATTTGGCATTTCGCAGGTTACCAGTGAGGTAATGGAGTCAAATAGAAGTTCACTGGAAGCTTCTTTTTAATGCCCTTGAATGGGCTGTCAAAGGAGGAAGAGGAAGAGCTGCCACTCTGCCAAGACCCGCCCTCTGCAGAGCCCTGGATACGTACCAACTGCCCCTCAGGTGCAGTAGGCCAGCAGGCTGGGGCCTTGTGCTCTTTGGGTAGGTGGACCTGCTGGCAGGGCCCTCCCCACTCCTGTGGGGGAGAAGCAGAGATCAGCCTGGAGTCTTGGGTAATATTTCTGCTCCATTTTCCCCCTCTATTTTGGGGTCCACACACCATGAATGAGAGTGGCTGAAATGAAAATCTCGAATGAACGGTATGAAGGTCAGCCCACACAGCGAGGTTTCCCGCCTGCTCCACTCTGTCCTCTCTCCGATGACACCTCAAACTTTCCATGCTTCTTTGCAGCTCTTCTTTTGCAGGAATTGGAACTTGCCACTTGTTTCCAAAGCCCTTCCAAGTCCACTCCCTTCTTCCCATCATTCCCATTACAGCCAGCTCTACCAACAGGGAACCCCAAAGGCCATAGGCGTGGTTAAGCAATACTCGAACCATGGGGCCTCTTTTGTACAAAGTTATTTCGGCAGAATTTATTGCAGCATAAGTGTAAATACCCCATGATCCTCTGGGGCAGGGGTCTCTGCAATGGCATTGTTGACATACGGGACCAGATAATTCTGTGTTGTGAAGGCCCGTCCTGAACATTGTAGGACGTTAGCAGTGTCCCTGATCCCTACCCACTAGATGCCAGTAGTAGGGTGCCCTGATCCCTACACACTAGACCCACTCAGTCATGACAACCACATATGTATTTCTTTTCTTTTCTTTTTTTTGAGATGGAGTCTTGCTCTGTTACCCAGGCTGGAGTGCAGTGGTGTGTTCTCAGCTCACTGCAACCTCCAGCTTCTGAGTTCAAGCAATTCTCCTGCCTCAGCTTCCCAAGTAGCTGGGATTACAGGCACCTGCCACCAGACCTGGCTAATTTTTGTGTTTTTAGTAGAGACAGGGTTTCACCATGTTGCCCGAGCTGGTCTCAAACTCCTGACCTCAAGTGATCTGCCTGCCTTGGCCTCTCAAAGTGCTGGGATTACAGGCGTGAGCCACCGCACCTGGCCCCAAATATGTCTTTCAACATCATCAGTTGTCCCCTGGTCATGCCCAGTTAGAACTGCTGATCTAGAACACCATTTCCCAAAATGTGTTTTGTGGAACCCAAGTTTACTGGAATGCCAGTGAGTACTTTCTGAAAAGTGAGGTCCTGAAATCAGCAGAATTTGATCAACTGTGGGCTGAACACAGTTAAAAGATTTAACAGGGCTCTGCCTCCATTTGCTTTGGATCGCTTTTCTCACTTCTCTTCTGTTCTTTACCCGGCTTTCAGCAGAGTGTCCTCTCCTGTGATTCTTTCTAGAACATCTTCATTTCTTCAGGGGTTTTATTTTTATTTTTATTGTTTTTTCCTTCCACTTCTCTGCATTATTCCAGATCACAAACCATTTCCTCTTATCTCTCCTGAGCTCTTGTATCTCTGATCTATTCTTTTGTTTCATATAGGTTCTTGCCTTTAATTTGAGTAAAGACTTTGGCCACATTTTTCATAGTTCAGTGGCAACATTTTTGGTGATGTACTGTGAATACCTCATGGCCCTGCTGCCTGGAACGTGGCGGGCACAGCTTGTCTCCACATCTGCTTCCTGCTCTGCCTGAACCTCTCCATAGCCCCCCTGCCCTCAGGCCACAGCACTTTCCAATTCTTTTTTTTTGAGACGGAGTCTCGCCCTGTCGCCCAGGCTGGAGTGCAATGGTGAGATCTCAGCTCACTGCAACCTCCACCTCCCGGGTTCAAGCAATTCTCCTGCCTCAGCCTCCCGAGTAGCAGGGATTACAGGCACACGCCACCATGCCTAGCTAATTTTTGATATCTTTAGTAGAGACTGGGTTTCACCATGTTGTCCAGCTGGTCTCAAACTCCTGGCCTCAGGTGATCCACCCGCCTTGGCCTCCCAAAGTGCTGGGATTACAGGCGTGAGCCACCGTGCCTGGCCTGCACTTTCCAGTAAAATGATGTCATTCTAAGGATAACAAGCCATGTTTGTCCAACAGATGACCCAACATCACTGGGGAAGAAAAAACAAGTGTTTGGCATTGGTGGGGAATCATTTAAGCCTGTCTGTCCCATTGCTGAGTCTCGGAGACCAATACCTAGAGTGTTTAATGATGGTGCGGCTTGAGAACAACAGGTGTGGCTGTCAGAGAGGATCATGCCCAAAGAGGAACATTCTCGATGTGGAAGTTGGGCAGATCTGCCCAGATTAGTGACTCTTCAAGAGTGGAGGAGCACAGCTTGTTTATCTGTGTTTATGAAGGGCTCCAGAGTAGACAGTTCATGTATTTATCTCTTTAGTTCTTATCACACATGCTTTCCAGGAGGTGCAGGAGAGAAGCGATAGCGTCTACTGCGTCTTTTGCTAGACAAGGGGAGAGGAAGCATGCTGTATGTATGGAGATACTTATTTAGGTTATAAATTTACCACTCACAGTCTCTAAGTTGGATTGCCCATCGGCAGTGATTTGCTCTGTTACAGTATTTAGTTTTGTTTCAAAAGCCATTGGTGATTTTAACTCTCTCCCTCCTTGTGGGCTCTAGTCTTAAATCCTACAGGACTGACACTAAATTCGTCACCTTTCTTCTCCTTCCCTCCATTTCTCCCCACAGTTTCCTTCACATGGACCACATTGTTAAGAGTAGCAGCTCACACCGGGTGAGGTGGTTTTTGCCTATAATCCCAGCACTTTGGGAGGCTGAGGCAGGCGGATCACCTGAGGTGAGGAGTTTGAGACCAGCCTGGCCAACATGGTGAAACCTCATCTCTACTAAAAATACAAAAATTAGCTGGGCGTCGTGGTGCACCCCTGTAATCCCAGCTACTCGGGAGGCTGAGGCAGGAGAATCACTCGAACCTGGGAGGTAGAAGTTGCAGTGAGCTGAGATCGCGCCACTGCACTCCAGCCTAGTCAACAGAGTGAGACTCCATCTCAAAAAAAAAAAAAAAAAAAAAAAGAAAAGAAAAAAAAGAGTAGCAGCTCAACTCTTAGGTTATGAGACTTGGAGTCACTCATTGTCTCTACTCCTTCAAACTCTAGACATTATCTGTCATCATATTTATTGTCTTTTTCCTTCCAAAATGGTTCTCAGCATCATCCCCAAAGCCCCTGCCCAGACAAACCACAGAAATGCTGCAGGCAAAAGGATAGGTGTGAGAACGTATGGCAGGGTTATGTGACTTAGCCAGGAAGAGTTGGTGGGCGTTGATGTCCAGGGAAGCACCCTCTGGGGAAACAGCTTTCTGCCTGAGACCTGAAGGACCAGCATCGTAGGAGTTCGGCAACCTGGGTTTCCTCCCTCCAGCCTGTTCCCACGGTCCTTCAGCCTGGTCTTCCTCACCTAACCCTTTGTGGCAGTTTTCTGGGGCTCCTGTAGCCAAGTACCACACACCGAGGGGCTTGAAACCACAGAAGTGTATCCTCTCACAGTTCAGAAGGCCAGATGTCCAACATCGAGGGGTTGGCAGGGTCAGTTCCTTCTGGAGGCTGTAGGGGAGGATCTAACCCATGCCTCTTCCTAGGTTTTGGGGGCTTCCGACAATCTTTGGTGTCCTTTGGCAGCCTGCAGCTGCCTCCCGTTGATATCTGCTCCATCTTCACATGGCCTCCGCATGTGTGTGTGTGTGTGTGTGTGTGTGTGTGTGTGTCTTCTCTTCTTTTTATTTTCAAAGGACACCAGTCATATCCAATTTAGGGCCTCCTGTAGTCCAGTAGGACCTCATCTTAACTTTCATTACACCTGCAAAGGCCCTATTTACACAGTAGGCCACATTCACAGATTCTGAACCTTGAACCATGAATTCTGGTGAGACACGATTCAACCCAGTACACCCTTGTTTAAGAACCGACCCAAGAGACTGTTTGAAGCTGTGCAATGAATCCCAGTTCCTGGATATCAAGTCCAAACTTCCTAGGCAGGCTTTTACTTATTTATTTATCTATTTATTTTTTGAGGCAGCGTCTCACTTTGTCCCAAGGCTGGAGTACAGTGGGGCAATTATGGCTCATTGCAGCCTCCACTTCTCGGGCTTAAGCTATCCTCCCACCTCCGCCTCCTGAGTAGCTAGGACTAGAGGTGTGACCCACCATGCCTGGCTAATTTTTTTTAATGTTTTTGTAGAGATAGGGTCGCCCTACATTGCCCAGGCTGGTCTCAAATTTCTGGTCTCAACGGATCTTCCTGCTTTGGCCTCTCAAAGTGTTGAGATTACAGGTGTGAGTCACTGTGCCTGGCCCAGGCAGAGTTTTTATTTTTATTTTTATTTTTTTCCGAGATGGAGTCTCGCTCTGTCACCCAGGCTGCAGTGCAGTGGCATGATCTTGGCTCTCTGCAACCTCTGCCTCTCTGGCTCAAGTGATTCTCATGCCTCAGCCTCCCGAGTTGCTGGGACTACAGATGTGCGCCACCATACCCAGCTAATTTTGTATTTTATTTTATTTTTATTTATTTATTTATTTATTTATTTATTTTGAGACGGAGTCTCGCTGTCTCCCAGGCTGGAGTGCAGTGGTGCCATCTCGGCTCACTGCAAACTGCGCCTCCTGGGTTCACACCATTCTCCTGCCTCAGCCTCCCGAGTAGCTGGGACTACAGGCTTTCACCACCATGCCTGGCTAATTTTTTGTATTTTTAGTAGAGATGGGGTTTCACCGTGTTTGCCAGGATGGTCTCGATTTCCTGACCTCGTGATCCACCCGCCTTGGCCTCCCAAATTGCTGGGATTACAGGTGTGAGCCACTGTGCCCGGCCTCTAATTTTGTATTTTAGTAGAAATGGGGTTTCACCATATTGCCCAGGGTGGTCTCGAACTCCTGACCTCAGGTGATCTGCCCACCTTGGCCTCCCATAGCTCTGGGATTACAGGCGTGAATCACCGCACCCGGCTAAGGCTGAGTTTTTACAAACACCATTCCGATCTATGGACTCACCCTTATATCCCACCACCCCCAGGACCATCTTCTCAGTCGAGCTCATGTTCCCGGCCCTGCCCATGCTTCTTCTGGTCACTCCTCCTACCCTTGTTGAAAGATACATTGCCCCTGCCCTGGCGTACCCCTGTGGTCCTCAGCTCTGGCCTGTCTTTTCCACGGCTGCACCAAGGCTCTTTGCCTGAGACGCTCTGTTCCCATGAGGTTCTCTTGGCCTGTGGACAGCAGGAGTTAGGAAGCCCCAAGGAATTAGCACCTCCAGGGAGCAGCCCTTATCCAGTGACTTGTGGGAGTAAGTGAATAAAGACCTCATCTTTCTTGCTCTTCTGGTGAGATAATTCTGAGGCGCATGGCAAGGATGCCATTTTCCAGAGTTCTGCAGTGGGATTAAGCTCCGCTCTCTCTCGGAGGAGACATGTTGCTACCTCACCCTTTTGAGGTTGCTTCACCTTCCCTGCCCCACTTACCCCCTCCCCTGCAGGTGCTTCCCATGACCACCTGCCACATCCACCCCCAGAAACCCTGCAGCAGGCTCCACTTCAGTGAGGATCCCAGCCTCTCATACTGCTTTCTGCACTTAAAATGCCTATTCACGGCTGATATCAAATGTATGCTCCAAACCAGTTCCACTTCCTTCTCCACACTTTCTAGGATGACGTCAACCTGCACAATTTCTCTTTTCTCAGAACCGTGAGTGCCACAAGAGTCGGAACTCCTTTGGCCTTTCTGCTGCTTTTTGGCTTTGTTTGATTTCTCTTTCACAGAGACCATGTTTTTTGCATCTCATGTGGAGCACGTCAAACAACTTCCTAAAATTTCCCCAGAGCTCGTATAGAATCTGTGCTTCCTCCAAGTCTGCAAAATTCTGTTCCTTTTTCCTTGTCCTGTGTCACCTTTTTACCGTGGGCTTATTGTTTTTCTTCTCTTGTCTTTTTTCTTTTCTTTCTTTTTTTTTTTTTCATTTTTTGAGCCAGAGTTTCGCTCTTTTACCCAGGCTGGAGTGCAGTGGTGCAATCTCAGCTTGCTGCAACCTTCGCCTCCCAGGTTCAAGCGATTCTCCTGCCTCGGTCTCCCGAGTAGCTGGGATTGCAGGCATGTGCCACCACACCCTGCTAATTTTTGTATTTTTAGTAGAGACGGGATTTTGACATGTTGGCCAGGCTGGTCTTGAACTCCTGACCTCGTGATCCACTCAGCTCGGCCTCCCAAAGTGCTGGGATTACAGGTGTGAGGCACCGCACCTGGCCTTCCTTGTCTTTTTATTCATTCTTGCAGGAGGAAAGAAATTTCCAGAGCCAACTGACATTTACCATCATGTCTATTTGCTGAAAAAGAAAAACAAACAAAAACAAAACCCTACTGGCCTCCCTTTCTTGGGTCTGCAGTGGGGCAGCCGTTCTTGGCAGGGTCCTGGGGTCTAGTTGAGTTTTTCCATGTGGTTCTGCTGTATTCAAGTAGGATTTTCTCCCACCCCTTTCCACTTGATGACAACACTCAGAACCAGGTGGATTGCGTGGAACCGTCCGAGCCTCCGGCTGCTCTGGAGTGCAGGTAGCCTGCCACCTGCTCCTGCTCTGACTGTGGTCACTGGAGCCATATCCACAGCCTATTTGTGGTTCTGTGCTGGTTTTCTCTTTGATAGACTATTTTATCCAAGATGTGCTAGGAATCACAGACCAAGGCTGAGGCTGTGGCTTCTGCAAAAGTTTGTTAATTCCTGCTCTTCCCACCTCCTGCTTGCCCAATACCATCGAGAAAGAGCCAGAGAGAAAAAGGGAAATCCCCTCCACACTGCTCCCTGCATCCTGGCTCCTCAACTTGCTCATCCTCAGGCCCCATGAAAGCTGCAGGGGATGGGAGCACTTGGGATTGTGAGGAGGTGGCAGCTGCAGAGGCTCTTCCTCATGGGGTGTTTATGCAAAGGTTTGTGCCCCAGTTGGGTGTGGGAGGACACACACGAAGTGGTGGCCAGACCCCTGTCAGCCTCTGGGCCCTCATTAAAGGCCGGTCCTCTCTGGCTGTCTTCTCAGCCCCTTGGCCTTATGCTTTGGTGCATTCATGTTTCTTAATAGTGTAAGGTGAACAACAGTCTTGGTTTGCTCAGGACTAAGAGGATCCCCCAGATGCAGGGTCTTCAGTGCTAAGTTGGTGACCCTGGTAGTTAGGAAGCATTATTATTATTATTATTATTATTATTATTATTATTATTAGAGACAGGGTCTCACTGTGTCACCCAGGCTCAAGCTGGAGTGCAGTGGCACAATCATGGCTCAGTGCAGCCTCAAACCCCCAGGCTCAAGCGATCTACCTGTGTCAGCCTCCTGAGTGGCTGGAGGCATGCACCACCATGCCCAGCTAATTTTTTTGCACCACTATGCCCAGCTAATTTTTCTGTAGAGACAAGGCTTCACTATGTTGCCCAGGCTGGTTGTGAATGCCTGGCCTCAAGCAATGCTCCTGCCTCAGCCTCTTAAAGTGTTGGGATTATGGGCATGAGTCACTGTGTCTGGCCTGGATACGTGATTTTTTTTTTTTTTGCATTGACACAGTCACAGCTCCCAGCCTATGCTCAGTATTTTTAGCTAGTGTCCTTCTCTGTATCCTCTTGGCTACTCACTTGGTTTAAATGAATATATTATAGATGATATATCTAATATAACCAATGCAAGTAATTTTCTACTCTCTTAATTTTTGTACACAAAAGTCCTACTAAAAAGGCTTGCCACATCCCTCCTAAACTAGAGAGATGTCACTGACAGGCATGTTGGGGAGAGGGTGGACAGGCCCTGATGAGTGGCATGTCCCTTGAGTCCCCAATAGCTCTCAAGCAGACAGATGCCATTCTTCCCGGCTGCTCCCCTCGGCCCTGCTGGCTTTTAGGAGAGGCATGCCGTATGGGTGGGAAGAGAGGGGGCTTCTGGGTGGGGGTGGGGGGGGTCCCACACATGTGCTTCTCCAAAAAGCATCCCCGTGGAGTCTGCTGGCCCAACTTTCTGTGATGCACCTCAGACATTCTCTAATCACAAGGCTTCTATTTGTGTTATTATTTCTATATTTAATTAAGGTATATATACATTGCATTTTAAAAACCTGGATTCAGGCCAGGCACGGTGGCTCATGCCTGTAATCCCAGCACTTTGGGAGGCTGAGGTGGGTGGATCACCTGAGGTCAGGAGTTCGAGACCAGCCTGGCCAACATGGTGAAACTCCATCTCTACTAAAAATACAAAAATTAGCTGGACATGGTGGTGCGTGCCTATAATCTCACTACTTGGGAGGCTAAGGCAGGAGAATTGCTTGAACCTGGGAGATGGAGTTTGCAGTGAACCGAGATTACGCTACTGCACTCCAGCCTGGGTGACAAAGCAAGACTCCGTCTTGAAAAAAAACAAAAACAAAAAAAAAACTTGGATCTGGTTTTTAAAGGGTTTGAAAACCTGATTATTTCAAGAGAATGTGTGATGAGCCCTCTGTGCAGTGAGGGAAACTGTAGCTCATCCTGTGGGTGGAACTATTACCTTCAATTCAATTTATTTATATTATTAATTCGGAATTTATTTTTCGTAGAGTCTGGTCTGTCTGGATTTCAACAGGCTAATGGCCAGAAAGAAATCACTGTCTACTGAACAGAAGCTAGTTTACGTCCTGATAAATAGAAAGATACAGAAGGGTGTTGGCTTAAGAGTAAGTGACACCCCCACCTTCTTCAACCCTCTGCACTTCTCAGTCTCATTCCTCAGACAACCATAAGTAACAGATTCCTGAATACCCTGAATATCCTTCCAGAAGTTGTGTATGGATACATAACAAATATCTGTATATATTTTTTTTGCACAATTAGGATCATACTACATCTACAGTTTTAATCCTTTTTTTTCACTCTATAATAGATCTTGGATAATTTCATTTAGCTGTAGATTGATTTCAATTGTATTGTAATAGACACAGCATTCCAGTTTATGGGTCAGACCTGATTTATTTATTTAGTTTTTTTTTTTTTAATAGTAACTGTTAGAAGTGCTGCTGCATTGCACAGCTCTGCACGTCTCTCTCTGCAGTTGTGCTGGTGTATCATGGGGGAATACTCTCGGATGCAGAGTCACTGGGTTAAAGAATTAAACTTTGATTAAACATTCATCAAAGTTATGAGAGCAACAAATGCACAATATTACCAACGATTAAAAGGTAATTTAGGCCGGGCGCGGTGGCTCATGCTTGTAATCCCAGTACTTTGGGAGGCCGAGGGCTCGTAATCCCAGTACTTTGGGAGGCCGAGGCAGGCAGATCACTTGAGGCCAGGAGTTTGAGACCAGCCTGGCCAACATGGCAAAACCCTGTCTCTACTAAAAACGCAAACATTAGCTGGGCGTGGTGGCATGCACCTGTAATCTCAGCTACTTGGGAGGCTGCGGCAGGAGAATCACTTGAACCCGGGAGATTTTAGTGAGCCGAGATCGCACCACTGCGCTCCAGCCTGGGCGACAGAGCAAGACTCTGTCTCAAAAAAAAAAAAAAAAAAAAAAAGAAAAAGGTAATTTAGACAGGCAATTAGTGCCTGGGACAGCCACATCATTCATCTAGGTGCACCTCACTTTCGAAATCCGTTTCGCACCTTAGGTAACTGAAGCAGAACAGGCAGAGGAGGATGGACAATTCTGCCTGGTGGGGGTTGGGGTATTCAGACATGAACAAGCAAAAGTGCCCCAGCAGGCAGGGTGGGATGAATGGGAATCCAGGAGTGGTAATATTTGGAACCTGTGTGTCAATAAAATGTTGATCTTTGGAATGATTTCCCCATCGACTTGTAAGACATCATTGTTTCTGAGATGCTTTAACTTCGGTTGATCTTTTTTGGTATAAACTTTCTATTTTGAAATAATTTTAGATCTATCTATAATGCAAAGATGATGCAGAGAGTTCCTGATTCTCAACTAGGAGCAACGTCAATTTGGCAATGTCTGGAGACACTCTTGGTTGTCCCATCCTGGGATGGGGTGCGGTTCTTCCTGGCATCTTGGGGGTAGTAGAGGACAGGGAGGCTGCTGAACGTCCTATGGCACACAGGATGGCCCCACAACAACGAATGATCTAGCCCAACGTGGCAATAGTGCCAGAACTGAGAAGTCGGCCCATACCCTTCACCCAGCTTCTCCTAATGTCAGCATCTTATAATAACCACAGCACCTTTATTAAAACTAAGAAATTAACATTGTACGATTCTATGATCACTGGCTTTTTTTAAACCTCTGTCTGTCTACTTAGGCTGCTATAACAAAATGCCTTAGACTGGATAATTTATAAGCAACAGAAATTTCTTGCTTACAGCTCTGGAAGCTGGAAAGTCCACGATCAAGTTGCCATCAGATTCTGTGTCTGGTGAGGGCTCGCTCCTCATGGATGTCAACTTTTGTGTACTCATGTGACAGGAGTGAACAAGCTCCCTCGGGCCTCTTTTATTATTATTATTATTATTATTATTATTGAGATGGAGTCTCGCTCTGTCGCCCAGGCTGGAGTGCAGTGGCGCAATCTCGGCTCACTGCCACCTCCGCCTCCTGGGTTCAATCAATTCTCCTGTCTCAGTCTCCCGAGTAGTTGGGACTACAGGCGCTCGCCACCACACCCAGCTAATTTTTGTATTTTTAATAGAGATGGGGTTTCAGCATATTGGTCAGGCTGGTCTCGAACTCCTGACCTCAGGTGATCCACCTGCCTCCGCCTCCCAAAGTGCTGGGATTACAGGCGTGAGCCACTGCACCCGGCCTCTTTTATTATTTTTTAATTTTTAAAAATTTATTTTAGATCGGGGTTCCATGTGCAGGTTCCTTACATGGATATATTGCATGATGCTGATGTTTGGCTTCCGTTGAAACTATCACCCAAATAGTGAATGTTGTACACAATAGATAGTTTTTCAGTCCTTATCCCACCTCCTTTTGGAATCCCCAGTGTCTATTATTTCCATATTTATGTCCATTTGTACTCATTGTTTAACTCCTGTTTATAAGTAAGAATACGTGGCATTTGGTTTTCTGTTTCTGCATTAATTCACTTAGGATAGTGGCCTCCAGCTGCATCCATGTTGCTGTGAAGGACATAATTTCATTCTTTTCATGGCTGCATAGTATTCCATGGTGTATATGTACCACGTTTCTTTATCTAATCCCCCATTGATGGGCACCTTGGTTGATTCTATGTCTTTGCTATTGCGAATAGTGCCGGGAAAAACATGTCAGTGCAGGTGTCGTTTCAGTAGAATGATTTGTCTTCCTTTGGGTATATACCCAGTAATGGGATTGCGGGTTGAATGATAATTCTACTTTTAGTTCTTTGAGAAATCTCCAACCTGCTTTCCACAGGGGCTGAACTAATTTACAATCCCATCAATTGCATATTTGCATTCCCTTTTTGCTGCAACCTTGCCAACATTTGTTATTTTTTGACCTTTTAATAGTACCCATTCTGACTGGTATGAGATGGTATCTCATTGTGGTTTTGATTTGCATTTCTCTGACGATTAGTGATGTTGAGCATTTAAAAAATACGTTTTTGGCCGCTTATATGTTTTCTTTTGAGCAGTGTCTCAAAAGACACTGTGTGTCCTTTGCCCACTTTTTAATGGAGTTGTTTCTTTTTTTCTTCTTGATTTGCTTAAGCTCCTTATAGATTATGGACATGAATCCTGCGTCAGATGCATATTTTGCAAATTTTTCTCCCATTCTGTAAGTTGTCTGTTTATTCTGTTGATAATTTATATTGCTGCACAGAAGCTCCTTAGTTTAATTACGTCCCAATTGTCAATTTTTGGTTTTGTTGTGTTTGCTTTTAAGGATTTAGTCATAAATTGTTTGCCTAGGCCAATGTCCAGAAAAGTATTTCCTAGGTTTTCTTCTAGGATTTTTATAGGTTGAGGTCTTACATTTAAGTCTTTAATCCATCTTGAGTTCATTTTTGTATATGGTGAGAGGTAGGGGTCAAGTTTCATTCTTCTGCATATGGCTGGCTAGTTTTCCCAATACCATTTATTGAATAGGATGTCTTTTCCCCATTATTAATTTTTGTTGACTTTGTCAAAGATCAGTTGGTTGTAGTTATGCAGCTTTATTTCTTGGTTCTCTATTCTGTTCCATTAGTCTATATGTCCATTTTTGTACCAGCACCAAACTACTGTAGCCTTGTAGTGTAGTTTGAAGTCAGGTAATGTGAGCCTCCTCCCTTGTTCCTTTTGCTTAGGATTGCTTTGGCTATTTGGGCTCTTTTTCGGTTCCATATGAATTTTAGAATAGTTTTTTCTAATTCTGTGAAGAATGACCTTGGTAATTTTATAAGAATTGCATTGAATCTGTAGCTTGCTTTGGTCAGTATGGACATTTTAATGATATCAATTCTTCCAATCAATGAGCATGGAATGTTTTTCTATTTGTTTGTGTCATCTATGATTTATTTCAGCAGTGTTTGGTAGTCCTCCTTGTGGACATTTTTCACCTACTTGGTTAGATGTATTCCTAGGTATTTGTGTGTGTATGACTATTATAAATGGAACTACATTCTTCATTTGTTTCTCAACTTGAGCATTATTGGGGTATAGACATGCTACTGATTTTTGTATATTGGTTTTGTATCCTGAAACTTTACTGATCATTTATTAAAGTTTAGGAGTCTTTTGGTGGAATCTTTGAGTTTTCTAGTTATAGAATTATATCATCAGTGAAGAAAGATAATTTGACTTCCTCTTTTCCAATTTGGATGCCTTTTATTTCTTTCTCTTGCCTGATTGCTCTGGCTAGGACTTCCAGTACTACGTTGAATAGGAGTGGTGAGAGTGGACATCCTTGTCTTGTTTCAGTTCTTAGGGGGAATACTTCCAACCTTTGCCTATTCAGTATGATATTGGCTGTGGGTTTGTCATAAATGACTCTTATTGTTTTGAGGTATGTACCTTTGATGCCTAGTTTTTTGAGGGTTTTTATCATTAAGGGATGTTAGATTTTATTGAGTGCTTTTTTTCTGCATCTATTGAGATGATCATATGATTTTTGTTTTAAATTCTGTTTATGTGGTCAATCACATTTATTGATTTTCATATATTGAACCATCCTTGCATCCCTGGAAGCAAGCCCATTTGAACTTGGTGGATTATCTTTTTGATGTGCTGCTGGATCCAGTTTGCTAATATTTTGTTGAGGATTTTTGTGTCTATGTTCGTTAGGGATATCGTGATTTCTTTGTTGTTGTATCTTGGCATCAGGGATCTTTTATAAGGGCCCCTAATCCCATCCATGATGGCAGACCCCTCACAATCTAATCATCTCCCAAAGGCCCTACCTCTTAAAACTATCACCTGGGGATTAAATTTCAACATATGAATTTTAGGGAGACACAAACATTCAGACCATAGCACCCTCTTACCACATTTTTAGGTGTGTAGTATATTATTGGTAAGTATAAGCACAATGGTGTACAGCAGACCTCTAGAACTTTTCATCTTGTGCAACTGAAACTTTATACACACTGAACAGCTGTTCCCCACTTTCCTCTCCCTAGCTACAGGCAACTAACCATTCTACCCTCTGTTTATATGAGTCTGACTCTTAGATACCTCATATGAATGGAATCATGCATTGCTTTTCCTCTGTGTCTGGCTTATTTTACTTACCATTATGTCTTCCAGGTTCATGTGTGTTGTTGCATATGGCAGGACTTCCTTCTTTTTAAAGGATGAATGATATTCCATTATATTTACCATATTTATTTTATCCATTCATCAGTAAATGGGCAGTCAGTTTACTTCCACATCTTGGCTATTGTGAATAATGCTTTTTTTTTTTTTTTGAGATGGAGTCTCACTCTGTTGGCCAGGCACGATCTTGGCTCACTGCAACCTCCACCTCCCAGGTTCAAGCGATTCTCCTGCTTCAGCCTCCTGAGTAGTTGGGACTATAGTCATGCACCACCACACCCAGCTAATTTTTGCATTTTTAGTAGAAATGGGGTTTTGCCATGTTGGTCAGGCTGGTCCCGAACTCCTGACTTCAGGTGATCCACCCACCTCAGCCTCCCAAAGTGCTGGGATTACAGGCATGAGCCACTGCGCCTGGCCTGCTGTTGTGAATAGCACTGCAATGAACACAGAAGTGCAAATATCTCTTCAAGGTCCTGATTTTGGTTCCTTTGAATGAATACCCAGAAGTGGGATTGCTGGATCCTATGGTAATTCTATCTTTAATTTTTCGAGGAGCCTCCAGACTGTCTTCCACAGCAGCTGCACCATTTCACATTCCCACCAATCGTGCACAAGTGTGCCAATCTCTTCACATCCTCATCAACACACATTATTATTATTTTTAAAATGGCTGCTCTAACAGATGTGAGGTGGTATTTCACTGTTGTTTTGTCTACGTGATTAGCAATGTCGAGCATCTTTTGATGTTCCTGTTGGCCATTTGTACATATTCTTTGAAGAAATGCCTGTTCAAGTTCTTTTCCTCTTTTTAAAATTGGGTTATTTGTTTTTTGCTACTGAGTTGTAGGAGTTCCTTGTATTATTATGGATATTAACCCCTTATCAGATATGTGGTTTGAAAATATCTTCTGTCTGGGCGTGGTGGCTCACGCCTATAATCCCAGCACTTTGGGAGGCCGAGGCAGGTGGATCACCTGAGGTCAGGAGTTTGAGACCAGCCTGGCCAACATGGTGAAACCCTGCCTCTACTAAAAATAAGAAAATTAGCCAGGCGTGGTGGCGGGCACCTCTGTTATTCCAGCTACTTGGGAGCCTGAGGCAGGAGAATCGCTTGAATCCAGGAGGCGAAGGTTGCAGTGAGCCGAGATTGTGCCACTGCACTCCAGCCGGGGTGACAGAGTGAGACGCCATCTCAAAAAAAAAAAAAAAAAAATCTTCTCTCATTCCATAGGTTGCCTTTTATTTTTTATTTATTTATTTTTTGAGATGGAGTCTCACTCTGTCGCCCAGGCTGGAGTGCAGTGGCACGATCTTGGCTCACTGCAACTTCCGCCTCCTGGGTTCAAGCAATTCTCCTAACTGAGCCTCCTGAGTAGCTGGGATTACAGTTGCACACCACCACGCCTGACTAATTTTTTTGTATTTTTAGTAGAGACAGGGTTTCACCATGCTGGCCAGGCTGGTCTCGAACTCCTGACTTCAGGTGATCCACCCACCTTGGCCTCTCAAAGTGCTGGGATTACAGGTGTGAGCCACTGCTCCCAGCCTCATAGATTGCCTTTTAAAATTTATTTTTCAATTGACAATGAAAAGTATATACACTTATCATGTACAACATGTTCTTAAGTATGTATACATTAAAGAATGTCTAAATTGAGCTACTTAACATATGCATTACTCATATACTTATTTTTTTCGTGAGAAGACTTAAAAAGTACTCTCTTGGCAATTTTCAAGAATACAACAGGCTTAATAATATTCCATTGTGTATATATACCACATTTAAAAAAATTCACTCATCCGTTGATGGACACAAGTTGATTCCATATTTTGGCTACTGTGAATAGTGCTATAATAAACATGGGAGTGCAAATATCTCTTCGACATACTAAGTTTATTTCCTTTGGGTATGTACCCAGTAGTGGGATTGCTGGATCATATGGAGTTCTATTTTTAATTTTTTGAGGAACCTCCTACTGGTTTCCAAAATGGCTATACTAATTTACATTCCCATCAACAGTGTGCCAGGGCTTCCTTCTTCCACATCCTCAACAACACCTGTTATCTTTTGTCTTCTTCATAATAGTGATTCTAACAGGTGTGAGGTGACGTCTCATTGTAATTTTAATTTGCATTTCCCTGATGATTCGTGATGTTGAGCATTTTTTCATATACGTGTTGGTCATTTGTACTTCTTCTTTGGAGAAATGTCTATTCAGGTGCTTTGCCCATTTTTTAATTGGGTTATTAGTTTTCTTACTATTGAATAGTTTGGGTCCTTACATACTTTTTATGTTAATCCCTTGCCAGATGCAGGGTTTGCCGGTATCAGTTGCTTCCCAAGCTGTGCTGGCTACGTGAAGAGGGACCCAGCCTGCTCAGGGAGGAGGCGCCAGACACCTGGAGTGCAGGGTCCCACCTTCTCTCCCTCTGTGGGTTTTTCGCTCTGCTGATTGTTTCCTTGTTTTTTTTTTTTTTTTTTTTTTTTGAGACAGAGTCTCGCTGTGTCGCCCAGGCTGGAGTGCAGTGGCACGATCTCGGCTCACTGCAAGCTCCGCCTCCCGAGTTCACGCCATTCTCCTGCCTCAGCCTCCCAAGTAGCTGGGACTACAGGTGCCCGCCACCATGCCTGGCTAATTTTTTAATGTATTTTTTAGTAGAGACAGGGTTTCACCGTGTTAGCCAGGATGGTCTTGATCTCCTGACCTTGTGATCCACCTACCTCGGCCTCCCAGAGTGCTGGGATTACAGGGGTGAACCACTGCGCTCGGCTTTGCCACGATCAGCTTGGCTTTTTAAAACTTTAGTTTTGTTTTTATTACTCCATACCTCTTCAACTCTCAGTAAGTCACTAGTGGCCTGAAACAAAATGTAAGTGCGCTAGGGAGCTTCCTCTGTGGGATGAGCCATTTTATAACACAAAACCTTCTGCCACACGGATCGCCTTTTCATCATTAATTTGTCTGGTAAATATCACATTAGTCCAGGCTTTACAAAATCAGATACTAGATGTACTTCCCATGAAAACATGAACAAATCTGCATTTGGAAGATCTGGGTGGCAGGACACAGAGGTGAGGGACCTTTCCGGAGGGTCCAAGTCCTCCCTCTGGAGGACAGTCACTATCTAGAACTGTGTCTACAGGAACTGTTTTCATGCATCCAGATGTGGACATGAAGGACCAGCCCACGGTAATGACTGGCTAAGTCAATTCCATACATATTTACTGAGCATTCCCCATGCCCTGGGCGCTGAGAGGGTCCCCCTAGGAAGCAGGTGCATCCTGCCCTTGGTGAGATTAGGCTTCTGTCGTACTCAGTCAGTGCAATATCGTCAACTCCCAAGACCCCTACCTAGCCAGGTAGAGGAGAGGATTGGAGAGAAATCATTAAGTCACTTCAGCCCTTTTAATTAGCTTTTTCCAGTCTCAAGTGCTACTGCAGGTATGAGGGAAGTGAAGCCCTGAGCGCTGCTCCGGAGGATTTGGCATGCGAGTGAGTGGGAAAGAAAGAAAGCTCCTTCAATGACTGCCGTGGAAAAAGTGCCCCGGATTGGCGCATCTGAAGCTGACGTGCGCACGGGTCACCTGGGAGTCCTGTCAAAATGTAGGTTCTGATTTGCTGGATTGGGGTGTGGCCCAACAACCTGCATTTCCGGTTTGCCCAGGTGATGTTCATGCCACTGATCCTGAGCCACACTTTGAGAAGCCAGGTAAAGCCCCATGATCAGCACGGGAGGGGGCACAGGGAGCTGTGGTGATCTGGGGACACTGCAGGCTGCTGGGGGCTGCCTTGGACCTTGAAGGAGAGACAGGTTGGAGGCAGTAGCAGTTGTGGAGGCCAGGATGTCACAGGGCAGGAGTGGGGCTGGAAAGGGCAGAGGGGGGAGGCCCCCAGCCCCTGCCTAGGCTGCTTTTATTCTGTAAAGAGGTTTTTACTCTAGACCTTCCATTTTCCTGGAAGTGAAGGTCTGACATGCATTGATCCAGAAGGTAAAAACCGAAGGATGGGTGAACAGGCACACTCTTCCTCACTTCATTTAACTGGAATCAAAGCAACAGGGAAGTGGAGGTGGGGTGGGAGTTGGGGAGAGGGGTGGGGGTGGGAGAAGGGCTTTCCCAGGCAGGCAAGTTCCTGATGGGTGGGGAGTGGATAGGGAGCAGCAGGTGGCACGGGGTTTCTGTGACCGGGACCTGTGATCCTCTTGCCTTTGGGCAGCCAGTGGGTCCACAAGCCATCCAAGGGCAAAGTTTGTGCTTTTAGAAATTTCTTTCCGAGGAAGCGATTAGCCAGCCAGACCTGTTGTCCTTTTGCAAGCAGCAAATTACCCAGGAAAATGTAATTACCCATTTGCTTTGTTATTAGTGCACAGCTAAGAAGATTGAAGCAATCGCCCCTTTCATGGTATTTCAAAGCTTACTCACACGATGCATCCCTGATATTAAACACAATGAGACTTTTTTGAATTCAATTAAGCATTTGCCTACTGTGACTCTTTATTCATTGCAAATTGTCTCAGTAAATAATCTTCATCAAAAGTCAGAACCAATCCCCATTAGTTGTTTAGATTAATTAATGGGTCCCCCTGGAGCCACCCAAATCAATTCAATTTGAACGTCAACAACTTGGCGATGGAGTTTCCCAGGTTGGCATTAAGACAATATTAAACCTGCAATAAGTCACATTTAAAATGTTAATTCAGAGAAGCTCTCCATTTAGAGCATTTAATTAAATCCTTAAATAAACTGCCTGGGCTCAGTACCAGATGGTTCTGCGTTTTCATGGCAGCACAAAACCTTGAAGTCATTGTGGGAAGTAATATCGGAGGCGCGGTGAAGACAACCAGGATATATAGAGTAATAAAATCTAATCTCGTTTCCAGCGGGGAGATTCAGTGTATGTACACAACCCGGGCTCAAATTGTAAGTTAATTACATTAACCCCAGTGTACTCCAGGATCTGAGCAGCCAGAGATGAAATTAGTCTTTTTCCTATCATAAGATTCTTTTCAACTTCACTATATTAATTTTTAGCCAAATACTCACTCATAAGGAAAATTGAAGTTAATGTAACCAAAGATAAAGTAAGGCAGCCTTAATATTCTGAAGGGATTATGGAGACCCGTGAAAATATACTCTGCAAATATCATCGACGTGGAGTGGATTTATGGAGTTGGGCGGGGGAGAAGAAATGAAGACGCCAAGAAGACCCTCGTCTCTGCCCATTTTCCCCCCTGCCAGCCTAGGGTTAATAAAGGACCTAATCTAGGAAATGTAGTCCTTGGAGCAAACAGCCTCCCAAGGGTGGTGGAGGGTGCTGGGGGAGGAGACAGATGGCCTCTGAGAGCAGTTAGGCCTTCATGTCAGGGGCAGGTGAGGGGCCCAAGTGTCCCCTGGCAGCAGGATTACCTCTGTCCGCCCCCTGGGTGGCCCAGAAATCTCCATGGTTCAGCCTCTTAATCTCCCTACTCTGAGGAGACAAGTCACACTTCTCGGTCTTTCCCTTGGGATGTCAAGAGGGACCACTGGCTCCTCTGTCTGCCAACCCGGAGACCCTCAGGTAGCACCCTTAGTTACTGCAGTGGTCCCGTGGTGACTGAAGATCTAACGCAAATTTCTTTTAAAACAGCTTCCTCCAAAAGTCTATCAATTCTCCAACAACTAAGAAAAACTACACATCACCCATTCAGTCTTGGGAGCCTGCATTCCCAAGGGGCTGTGTCTCCCACTGCAGTCCCATCACCCTGCCATCTGGGGAAAGAAAGCAAACCGAAAACCTTGTGAGTTTGTCTCAAAAGCATTTTTCTGCTCTGATCATTCCAAGTGAAGCAGTAGGAACCGAATTTCTGACAACCTCCTCCTAGGAAACGACTCTGTCGTGACCCGGCACTCACCTTCACTTGACCTTCTGTGATCCTAGCCCTCTGCCCGATGCTTGGTGCCATCTTACCCTCCCAAACTGGAATATCCCGAACCCCTTTGGGCCCTCCTCCTCCATTCTGGTCTTTGGTCTGAGAGAAACCATCACAGCCTCAGGGACCTGATTCTGCCGGGCCTCTGGGCTACTGAGAGTCCACTTAGCTTCCTTTTCTGTCCCGAATGTCACTGTTGTGCTTGTCACTTAAGGGTCCCCACACTGAGGTGGCTCATAGGTTTCATCTGAATGCCAACTGCAATTGATTGGTAGTGGTTGTTCACAGTGTTAAGAAGGATTCTGAGCCTGAATCCAGTCTCCAAGAGGAAAAGAACACTGCAGATATTAGCAATACATTTCAAGTGTGTGTGTGTGTGTTTACACTATGAATACTTTCCAATGTTTTTAAATGAAAACATGTTAATGGCTATACCATCATTTATTTTAATTCCATTTCTTGTTTTTGCCTTTTTTTTCCCCTTCACTACTAAGGGTAAATGACACATCTTTGTACACGAACCTTTGAATGTCTGACCCTTTGTTCAGGTAAACTCCTAGAAAGGGAAGCACTAGACCAAAGATTGCAAACAAAGACCAAGTTATTTAAAAGTTGAGCTCTTTATTATGACCATATATTCCCACACATGTGAGTGCCAGGATGTTTATTTCAAGAAAAAATTAATACAGCCCAAGTTACAAATATTAACAGGCAGGGTGGCTCCCACCAGGCACCTGGCAAAACCTCAGCCCAGAGGGGCGAGAGGAGCTGATTCTGGGTTCATTCTGGAACGGCGGGGGTGGCCCTGTTTGCAGGTCCCTCTTGGGGTCCATGCTGTGCCTGGGTTCACTTTGGCCTGAAATGAAATGACCAATTCTTTGCAGTGGGGCGTGGACAGTTAGGATGCTCAATCATCTCCTCAGCTCGAACTGTTCAAAGTGCAGACTTTGAGCAGAGCACAGACATTCCTAATTATTCAAATTAAGAGATCACACATGAGAGCAAGATTTAAAGCAGTTTAAGTAGGGGATTATTGTGTTCTCTGTCAGTATCTTCATTTTCATAATTCCTAGTCATAGAATCAAAGACATTAGAGCTGGAAAGAAAACAGGAAACAGGAGGTTGAATCCAGCTGTCTTGATGGACAGAGGAAATGAGGTGCTCAGAGAAGGTAAGTGGTTTAACCAAGCCACACAGCCAGTTCGTGGCAGGCCAAATCCTGTTTCAGTGGTCTTACCACCACAGCTCACTTCCAGCCACCCCTGCTTACACATACTCACCTCCCTGGGGCTCTGCTGGTCCCTGGGCTTCACACTCAGTGAGTCCAGAGCCCTCCCTTCTCCGTACACTTTTGGCTGTGGCTACCTCACTGCCTATTCTGAAGCTTAGAGCAATGTTCTTGTGATTTTTTCTGCAGCGCATGTCTATTGCAATTGCCTCCACATGTCTCTCATTTTGCTCTTCCGCCTAGTTCCACGTGGCAAAAGTGAGAAGAGATCAATCCTGGTTATGCTGTGTCTACATCCATATGGTATGCTCGCTCTACTTTTTTTTTTTTTTTGAGACAGAGTCTCACTCTTGTTGCCCAGGTTGGAGTGCAGTGGTGTAATCTCGGCTCGCTGCAACCTCTGCCTCCCGGGTTTGAGCGATTCTGCTGCCTCAGTCTCCCAAGTAGCTGAGATTACAGGTGTGCAACACCACGCCTGGCTAATTTTTATATTTTTAATAGAGACGGGGTTTCACCATGTTGGCCAGGCTGGTCTTGGACTCCTGACCTCAGGTGATCCACCCGCCTCAGCCTCCCAAAGTGCTGGGATTACAGGCGTGAGCCACTGCACCTGGCCTGCTTGCTCCACTTTTTAAGGGAGATAATAAAACAGGCATTGCCTGTGTTTGGTTTGAGTTAGTTTTGCAGAGAGCACCACCTTCTTGCCCCACGTGAAAGGAAATTGCAGGCCCTTTGCAACAGCAGCCGAACTCCGACCTCAGCTGCAGTAACTAAGATGCCCTTGTCTGCCAGAAACACTTTCCTGAGTGAGCCAGTTGTTCTGGAAAGAGGGCAGCAAAGGGACTGAGCAGGGAAGGAGGGGATGAAAAGCCCGGCTCAAGGCTGGGAAGGAAGGAGAGTCTGTGCTTGGTGGATGGGGTGGGAACAGCTGGAGGGTGAGATGCAGGAATGCCCATGGAGCACTCACCTCTTGCAAGGTGGGGAGACACTAGTGGAAGGCAAAAGGGGGTTATTCTTGTACCGCCCAAATCCAGGACATCTGTAGAAACCGCTCGTGTCTGTGGGTCAGGACTGATGCCAGGAGAGCACCCATGAAAAGTAGAGAAGCTGGGTTCTTGGGCAGCGGGAGGTGGGTCTGTGGTCGGTGTGCCCTATGAGGGGCCAGCCTGTTACCTCCTAGCATTGCACAGGGCTGTGCAGTGGGGCGTCAGGCACAGTGAGAGCCCAGTTGCAGAATTATCATTGATACAGACACCAAAAGTCTGCACTTCGAGCAGTTCGAGATGACAAGATTGAGCGTCCTTACCATCCATGCCCCAATGCAAAGAATTGGTCATTCCATTTCAGGTCAAAGTGAACCCAGGCACAGTGTGGCCCCCAGAGGGGGACCAGCAAACAGGGCTACCCTGGCTGCTCCAGGAGGAACTCAGAAACAGCTTCTCTCATCCCACTGGGCCAAGGTTTTGCCAGGTGCCTGGTGGGAGAGGAGCTCGAGTTGCCAGCAGAGCCCCCTGTCTGTCATCTCTGTGTTGGGCTGTACTAACTTTCTCCTAAAATGCACAGCCCAGCACACCACGGCTGGCTCTCTAGGCTGTCAGGACATTTGATTCCGACACGGCTCCCCTGGGCGGCCCTGCCAAGGCTCCGTCTCTGCTTGAAGGTGGTAACTGTTCCCCTGCTACCTCGTCTTCTCCAGTGAGACGCATTCCCTGCAGGAACAGTCGTGCCTTCCGCAGCCTGCACCTTCATCCATAGCCAGGGAAGCTGCACAGGGCCCGCCCTTCCTGGGCCACATCGACCCCTCAGCTTGCAGCCTGTGCAGTGTCAGTGCGACAATCACACTATCTTGCAGCCAGCAAGCGCCGGGCTGGGAAACCCAGGTACCTGCAAATCAGATGCTTCCCAAGGACAGGCAGGCAGCTATGATGGAAGAGGAAAAGGGAGGGGCCGTCCTACCAAGACACAGCAGCCCTGAGACCCACCGCAGTAACCACGGGCCTGAACCACCATGGAGATGGGGAGGTGCCTTATTATCCTTCTCGCCCTCTCTGGGGTGGTCCTCATGACCTCAGCCTGGCTATCTCATAAGCCAGCAGTATTTGGGTCAGCTACAAGAGAGGCCAGAGGCATAGGTGTTTTGATTTGTGCATTTTGTTTTGTTTTGGAAGTACAGAAATGGCATGAGCCTTGAACATTTTTCTCTCCTCCTTTCTCAAAGAGAACAGTAAAAGCATTCATCGCGTGGCCGGCTGAGGCTTGAGCTTGCTGGAGAAGTGAGGTTTCTAAAGAGCTCTGCCCCACTGACACCTCAAGCTGCCCTGACTGCTCCTCCCTGAGCTGAGAGGTGCCATCAGCTGTCAGACCTGGCCTCAGGGTAACAGGCAACGAAGGCACAGGTGAGCAGTTGGTAGGGACCACAGAATAAAACGCTGCATGATTTTTATGAATTTAGCCTCCATTCCGTTTTTTCCTGCCTGCCCGGAGAGCAGGGCCACGCTCTCCTCTGAGCAAGAATCAGGGGCGATGGTGGGCTTTGCGGAGAGCCCTGAAAGCTTCCTGGCGGGGATTGTCACCCGAGGTGGGATAGCTTTTGCTTTGGAGCAGTGGTGGGGTGTGTACTTGCTGGGGGCAAACTTGCCTAGAGTCGCTAGCTAGGATCACTCCTCCCTGTTCTCACTTTTCCTCCGCCCTGCCATGCTTTCTGTTTTGTTGCGCCCTGGGCCAGCTGCGTCCTGGTCCCAGGTAGGAATGTGTTGCTCTCATTCCCTGTGGAGTGTGATTCTCTGGGCGGCAGTGCCACTACTCTGTAGGATGCACCATCCAGGATGGCTCTTGGATCTTCTCTGCCTGGCTGTTCCCCAGCCAGAGGCTGCTTTATCCCCAAGGTGGGCACTGCAATGAGGATCCCCAGCCTGAAGCAGCCTCCAGAGCTGAGTCAGTCAACAGATGTTAACTGGGCACCTTGGGGTTCCCTCCTGGCGATGGAATAAACAGAGGGCCTGGCCGCCGCCTCTCTGGGGCCTCCAGCTGGGGGTGTCTGCTGATTGCAGGTGGAGTTCCAGCTCCAGCCCATGGACAGCACCTCAGGCCCCTGCCACGCAGCTAGCCCAGCGGCATAGGTCAGAGGCAAGTGAGTCTTGTCTGAGGGCACATCCTGGCATCAAAGGCTCTGACCTGGAAGGGGCTGCAGGGGATGTGGCTGCCCAGTGGCAGGATGGGGCTGAGGCAGATTTTGGGAACAGGAGAGAGTCACAGAGTCCCTTGGGCATGACTGAAGGCAGAAGGTACCAAAGACGAGCTTTTGCCTCCAGGAGAGGTGGGGACCCACGGAAGCGGCACTGAGCCAGGAGCAGGGGCAGTGAGCAACTCATAGGCCTGGTCCATCTGATGGCCTCTGGCAGCAGTTGTCTGTGCTGGCCCAGATGGTCACAGGGAGGATTCCACACAGGGTGCTTTGAAGGTTCCCCTCCCATTGTTCAGAGGAAGCCCCTGCACCGGACCAATGAGAACACAAGGCCCTGAGAGGGAAATTGAGGACCCTGCTGGGTCCACAGCCTGGAGCTTTTCAACCCACATTCTGTGTTTTTTCCTCTATAACTCTCTCTCTCTCTTTCTATATATATATATATATATTTTTTTTTTTTTTTTTTTGAGACAGAGTCTCACTCTGACGCAGACTGGAATGCAGCAATCTCAGCTCACTGCAACCTCCGCCTCCTGGGTTCAAGTGATTCTCTTGCCTCAGTCTCCTGAGTGGCTGGGACTACAGGCCCGTGCCACCACGCCCGGCTAATTTTTGTATTTTTAGTAGAGATGGGGTTTCACCATGTTGGCCAGGATGGTCTTGATCTCTTGACCTCGTGATCTGCCCGCCTTGGCCTCCCAAAAAAAAAAAAAAAAAAAAAAAAAAAAAAATATATATATATATATATATATATACAAAATTTCTTTACATGGTTTTAATGAAGTTAGCATAGGTTCTGTGTTTTCCCTGGCTGCTGGGAGATTGGGACAGTGTCTTCTGTGGGAGAGGATATGAGATGATGGTGGGCTGTGCACAGTCCTGGGATGAGCCAGCCTTTCAGGACGGCCCTGATGGAAGCTTCTGGCTAGGGTTTCTCACCCCACTCTGGGATCACTTCTGTTGCTACTGCTCAGAGCAGAGTAGGCTATGCTTCTTAAGGGACTGCACCTGCTGGGCAAAAGTTCTTCCCCCCCCCCCAAGAAGGGTGCCCCCCGACACTGCCCACCAAACAGGGACAGGATTCCCTTTTTAGAGCACAAAGGATCTCTGACAACATGGCGTGGCCTGTACCCGTTTGAGGTTTACGCCACCAGCCTGGTCCCTAGAGGCAAACTCTGCTGGAATCTGGGGTGTTGTCCCCCTGCAGTGGTGTCAGAGACGCAGTGGCCCTGGGTCTCCACCAGCAAGGAAGACTAACCCTCAGGAAAGGTTGTGCTTGATTGTGCCTTTTCAAATCAGCATTGTGTTTCATTAAAATAACAGAAATACTGAATAAGCAGTGATCACCTATAGTCACTTACCGATGTTAGGAGGCAGCTAGGATTTCAGGAATGTCCCTCTTAGACACAGGCTGGTGCTGCCTTGCTCTCTTATGAACTGCCTTTTCAGTTGAGCTCAGATCTGGTGGGAGAAAAAAACCATAATGAGCTTTTGAATTAGACCAAGCCTGACTTTTGGCCCTGGCTCTGTCCAGCTCTTGCAGAGGGACTCTGTGAAAAGGTGCATTAGACACTGCCAGCACATGGCAGGGACTTGTAGTAATCAGGAGTCCTTTTCTAAGTGACCAAAATCCCAAATTCAAATAAAGAAGAGGAAAATTCATTGGCTACAACAGCTTCAGGTATGGCTGGATCCAGGTGCTCCAACAATATGGTCAGGATCCAGTGTCTCTCTGTCTCTTGCTGGTCTCCTGTGTGTTCACATAATTCCCAGGTGAGCTGTTTTTCCATGGTGGAAGCTCCACACTTTTGTCTCACCAACTTTAAGACCACCTGAAAGCCAGCTATGCTTTCCCAACAGGCTGTTGGAGAGACTGGAGCCAATCACAGCACATGCTGAATGGAGGGCTCATATTCGGGCAGGCAGCTGAGGGGAAGGTACAGCAGACACTTTCTGGGCCCATGGCCTCTTACCCCTGTGAGTTCAGGTGTGGCTGTGTGGGTAGGTCCCATCTTTCCTCCTGTCTTCTGACTCAGGGCTTTTTCCATAGCTAAGGGCAGGGTAAGCTTGGGAGATACCATGCCCTGGGACAACCGTCTGCCAATGGGGGACAATAGTCTGCGCCCATGGAGGGACAACTCAGAGGCAGATCCCACGGATTTTTCAGAGGGCTCCTGGTGGGTCTGAGCCCCTGTTGCCCGCACCGATCACCAGCCCAGTGTCATCCTCCCATTGACCACGCTGATCACCAGCCCAGTATCATCCTCACAATTGGCCACGCTGATCACCAGCCCAGTGGCATCCTCGCAATTGGCCACGCTGATCACCAGCCCAGTGACATCCTCACATTGGCTTTCTCCCCACCCGGATCTCACTGCCCTGCCCCTCACTCCAGCTTCCTGGAGTCACCTCCCACCTACACTACCTGCACCCAAGGCCTTGTCTCAGGCTCTGTTTTGGGGGAACCCCGAAAGGCAGAGAGGTCAACCTCACCTGAAGCAGGTGAATTGAGAGGTATTAGGGCCTTGAGGACACCTGAGTTTGACCGGCCAGGCGTCTGACCTCCCTCAGCAGCAGGACCCTGTCTCAATTGTTGTCTCGTGAATCCTCCCAGTGTATAAAGAGTACAAGAAAGGGGTTGGTCCAGCCTCACAAGCATTTACTGAGCACCTACTGTGTGCCAGGCTTACTCCCTCTTCACATGAACTCATCATCACCCCATTCTACAGATGCAGGGAGTGAGGCCTAAAATCATCAGGAAGGATCTGAGGCCACACAGCTGGTAAATGGCAGAGCGGGGGCTGGAGTCCAGGGCCTCTCACTCCAGGTGCGGGCTCCTGTCCTCGCCCCGCTGGCTGGTCTGAGGTGGCTCACTGAGCTGGGCGTAGCTTGAAGCCTCCCTTGGTCCCCTCCAGTCAAGACTGGATTTTCCCGCCAGCTCCCAGCCACTGTCCTTCCTCCCCAGGAACCTTCCGCTGTGTTTTTTGCAAAGTCAGGCTCTCCTAACTCTCTCTCACACCCCTTCCTGTTCAGGCTCCAACTTTCTCTGCCCAGAAGCCCTTGCTGGCATTGGTGCCTGTGCCAAGCTTGCTCAGTGGGAGGTGGGTTCACAGCCTCTCACCTCCTTCCCTGCTCGCTGTCCACAGGACTGTCCAAGTAAAGGTTCCCCTCAACACCACCCCTTCCCTCAACCCCGTCCCAGGTCACCACTCAGAATGACAGCGCTAACCCTTTCTACCCTGCTCAAATCCCAACCCTCACCTTCTGGGGCTGCCCCTGCCTGCCCAGATCACCTTCTTGCTGAGAAAATGGAAGCGTTAAACTCTCAATCCTCTTCAAAGCTCATTAGCCAGAGAAAGCTACACATCAAATTGATTTTAATTCTCCGGGTTCTGGCTAACGCAATGACTTCAGGCCACAGGCGGGGAGGGCAGGGTTATTTTTTTGAGGCTTGCTGGTGTCTCTCTGCCCTTTCCTTCTGGCTGGCTCATGATTCTTGCAATGTGACAAGCTCTGCGCAGTCCCAGGGCCAGGACGCAGGGCGAGCCTTGTGCTCCCCAGGGGCAGGATGGGGGCGGAGGGATGGAGGAGGTGCTGAGCCCACAGCAGTCTCCCTTCCCAGGGCCCTACCCAGAAGCTGTCCCGCCACTCATAAAGAGCCTGAAAGATGGAAAGGATCTCTCTCTTATTCTTGTAATATACTTTGCCCAGAATTCATGATGAAATACATTTTCTCCAGAACGTTTTATGCAGTTAATGGTGTAAAATCAAACCGACTGTTGTCAGACCATTCTCAGTGCCTCCCCTAACCCCAGTATTTGTGCTGAAGATGGTGGGAACTCAATTTGCCCTTCCAGAATATCGCAGAGCCTGGCCCCAGCCTGAGCAATGGCAGCTCTCCAGGAGCCTGAGGTCTGAATCTGCCTGGTACAGCATCCTGGAGAGCACGTGCAGACACAGAAGTACTGTGTGCCCTGTGAAATAGTGGGCCAGGTAGGCATTCTGTCCCATCTGTCATGTGCTCCCTCTGTGTGGCTGCCCTGGAGGTTCTGAGGAGGCCTGCGGGGAGGCCCTAGGTTGTTCCAAACCACCTCTATAAATAGCCAGCTTCAGGAATTCACTGGGAGCCAGGCTGTTTTTATAGGCTTGTATCTTCGTTTTTCCAGTAATCCAGCTGAGTGCTTCTGGACCCGGGCCCCCACCAGGGAACTGACAACCCCACATCTGCCACAGGCAGAAAACTTGTGGGGGTCAAGGGAAGCTCTTTCTCTGCCATTTAAGAAGGAATAGTGGGGGCCGGGGCTGCCAGCCCGCTTGGCTCACAACTTTTGGACTGTCTGGCATTGTGGCCAGCACGTGACTGTGGTTATTTGGGGCAAGCAGGGGTGCCCAAGTCCAGACACATCTCCTCCCAGGCCTGTCCCTCACTGACACATCTGGTAAGCATGCGACGGAGAGAACACTGTGTAACAGGAACCAACGCTGGGCTGTCCCAGGCATCCTTTATGGAGAAAAACTCTTTCTATGGGATCTGAATGCTTCTGCTCTTAAATAATCAGTGTGAATTTCTTCTAAGCAGCCAGTGACTAGCCAACAGTTCGAGTAGGGCAAAGTCAATGATGGACTGGATTTCATTTCTCATCAGTGGCATGAGGGGGGTGAACCAGGGGGTCTCCAGTCCCACTTAGACTCAATTCCATAACCTCAACCAAGCACCTGAGCACGCCGGGCACCTGGGGAACCGAGGGACTTGGTACCAGGAGTGGGGCCCACAGGGCCCTGTGAGCGTGTGGTCAGGGGTGGGGAGAAGCCACGGAGGTCGAGGCAGGGTTGTGCTCGCTCAGAGAACCAGATGGCCAAAAGTCCCAGGAAAGCTGGTCTCTATCCATGCTCAACACAGCTTTTCCTTGTGAAGGGAGAGGGAGGAAAGGGATTACCGGCGCCGGGGAGAAAGAGCCCAGAGCCCCGAGGGAGGTGTGGACAGAGCACTCATGAAGATGAGGAAGAGGAGCTTGAGCGCAGGGACAGTGCACAGCACAGTCTGCATCAGAGGAGATGTCTGGGGTCAGACAGAGACTGAGGGGCCTGCCCCTTGGGGCCCGGTGGCCAGGACTTGGTGCAAAAGCCCCCGCCCCCCACAGCCTCCCTGCTCCGAGCCCCTGGCCTTGTGCATCTCCTGCTCTCCTTCCTGAACTAGCGTTGACCTCACATCGCAGCTGCCCTTCCCTGGCTTCATTTATTCAGGAGAGATCTATGGACTACCGCCATGAGGCACGCTCACTCTCTGTTCAGACCTGACGGCGGATCCCGAGCCACGGACCCTGGCGTTCTCCCCACAGATCAGCTCACCTTCACCCTTTTGATGTTGCCACTTCCAGCTGTTCCAGGGAGATGCCTCCTTGGTCTAGCCCAGCCCCAGGCACACTCTGAACGCAGACCTCAGGCAGCCACCCCAGACCCAGCAGAGGGGACACCAGCATGGGCAGCGCAAGTGGGCCTGACATCAGGAAAGCGACCATCCCTGCCTGTCCCTCCAGGGCTAGAGTCATGACTGTATTTGGGTGTGATTCAGATTCATGTAACAGAGCACAAGTGACATTAAAGGGGAAGAAGAAGTAGATGAAGACATGGCTGAAAGCAGACATTAGCCAAATTCTTACTCTAAGGAGAAATGAGGGGTGAGAAGCCTTTTATCCCTGTTGCTGACTTGTCTCCAGCTCCCAGGTACCAGACTACAGGGGTGGGGGTGGGGCAGGCTCTAGGGAGATTCTCGCTTGGTACCCAGCTCCACACTCTGCAATAGTAGTTGATTTGTCATTGCTGTTGGAATTCATTTTTTTTTTTTTTGAGATGGAGTCTCACTCTGTTGTCCAGGCTGGAGTGCAGTGGTGCAATCTCGGCTCAATGCAACCTCTGCCTCCCGGGTTCAAGAGATTCTCCTGCCTCGGCCTCCTGAGTAGCTGGGACTATAGGTATGCCCCACCATGCCCAGCTAATTTTTGTATTTTTGGTAGAGACGGGGTTTCACCATGTTGGGCAGGATGGGCTCAATCTCTTGATCTCATGATCTGCCCCCCTTGGCCTCCCGAAGTGCTGGGATTACAGGCATGAGACACCGTGCCTGGCCTGGAACTCATTTTTAAATCATGCAACACAGGACTGATTCCCAAAACAGCATCCCTGTGCCTTTGCATGGCCACGTCCTCTTGAAGAAGACCTGTGGACTCCGAGTGGCCAAGGGTGTCCCTTTGGAGCCCAACAGATGGGGCTGAATTCCACTTCTGCTGGTTGCCCGCTGTGTGACCTTAGCCGAGTGTCTGGATCTGGGCCTTAGATCCCTCACCTGTTAAATGAGGCCAGAGCTGGCCACTTTTCAGGGCTGTTGATGAAATGAAGGAGATAAAAGATGCAAAGGAGCTCCGTTTGGTGCTGGGGACGTGCAAGCATCCAACAGGCGACATTTGCCATTCTTAGATAATCACTGTCATTAGAGTGCATGCATTCAAGAACCCACAGACAAGAGGTGGAGGCTCCGCTGGGGCTGGGGCAAAAGATGCTTGCCCAGGACACCACAGATGTCCCTACCCTCACAAGTGACCAGTGGGAAGTGACGGAGAGGAGGTGTGTGGCAAAGCCCTAAGGGTGCCTGCAGCCCGGCCCTGCCAGAGTGCGGTACATTGCCCACTTTCGCAATGGCATCTTCAAGTGGGGGCCTCCTTGACACATGGGCAGTCCCCACTTCTGGTCGCCTCTCCCGCCTTTGACTAATGGCTGACCTGACATCTTTCAGCAAGTGACCTTGTTGCAGCTGGTAATTCAAATATCTTTCAGTGTCAGAAATAATAAGCACCACCATGAGATGAACAAGCAGAGCTTAAGTTAAGCGCAGATTAATGGGGTTTTAATATTCCTAATTTAATCACTCCTTTCTGTCACACTGTGGGCAACATGATGTAGCAGCTAATTATTTTTTTAAACCATGTTGGGGATCTTTCCTAATCAATTTTATATTTAACATGAATGAAGGGAGGGCAGTGATTAATGGGAGAATAAATCTCAGCAAACAGGCACAAGCAGGCGATCAGTTAAAAATACGGCAGGATGACTTTGCCTTCTCCTGTAGTAAATTCTTCAGGGATGGGATGGGGCACAATTTTAAGTCTCTTTCAATCTAAAAAGGGGAAATGAGTTGAAGATTTAAAAACCATTTTGGCTGAAAAGTCATGAACACACATTTTCATTGATGTAAAACAGTATAGACTAATCAGTGTGGTGACATTCCATACCTCTTACATTATATTCTAGCATTATGGCATTTCATACCTGCTACAATGTATCCCAGTAAGTATGTGTTGTTTCATATCTGCTACAATGTATACCAGTAAGTATGTGGCATTTCATACCTGCTACAATGTATGCTAAAGAGTATTATGGCCTTCTATAGTTGCTACATTATTATTATTATTATTATTATTATTATTATTATTATTTGTAGACAAGTCTCTCTGTCGCCCAGGCTGGAGTACAGTGGCATGATCTCAGCTCGTGGCAACATCCGCCTCCCAGGTTCAAGTGATTCTGGTGCCTCAGCCTCCTTGAGTAGCTGGGACTACAGGCAGGCACCACCACGCCCCGCTAATTTTTGTATTTTTAGTAGAGACAGGGTTTCACCATGTTGGCTAGGCTGATCTCGAACTCCTGACCTCAAGTGATCCGCCTGCCTGAGCCTCCCAAAGTGCTGGGATTACAGGTGTGAGCCACCCTGCCCTGCCTAGTTGCTACATTGTATACTAGTAAGTATAGTGGCATTTCATAGCTGCTGCCATTTATAGGGAGCATGCTGAGGGGTGAAAGACACTGACTTTCATGTCAGGAAAACGTGTATATTCAAATGCTGGTGCTGCCCTTTATCATGTGACCTTGGGCCTCAGTTTTCTTATCTTTTAAATAGGTGTAATGATGCCCCTGGGAGCATTGTGAGGGCTCAGTGTGTGGATGCACACAGCATAGTGCCTGGCATGTGCGTGCTGCCAAATCTAACTTTAATTCTCGCAACACTAGAAAGTGTGTCTTAGGCTGAGGTCCCCAGGAGCAGGCCCTGGGAGGAGGACCTGCATGAAAGGGATTTGTTAGATGTGCCCTGGAAAGCTGCGCAATGGAACAGGGACTCAGAGAGACCAGGAGGAGGAGGCTACGCAGTGCAGGATCAGGCCAAGCACAGGCAAATTTTGGAGATGATGATGATCATGCCCGAGAGATGTCCCAGTCAGGGACCCAGGAGCTAAGAACGTAAAACTCAGCCTGTCAGTCACGGGCAAGGGAGACATAAATTCCTATGTGTTTCCAGTCCTCCTGCCAAGTGGCTTCTAGCTTTCTGGGAACAATGCTCCCAACAAGAGACCCAGGCACCGTCTATGGAGTGAGGACAAAAACGGTGATACCAGCAGAGGTGGACAGTGCCTGCCCAGGAGGCTGGTCATTTGCTCCGGGTCACACAAAGAAGGCGTGAGCTGGCATAGACCCCTGGTCAGGTCAGGAGGTGGCTGGGTAAGATGTGAACTTGCACCCAAGGAGCTATGGGTCCCCAAAGACCTGGAGTAGACTCCGCATTCTAATATCCCAACCCATGGGGAAGCCCTTGGGGCAGACTGCAGGACCCCTCAGGACAAAGGCTCCCCACGTAAGCATTTCTCATAACAAGCAGAGTTGGGCATCTTTGCCATGTTTTCATTCATTCATCATTCATTCATTCATTCATTCATTCATTCATTCATTCATTCATATATTCACTTATTCATCCGTATTCATCCAACCTTTGTTTAGCAAGCGCCTCCTGCTGGCTGGGCACTGTTGTAGACATGAGGCATAACAGTCAAAAGAATTTTTAAAAATTAATTCCTTTTCTCACGGAGCTGACATTCTAGAGGGAAGGGATGAGCAACAAGAATGGCAAAACACAGAGACAGCACGCATCTTAGAAGGTGACGGTTTCCATGCAGAAAACAAAGCAGAAAGAGCGGAGAGCCGGGGCTGGAAGGAGTGCTCTGTCCAATGTGCTTCCAGCAGAGCCTCACCAAGGAGCTGTAAGCACAGACCTGAAGGGACCTCATTGAGTCTTGTAGCTTTGAATACCATGTAGATGCTGACAACTCCCAAACTGTTTATCTCCAGCATGTCCTCTCTTCAACTCCAGCTGGTAATTCAAATATCTTTGAATTCAAGAGCATCTTCAAGAAGAGGTGTTCTTGAAAAAGACTATTCCACGCAGCAGGAATAGCAAGTGCACAGGCTAAGAGGTGGGAGCCCGCCTGGTCTGCGGGAAGATAGCAGGGAGCTGGCGCACCAGCCGCGGAGAGGTGAGCTCAGGCCAGAGCAGCCGAGGAGGATGCAGGCTTCGTGAACAGGCAAGTCTGGATGAGGCCTTGGCTTCCTCTCCAAGTGCATTAAGGCCGGAGAGTGACATCTGATTCGCATGTTAAAATGCTAGCTGTGATAGTACAGAACAGTCTATGGGGGCATGGGGATGGGGGAGGTGCAAGGAGACTCGTAGGAGGTGAAAGGTGATGGTGGCTGCTCCAGAGTGTTGGAGATGGCAGAGGTGGGAGCGGCTGGACACTGGGCACTTTCCAAGGTGGAGTTGGCAGCATGTGCTGGCGGGTGGATGGGGGGTGCAAGAGTCTTGGAGGAGTCAAGGGCAAGTCCAGGCAGTTGGAGGGCGGGAGCTGCTGTCAACTGAGATGGGAAGATTCGGGATGTGGAGTAGTGGGAAGCTGAGTTTGGGTATATCAGGCTCATTCAACGTCTGTCTGAGTGAAGGGGCTGAGGACACAGTGGGATGTGTAAGTCTGGAATTCGGAGGAGAGACCATGCTGGAGATAGCCAATATAGGACTTGTGGGCATCTATGTGGTATTCAAAGCCACAAGACTCAATGAAGTCCCAGGGAGAGTGAAGGTGGATACAGAAAAAAGTCGTCCAAGCCTCGGGTGGCTCGTGGGGTCAGAGTGTGAGGAGACTAGGGCTCCAGCGAAGGAGACCGAGAAGGAGCAGCCAGGCGGGCAGGAGGAGATCCAGGCAAAGTGGGGTCCTGTGGGCTAAGGGAAGAGAATTCTCAAGGGAAAGGGAAGATGGGCAGCTGTATCCACACCGCAGAAGGACCAAGTCATATGACTACCGAGAACCAACCACTGGACATACCACGTGGAGGCCACTGGTGATCTTTTCTTTTAACTATCAAATACACATAACATAAAACTTACCATAGTAACCATTTTTAAACGCACATTTCCATGGCCGTAAGCACCTTCCTAATGCCGTGAGATCATCAGCACTGTTGTGTTCCAGAACATTTTCCTTCCTCCAAAGGGGGCTCCACACCTGTCAGCAGTCACTCCCCGTCTCCCCGCCTTCAGCCCCCGGCAACCCCTCATCTGCCTTCTGCCTCTAGGGGTTTGCCTAATCTGAGTGTTTCATATCCGTGGAATCACACAATGTAGTGTTTTGTGCCTGGCTCCTTTCACCCAGCGTCGTGTCTTCCAGGTTCATGCACGTTGTAGCACATGTTGGTACTTCACTTCTTTTTGTTCTACATTTGAATTTAATTGTTAAAAAAAATTGACAAAATTTTATAGATATATATTTATGCTGTACAATGTGGTTTTGAAATATGTATGCATAGTGCAGTGACTACATTGAACAAATTAACACATGAATTACCTCATAAACTATCATTTTTCTGTGGTAAGAACACTTACAATCTACTCTTTTGGCGATTTTGTTTCTTTTTAAGGCGAATGGCATTCCACTGTATGGATAGACCACACTGCATTCACCCATCCATCTGTTGACGGCCGTTGGGCTGTTTCTAGCTTTGTGCTGCTGTGAGTAATGATGCTATGAACATGTGTGGCCGTGTCTCCTTTCGAGTCTCTGTTTTCAGTTCTTTGGGGGTGATCCCTAGGCATGGCATTTCTGGTGACCTGCACAACGGGAGCTTCCATGGGGTGATGGGGTCCATGCCCAGGCTGGATGCTGGGAGAGAATGAGAGGAGAGGAATGGAGATGGCAAGGGTGCACAGCTCTTTTGAGAAGTTTTGCTGCCAAGGAAAGGGGAGATGTGGAGTGATTGCTCGAGGGAAAAACAGGGCAAAAGGGTTTAGTTTGGTTTTTGGGGACAGGAGAAGTGGCATGTGCTGTCATGCTGGTGAGAATTGTCCCACAGTGAGGGAATCACCCATGGCAGATGGAATGGGAGGGAGGGAGATCAGACAGTGACCCCACGGGTGGAACGGGAGGGAGAGAGATCAGATATTGGCCCCACGGGTGGAACGGGAGGGAGGGAGATCAGACACTGGCCCCACGGGTGGAACGGGAGCGAGGGAGATCAGACAGTGACCCCACGGGTGGAACGGGAGGGAGAGAGATCAGACACTGGCCCCACGGGTGGAACGGGAGGGAGGGAGATCAGACATTGGCCCCACGAGTGGAACGGGAGGTAGGGAGATCAGACATTGGCCCCACGGGGAGGTGGATGCTGGGGTGGGAGCTCCTCAGGGGCCCCTCTGCTGTCTTTGAACGGGTTCCCTCCCAGGGTTCAGACAACACCCCTGACCTTCTCCTGATCTGTTACGGACTGCAAGAGGATTAAGGACTGTGGGCAGGTCAGATATTGAGAAGGAGAGAGTTCCTGGTGGATTTAATTCTGTGAAAAACATGGCAGCAGGCCTGCAGTCAGACCGTGGGTCCTGTTCTTCTCCACTGTGAAGCTGGAACCTCCATAGGAGCAAAAGAAGTTGGAAGGGGGTGAGGAAGGAAGAGGGGCCATGTTGTGAAGAGTAAAAATAAAACAATAAGGCTGTCATCACTGGGGGGCTGTCAGCGCTCAGGCCACACCCCCTCAGCAAGTGACAAGGACAAACAGTTGCACGGTGCTTAACAAGTTTAAAAAATATATAATATTTTCACTCTGATAAAAGAAAAACTTCAGCCGAATTAAATTGAAAGGAGTTGAACTGAGCAATGAACAATTCGTGAATCAGGCAGCCTCCCGAGCCAGAGTGGGCTCAGAGACTCCAGGGCAGCCACGTGGTGGAGTAAGATTTATGGACAGAAAGAGGAAATCGACTACAGAAAGCGAAAGTGAGGTACAGAAACAGCTGGATTGGTTACAGGTTGGTGTTTGCCTTATTTGAACACCGTTCAGTCGGCCCCCTTTGATTGGCCAAAACTCAGTGACTGGCACAAGTGCAGGCTACAGTCTGTTGATGCCTCCGCTTGTTACATCGATAGTTCACGATGTACAGAAAAACCTTTAGGCCGAACTTAAAATATGTAAGGAGGCAGCTTTAGGCTAAACTTGATTTAACAACATGCATTTAGCTTTCTGAACTCAATGTTATTTCAACTGCTCTTCCCCAAGCTTCCAGATGGGACCGGAGTTTCGGGGATGTGGTTTGCCCAAGGATGCACACCAGAGGGTGGCTGAGCCTGGCGGGTCCCCGATCTGTGCCCCAGAGTGAGTGGCACCAGAGAGAGGATGCAGCCCTCAATGTTTCTGCACTTTGAGCTGATTGCTTTCCCATTTGACCCTAGAAGTTGGATATAAACATTGTCTTGTGTTTGATTTCCTTTGTTTGGGGAGGTCATAAAAAGGCCCCAACAGGATTCTATTAAAGCTTTTTCTTCCAAGTGAGTATCTAAGGCCAAGTTATAAAGCGTTGCAGGGGAAAAGCGAATATTTGCCTTGAAACCTCTTCCCTTGCCTTATAGAAAACCAGAAGAGAAAGAGCACTGAGCAGAGGAGAAGCATATTGCTTCCTTCCCTTGTCCACGTCCTCTGGGCCCCCAGTCCACGTGACTGTGGGGCCTGGGCGCCTGCCCCATCCTCCCTCCACCGAGAAGGGAGCTTCCAGTGTGTTAAGGGGGGCAGCACCGCAGTTCTGTTGTTTTCTTTCCACAGGCTTGGGGTTCACAAACTCAGAAGGGATTTGTCCCTGAGCATTTTTCTCCCTTGGTTTTTTAAGCCATTTGGGTTTCAAGGAAATTGAATCCATGTGTGTTTGGATTAATTGCTTAACTCCTAAAAACGTTGTTTTGTAACAGCAATTTGACATCCAAAAAGCTTGTTAAGTTACTTTCCATCCTTTTTCTGTGGTCCCAATCGGGGGAAATGGGAGATCCCTCCTGCACCAGCCCCATGCTTACAGCTGGAAAGGGCTAATGAGGAATTAGCGTGATGTTCAGTTTATCCCCAAATAAGGCGGGCTTGCAAACCCCACTCTGAAATCCAGGAAGCCTCCTGGGTCCTGCTGGGTTTCTGGGCTTTAGAGAATGTGGACACCTTCTGTGGTCTCGTGTTCAATTTGAGATTTCCTTTTCCCTGGGTCTCGTTTCCAGAGCTTGACTGATCCTCTGGTGGTTCAAATCGCAGTGGAGGAGATGTCAGGCCCCCGAAGGGATGCATGTCTCAGCAGTCAGGGCTCTTGAGGTCTAGGAGGTGCTGCTGAGGGAGGGAAGGTTCGTGTGCTCTGCTCTAGAAATTGTTCTGATGTTCAGGCGTGGTGACTGATGGGATGGCCCCGTATCATGAGTCAAAGAGGAAGAGTGCACCTTCTTGAATGGCCAGGTCCATCAGGAGGCTCCGGGGTTAATGTCATCCGGAAGAGAGGAGTGCTCTTAGGCTGGGCATTTACCCCTAGACCTCAGTTTTCCCATCTGTTAAACAGGAATAACCCCTGACCTCAGAGTTGTTCCACGAGCCGTTTCCTGGTGCCCCCGGACTTCATGTGAGCAGGCATCTGCATTGGCCCCAGTGGACGCTGAGGGTTTCCTCAAGTGGACCCTTTCCTCCTGGGGCCTTCCATTACCTTCCTTCTGCCTGATCTCATTCATCTACTCCCCACCTGGCCTCTGATACCTTCCCTGATGACTTCAGTCAGGCAGGCGGTCTTCTGCTTCCCTAGCGACCATCACAGACCACAGAGATTAGCAAGCACGTCAGTGTTTCCAGAAGGAGGGCGGTCACCCATTCTCCATATTCCTACCCCCTGCAGCACTCGGCAGAGGGCCAGGCACAGCAGCAGCTGTTCACTAAGTTCCCCTTGATTGATAAACTGCTCGGGGGTGTAGATGGGTGTGGCTGTGGGTGTGGTGGTGATGTTGGTGTTCCCACAGGTTCTGCTTTCAGACCCTAAGAATCCAAATGAACCCGCCTAATGACTTGGCGGAAGTTGGCTAGCTCCAAGGTCCAACATTATTTCATCTTCGTCTCAGCAACTTGACCAGGACTTCACTTCTAGCGGTGTAGGACCGATTGCCTGTAGAGGCTCACATATGTGACTTCATTGGCTGACAGGCACAAAGCAAGGTGTCTATACCCACAAAGCAAAGTGTCTATACCCCACTTCTGTGCTCCTTTATGGCATAAACGGCATGATCAAACGGTTATCCACCATAATATCTGCAGTGCAGCTCTGACACTAACCACCTGGAGTTGGTGCAGATGACGGATTGGGGGCTCTGTGCCCTACAGGAAGGCCCTCACTTTAGATGTTGGCTGCAAGTTCTGGCCCCCCCGGATACATGCACCTCTGACCAACTAGCTACAAATTCAGGAGTTTCCCTGACCTCCTGGCATTCAGCAATTCACAATGATGAACCACACAACTCAGGAAAGTGCTGTACTTAGGATTGCGGTGTCATTAGCAAGGATATAAATCAGAACCAGCTACTGGGAGAGGCACAGAGGGGGAGGTCTGGGAGGGTCCCAAATTCAGAGCTTCCATGTCCTCAAGACTATGCAAAGCCTCCCGGGGGACTGATGTGTGATTACGAACCAGGGACAGTCATCTGAGCTTCTGATGCTCAGAGGTTTTACTGGGGTTTCATGATGTAGGAGTGACTGATAGGACTTGATCTCCAGTCCCTTTCTTCTCCAGGAGGTGATGGAGAAGGGCCTCAGCCTGCTGTTCACATGGTCAGTCTTTCTGGCATGGGCTGTCCTAACCCTGAGTCCCCTCATTAGCAAAGACTTTGAGGGCTCACTGTGAATAACAAAGACTTGCCAAGGATTTGGGGGTGACTTCCCAGGAACAAAGGCCAGTCCAATTCTGTGTTATACAACAATTTGCTGGTGCTATCCAATGACGTGCTCTCACCAGCCCTTGCCATGGGATGCCGACTCTATGACTCTTACAAAGGATTCTCCCTGACCCAGCTGACGGAAGCTGCGTCCCAAGTGCTTTGCAGAGACAGCAGAAACCGTCCAGAGAGGCCCTTTCAATGGCCAAGTGAGTGCTTTGTTCTGAAGGAAGTTACAGCCCAAGTTCGCACGACTATCATGAAATCTTCAAAACATTTCATTTTTTAAGTCATGAGATTCCCCTGAGCCCTCCCTGTCCAAGTTGTGTGATGCTCACTTTCAGAAGGAAAGGAGCCAGGACAGAAACTCGAAACTCATTCCCCTTACACGAATGAGTCTTGTTTCGAGGGGGACTCCTCTCCATGGTGGGATTTTCAGCTCAGCTCAGCGTCCCTCACGCACCAGGCAATGCAGGTTCAGTAGGGATGCAGGCTTGAGCCCCACGGTGGAAGGCTTGCAGCCTCAGGTGCAGAGGGGTGAGGCTGGATCACGGATACTGAGCAAGAATTTCAGTTTGGGCTGGGAAGAGGTATATGCCCGGAGGGCACTGGGAACACAGAGCAGGTGCCCCTGGCTCAGACCAGGAGGGTTAGGGTCATCTTGGTGTCTTTAAGGGATCAGTGGGGGTGGCTAGATGATTGTGGGTAAGAAGACAGCATGAATAAGGCAGAGAGGAGCCAAACAGCAACCCCAGGCTGTTTGAAAATGTGGAAGTTTTGAGTGGGGCTTGAGGGCTTTATCAGAAGAAAGCTGGCCAGGCGCGGTGGCTCACACCTGTAATCCCAGCACTTTGGGAGACTGAGATGGGAGAACCACTTGAGTTCAGGAGTTTGAGACCAGCCTGGCCAGAATGGTGAAACCCTGTCTCTACTAAAAATACAACAAAATTTGCTGAGTGTGGTGGCGCACGCCTGTAATCCAGCTACTAGGGAGGCTAAGGCACAACAATCACTTGAACTTGGGAGGCGGAGGCTGCAGTGAGCCGAGATCGCACCATTGCACTCCAGCCTGGGCAACAGAGCAAGACTCTGTCTCAAAAATAAACAAATAAATAAGTAAAAAAAATAAATAAACAAATAAAGGAGATAGCCAAGGAGCTCAGATTGTCCTGTATAAAGTAGAGCCATCAACAGATGAATGGAGAAATAAATTGTGTTATACACACACAAGGGAATAACATTCAACCCTAAAAAAGGAATGAAGTACATATTGAGACAGGCCACAACATAGACAAACTTTGAGAACATTAGCTAAGTGAAAGAAGCCAGACACAAAAGACCACATAGTGTATAGTTCTATTTACATGAAACGTCCAGGATAGGCAAACGCACAGAGACAGAAAGCACGTGGTCACCTGGGGTTAGCGGAGGGGAGGGAAGGGGAGGGACTGCTTGATGGGTACAGGGGTTGCTTTTGGGATGATGAAAATGTTTTGGCCCTAGATAGAGGGGGTGGCTGCACAACATTGTGAATGTACCTAATGCCCCTGAATTGTTTATTTTTACACGGTTAATTTATATTATATGAATTTCATCTCAATTTAAAATTGTAAAAGATGAGGCTGAGCAATGGTACGAATTAAGAATGGGGAATGGCCACAGTGGACTTTTAGAAGGTTGCTCAAAGGACAGGGTAGGTGACAAAAGCCATCCAGGCAGGGTGGCAGAAGGGAGTGTTCAAAGGCCATTTCTTTCTTTCTTTCTTTCTTTTTTCTAAGACGGAGTCTTGCTCTGTTGCCCAGGCTGGAGAGCAGTGGCATGATCTTGGCTCACTGCAACCTCCACCTCCCTGGTTCAAGTGATTCTCCTGCCTCAGCCTCCTGAGTAGCTGGGACTACAGGCGCCCACCACCACACCTGGCTAATTTTTTGTATTTTTAGTAGAGACGGGGTTTCACCATGTTGGCCAGGATGGTCTCGATCTCTTGACCTCGTGATCCACCCACCTTGGCCTCCCAGAGTGCTGGGATTACAGGTGTGAGCCACCGCGCCCAGCCCAAAGGCCATTTCAAAAGTCTCCATGAATGACAATAAGGTCTTAAACCTGGAGAGGATTTTCATGGAAGGATGGCATTAAGAATTTTTAGGGGCTTCAGTGGGCATGCAGGGTGACTATAAGGAACGTATTTTTTTCAGAATGGCACATTAATAGAAAGTGGTCCTAGGGCAGCGCTTTGCCTGGTAGACTCTGCCTTTGTGCTCTATGTCCAGCCCTTACCAAAGCCCAGGATTCATGCCCCAGAGGTAATTGGCCAACGTGGAGCTGGAGACCTTCACCCCCTTCCAAGAGAAAGCTGCCTAGGGTTAAGTAGGATGAACTTGAGGACAGTTCTGGGAACAGTAGGCTCGATAGCCTCTAAAATAAACTTAACTTCTGAGTCTCTCTCAGCTTTGCCTCTGGAATCAGAACTGGAATCATTTACATACTCGGGTCAAGTAGAAGTGGCAGAATCACGACCCCCTCCTTAGCCCCACTCTGAAACGTTGTCTGTTTGCATAGCCTGAATCCTTTGTACAGCCCTTCCCTGTCTGAACCCTCATGACTTTTCTGAAGAGGACTTTGTGCTTGTTCTGTGTGCCAGGAATTTTAAAATGGCATTTAGCCCAAAGCAAGAAAGTTCTGGCCTCATCTTTATAAAATTATTTTTTAAAGGGAGGGCAGTATTTAATGATGCACAGAGGGACTATCCATGCCCATAGCTGGTCCCTCATCACTCAGCATATGCCAGGGTAATTGCTCTTTCCTGGTGGTGGAGGTGACCCCAGGGGACCCTAACTAATTTGAATATCAAGTCTGATAAGAATGTAATTAGGAAAGGACTGCAGAAAATCTGGTGATGCATTTCTAAAGTCAGACAAACCATGATTTGCCCAATTTCTGCTGTATATTCAACTCTCTTTTGGGTTCTTGCATAAGGAACAAACACCTCAGAGGCATAGAGTCATAGACTCTTAGATGGAAACTTGCCATGTGTCATCCAGTTCAAGCCCCACACCCGTGAGGCTGACATCTGCCCTCACACACACACCTGTGCAGAGATGGTCCCCTGAGCTGTCCTGGCCCATTAGTGACTTCCATCCTCCTGGTTACAGTGATTTCTTCCAAGGTGGTCAAATTGTCAGAGATGTGTGAAATAGAGCAACTCTATCTTCAATAAGAGCTGAGTAAAATGAGACTGAGACCTACTGGGCTGCATTCCCAGACGGTTAGGCATTCTTAGTCACAGGATGAGACAGGAGGTCGGCACAAGATACAGGTCATAAAGACCTTGCTGATAAAACAGGCTGCAGTGAAGAAGCCAGTAAAAAACCCACCAAAACCAAGATGGTGATGAGAGTGGCCTCTGGTCATCCTCACTGCTACACTCCCATCAGCACCAAGACAGTTTACAAATGCCATGGCAACATCAGGAAGTTACCCTAGATGGTCTAAGAAGGGGAGGCATGAATAATCCACCCCTTGTTTAGCATATCCTCAAGAAATAACCATAAAAATGGGCAACCAGCAGGCGTTGGGGCTGCTCTGTCTATGGAGTAGACATTTCATTCCTCAACTTTCTTTCTTTTTTTTTTTTGAGACGGAGTCTCGCTCTGTCACCCAGGCTGGAGTGCAGTGGCGCAATCTCGGCTCACTGCAAGCTCCACCTCCTGGGTTCACGCAATTCTCCTGCCTCAGCCTCCCGAGTAGCTGGGACTGCAGGCGCCTGTGACCACGCCCGGCTAATTTTTTGTATTTTTAGTAGAGACGAGGTTTCACCATGTTAGCCAGGATGTTCTCGATCTCCTGACCTCGTGATCCGCCCGCCTCGGCTTCCCAAAATGCTGGGATTACAGGCTTGAGCCACTGCGCCCGGCCCACTCGTCTACTTTCTTAATAAACTTGCTTTCACTTTACTCTGTGGACTCGCCCTGACTTCTTTCTTGAGCAAGATCCCGATAACCCTCTCTTGGGGTCCGGATAAGGTCCTCTTTCCGGTAACGAAATCAGTCTCCCGTGAGTCAGTCCCGGGGTCTCAGCTGGTTCACAGGGAAAGGCTAGTTCTCTTTTCTTGGGTGTGCAGGGTCAGAAGGATGGAAGGCTGGAGTTGCTGTTTCTGCTGCTACTTGGGTAGAATCTGCCGGGAAATGAAGCCAGCACAGCGGAGTTGAGAGATGGTGAGAGGTTCTTGGAGACGTTGTCTGCTCATTTGAGTCCAGCCATGTGGAACATTCTGGACTTTTTAGTTATATGAACCACAACTTGCTCCCACCACCTTTTAAAAAACTTCAGCCAATTAAGCTGATCTCTGGCTCTTTGTCCTCTAGTGCCCCCTCCGTTATCTGTGTGCGTGACTGTCAACTTCGCCTAAAACCTGGGGGGTTAGATGGCATCCCATGGAGGCCCAGCCCATCATCGGCTCCTCTGTCTGGTGACAAGGACGCTCTCCCCAGTGGCCTCACCCAATGTCCTAATTCTCTTTAGGGAACAGCACGAAGCATGTTGACCCCTTTTGGGTAAAACGTCTTTGTTAGCTGAGCTCCAAAAATTCTTGCCTCAAACTCTTCATTTGCATGTGGGGGGACCCCACCTCCCTCCTGAGCTTCCTGCAGTCTAGGGGACAAGGAGAGCAGGTAGGGGGTAGCTACGGTTTTCCTCTCAGTCCTACCTTTGCTGAAGGGGCCCTCACCTCAGCATCCCCGGCACTGGCTGCCTATGGCCCCCATCATCCTGGAACACAGGTCTGTTTCCCCAACATGTTCGCACAAATATTTGTGTGCAAGCAACTGTGCAGTGTTTGACCTGGTGATGGAGAAAAGCTCACACCACAGCCCCACTCAACCAATAGCCCCAGTCATACATTAGAGAGCCGTCCCTCCACCTCCTTCACCTCCCACGAGTAGGACCCCCTCCCACCCCAGCACCTTTGCCCACTGGCTCAGGCACCTCCTTTCCTCCTAGCCCACTTCCTGCTTTACACACGCCCTGCCTCCTTCTCCCCCAGTTGAAGTCTCATTGGTGTTTTCTAGGGCCATATATTCCCAGCCCCCGTGGCCTCCAGGCTCCACCCTCGTTCCCCCTCTCCCCAGCTCTGACAACCGTGAGCCTCCACTTCCGCAGCACAGCAGCACTGCCAGGGTCCCCAAAGGCCCATGATTTTCTTCTTTGTTCCTCAGCAAGGGTAGGGGGCAGGAGGCCAGATTTAAGTCCCCCCCAGCAGGAGTTACACCTCTCTCCCTGGGAGGCAGGGCCAGCCACAGTCACTTTGGGTTTTCAATAACCATTTGTTTTCTCCCTGCAGCATGGGAAATACTTTCAGCCTGTGATAAGATCTGGTCCCTAACTGTCCTCCTTCCAAGCTCAAGCTCAGCTAACATTGTCTCTCCATCACTCCTCCTCTTTCCAGACCCTTCACCTTCTGTCCAGAATGTACTCCCCTGAATGCCTCTTCCGTGAATACACCCTTGTTTGCTCCCATCTTTCTTAAACCAGGGCGTCCAGAATGGAAGGCTGAATTCCAGATGTGACCTGACCAGCGGCGTGAGGCTTTCCCAGGGGTTAGCTTCACGCAATCCAGGCTGTGCTGGCTTCTCCTGGCAGTGTCCCCATCATCAACTTCCATGACATTTGCTATCCCTATCCATCGTCGGTCAGCAGCTTCCCACACGGCACCCTGCTGTTGGGCTAGGCTTCCCCAGCTTGTGAGGGCGCCCTAAGTGTGAAGGAGCTCCAGCAATGTCTGACCCACCGGTTTTGCCACAGTGAGGCATCTGATTTAGTTGATTTTCTGTATCGACTCCATTATCCTTCACTTGAAACATCCCTCCCAGGTGTGTGCCATTTGCAAATTTGACAAAAATGCCCCTGCTTCTCTCTAAGTCTCTATGGAAGTGCTGGCTGGCACCAAAACAAGGAGGCCTGGGGCCTCCACTGTGGCTGTCCTTCAGGGTGACCCATTGTCTGCAGCTGTCCATCTAGCTATGAATTGACCTGGTGGTGCTACCATCTAGTCCCTGTTTGAGCACCTAATTTACAAAGATATATGCCAGTCAGTATATTGTCTGAGACATTCTTTGGATCCATAAATCTGGTAACTCATGGAAAATGGAAATAAGGTCCTTTGTTGAGACAACCAGGTGGGAAGGGGTCCCAAGAGAAACTCCAGCCGGCCTGCGTACTGGGAGGAATCCGCCCTGGGGTGGAGCCACAGAAGTCTGCACCATGTGCAGTGGGGAGGAGCCTGGCTGCTCCTCTTCTTGGGTGAACCTGGGATTCAATCTGTGAGGTGGGAATGCTATACTAGGTGGACTTGCTCTGCTGAGTCTGTTTCCCCTTTTTTTCTTTTTTCTCAATAAATACTATTATTCCCACCCTTCAAATTGTCTGCGAGCCTAATCTTTCACAGCCGTGTGACAAGGAACCCGTCTTTAGCTGAACTTTAGCTGAAAATGTCCAACAATATTGTGATGTGTTTTATTCCTGAAGAGTTTCGGTTTTGTGTTGACTTCCTTTACACATTCATTAACCAGCTGTAAAATCATCCTTTTCTAACGATTTACATCACATTTACTGGACTATCATTTCTAGAATTTTCTTCCTTGCCCCTTTTTGAAATCAGGTCAGCAGCTCACGGCCTGTTTTCAGCACTTCTCTTGTCCTTCGTCATTTCTTAGAATTGTTGGTTATAGCTCTGAGACGTTGACTCCTGGAGGCTTAAATACCTGAGATGCGATTCATCAGGGTCTGGGGAAGGAACTTGTTTATAGCAGCTGGGGTAGCTATTTTCTCTTTTCACTTATATCTGGACTTATATCCAGCTGCTATCCCCTCTCTGCATTTAATTCAACAAACAGTTCCTGAGCTCCCACAATATGACTGGCATCATGCTTTGTTTTAACCTTTTCAATTCAAAAACCATTCTCTTTCCTGGAACAGGCAGAAATAGGACGAGAGTTGAGACTGTCTGCCTTTGTCCTCTTCTTGAGGGGGTGTATTTGTCCATTTTCCTGCTGCTGATAAAGACATACCCGAGACTGGGTAATTTATACAGGAAAAAGGGTTCCACATGGCTGGGGAGGCCTCACGATCATGGAGGAAGGCAAGGAGGAGCAAGTCATGTCTTACATGGATGGTGCAGGCAAAGAGAGAGCTTGTGCAGGGAAACTACCCCTTATAGAACCATCAGATCTCGTGAAACTTATTCACTATCACAGTAACAGCATGGAAAATACCTGCCTCCATGATTTAATTACCTCCCACCGGGCCCCTCCCACAACACATGGGAATTCAAGACTAGATTTGAGTGGGGACACAGCCAAACTATATAAGGGGGACTTGGTGTGTCCTTGTCCACCTTGCTGAGGGTTGCTGTAAAGGGTGTGTCTGAGTGTGTGTGCTGTGTCCTTTGAAGGCTCTGGTTTGTTCCCAGTTCATACCCTTCTCTTCCCTCCAGCTCCATGGGCTCATCTCTAGAAGATGGGAGTTCCTGGGGTTGGCTCATGCAGCCCCATCCACTTCTTAAGCTATAGCTCCAGCCCCTCTCCCAGTGGAGTCCTTGCAGTTGCAAGACCAGAATTCCATTTACAAAAACATTCCATGAGCCACTTATCCTGGGAGAGACTCAGACCAGGGGCTCCTGTCTCCCTCTGCAACCTGTTTTCTGTGGTAGGGAGGGCAGGGTGGCTTATTCCTTTGCCATTTTGGAGTCAGGGGGTTAGAATCATTTTATTAAGGTTTCTGTAACTTCTTTATTACCAGCTAGCTCTTACTATGAGAGTCGTGGAACAGTCTATAAATCCCATTTCTGAAAACACCACTAAATTTGTGCATATGTGTATAAGAAAAGACATAGAAAAAATCTGGATGGGGTCACACAAAAGATGTTAGCAGAAGTGACTTTTGGCGAGGGGTGAGATGGGTATCTGGAAGATAAGGAGAGGGGCCATTCACTTTTACCATATGTAACATACAAAGTGTAATTTTAAAAAATTATATATTTATAGTTAAATAAAAATTATAGGAGGTCATTTTTTTGGCCTTCGCTCCTGCACTAGGCCCCAACAGACCAGACTAAAAAGAAAAATGCAGTCACTCATAGTAAATTCCACATCACCAAACCAAAACTGAGTTGTTAGCTGGCCTTCTAAAAAACAGAGACAGATAACAGGCACATTTCCCAAACAGGCCAGTTTCACTAGGCTTGAGAATGAAGTTCCCACTGCTTTAATCCTTACCAAAAAAAGGTAACCTGCAGTAACCTTGTGTTAGCCAATCAGTCACCTCTCCAGTGCTCCCTGTTCCCACCTTACAAGGGATATAGCTTTAAAATGATCCATCTGCTTTTTGTTCTTTCTTTCTTTCTTTCTTTCTTTCTTTCTTTCTTTCTTTCTTTCTTTCTTTCTTCTTTCTTTCTTTCTTTTTTTTTTTGTATTCGAGGGAGTCTCACTCTTGTTGCCCAGGATAGAGTGCAATGGCACGATCTCGGCTCACCGCAACCTCTGCCTCCCAGGTTCAAGCAATTCTCCTGCCTCAGCCTCCCTAGTAGCTGGGATTACAGGTGCCCACCACCATGCCTGGCTAATTTTTGTATTTTTAGTAGAGACAGGCTTTCACCATGTTGGCTAGGCTGGTGTCAAACTTCTGGCCTCAGGTGATCCACCTTCCTCTGCCTCCCAAAGTACTGGGATTATAGGCGTGAGCCACCGCGCCCAGCCTGTTTTTGTTTTCCTCAACCCTTCTCTGTCTATAAAGCCAACTTCCTCTGCTTAGTTCATTGGAACACTTATTCTATTTTTCATTTTTCTTTTCTTTCTCTCTTTTTCTTTTTTGAGACAAGAGTCTTGCTCTGTTGCCCAGGTTGGAGTGTAGTGGTGCAATCACAGCTCACTGCAGCCTCGACCTCCTGGGCCAAAGCGATCCTCCATTTCATCCCATTCCCTAAGTAGCTGGGATTACAGGTGTGCGTCACTACGCCAAATTTTTTGCAGAGACAGGGTCTTGCTATGTTGCCCAGGCTGGTCTTGAATTCCTGGCCTCAAGCAATCCTCCAGCCTTGGCTTCCCAAAGTGCTGAGATTACAGGCATGAGCGGCCTCGCCATGCTGCTTATTCTATTTTATATAATGAAGTGTTGCCCTGACTGTAAAATCACAAATAAAGCCAATTAAGATATTTAAACTAAATTGTAATTTTTTCTTTTGATAATATATAATATACATATCTGTGATCTGTGAGTATAAACTTTTTTCTTCATGACAATTATTTCAGTGTCTGCCTATCTTATCAAACATACCTGATCATAGCAAGTCCCAGGTACATTTTCAAATGGGTACATTTGGGACTGGCTTTTTTTCACTCAGCGTAAGCCTCTGGAAATTCATCCAGGTTGCCGTGTGTATGAATGGCATGTTCTGTTCTGTTTTTTCCTTTTTTTTTTTTTTTTTTGCTGAGTGTATTCCATAGTATGTTTGTTTAGCCATTCTCTTCTTGAAAGACATCTGGGTTGCTTCCAGGTTTTTTTGCTATTATTCATAACACTGCAAAACCATTCATGTGCAGGTTTTGTGTACGTGTGAACATAAGACTTCATTTCTCTGGGACAAATGCCCAAGAGTGCCATTGCTGGATTGTATGGCAGTTGCATGTTTGGTGTTTTAAAGAAACTACCAAACTGTTTTCCAGAGTGTTTGCATTTCACGTTCCCACTGAAAATGTATGAATGATCCGATTTCTCTGCATCCTGGCCAGCATTGCGTGTGATTACTTTGTTTTGGCCATTCTTATAGGTGAGTCGTGCATCTCACTATGGTTTCAGTTTACATTTCCTCAATGGCTAATGAAGTGCCTTTTCATACACTTATTTCTCTTCTGTATATCCTCTTCAGTGAAATGTTTTTTCATGTCTTTTGCCCATTTTCTAATTGGGCTATTTGAATTTTTTCACAGTTACATTTGAGAGTTCTTTGTATATTCTAATTACTAGTCCTGTGTTTGACTTGTAGCCTGCAAATATTTTCCCCCCATCTGTAGGTTTTCTTTCCATCCTCTTAACAGGATCTTTCAATGAGCAGGAATTTTAAATTTATTTTTAATTTTTTTTTTTTTTGAGACAGGATCTCACTTCGTTACCCAGACTGGAGTGCAGTGGCACAATCTCGGCTCACTGCAACCCCTGCCTCCAGGATTCAAGCAATTCTTGTGCGTCAGCCTCCCGAGTAGCTAGGACTACAGACGTGCACCACCACGCTCAGCTAACTTTTGTATTTTTAGTAGAGACAGGCTTTTGCCATGTTGGCCAGGCTGATCTTGAACTCCTGACGTCAAGTGATCCGCCCACCTTGGCCTCCCAAAGTGCTGGGATTACAGGCGTGAGCGACAATGCCTGGCCTAGTTTTTAATTTTGATGAAGTCCAAATTATCAAATTTTCCTTTTATGAATCATGTTTTTGATGTCAAGTCTAAGAACTATTTGCCTAGCCCTAGGTCCCTAAGGTTTTCTCCTATGTTTTTTCTAAAAATGTTATAATTTTATATTTTATCTTTAAGTTTATGATCCATTTTGAGTTAATTCTTATGAAAGGTGTGAGACCTAAGTAGAATTTATTTTCTTTCTTTCTTCCTTTCTTTCTTTCTTCTTCTTCTTCTTCTTTTTTTCTTATGGATGTCCAGTTGCCTTAGTTTGTTGTGAAGGTGATCTTTCTTTTTTTTTCTTTTTTCTTTCTTTCTTTCTTTTTTTTTTTTTTTTGAGACAGAGTCTTACTCTATCACCCAGGCTGGAGCGCAGTGGTATGATCTTGGCTCACTGCAACCTCCACCTCCCAGGTTCAAGGAATTCTCCTGCCTCAGCCTCCTGAATAGCTGGGACTACAGGCACGTGCCACCATGCCTGGCTGATTTTTGTAGTTTTAGTAGTGACAGGGTTTCACCATGTTGGCCAGGCTGGTCTTGAACTCCTGACCTCAAGTGATCCACCCGCCTCGGCCTCCCAAAAAGCTGATCTGTGTTACATTGAATTGATTTTGTACCTTTGTCAAAGATCGGTTGGGCATATTCTTTTGGGTCTATTTCTGGGTTCTCTGTTCTGTTCCATTGATTAATGTATCTACTCTTCTGCCAAATACCAATCTTGATTAGTGCAGATATTAATACATACAAAGTCTTGAAATGGGGTAGGGTGATTCCCTCCCATTTTATTATTTTTCAAAATTGTTTTAGCTATTCTAGTTCCTTTACCTTTCCATTTAAATTTTAGAATAATCTCATCTATATGTACAAACAACCTTGCTGGAATTTTGGTAGAAATTACATTAAACCTGTATATCAATTTTGGAAGAACTGACATCATTACTACGTTGAGCCTTTCAATACATGAACACAATATATCTCTCCATTTATTCAGATTTTCTTGGATTTCTTTCACAAGTCTCGTGTAGTTTTCAGCATACAAATCCATGTTTTGTTAGATTTACACTTCAGTAGTTCTCTTTCTCTCTCTTTTTCATGATCGTAAATGACATTGTAGTTTTAATTTTGGTGCTAGTATATATAAATAAATAAAATTTTGTATAATTATCTTGTATCTTGCAACTTTGCTGAAGTTATTTATTCCAGGAGTTTTGTTTTGTTTTGATTTTTTGGGATTTTCTAGGTAGACAAGCATGCCTTCTCTTTTTTTTTTTTTTTTTTTGTTGAGACGGAGTCTCGCTCTGTGGCCCAGGCTGGAGTGCAGTGGTGCGGTTTTCTCTCACTGCAAGCTCCGCCTCCCAGGTTCACGCCATTCTCCGGCCTCAGCCTCCCGAGTAGCTGGGACTACGGGCGCCCGCCACTGCGCCTGGCTAATTTTTTTTTGTATTTTTAGTAGAGACGGGGTTTCACCGTGGTCTCGATCTCCTGACCTTGTGATCCGCCTGCCTCGGCCTCCCAAAGTGCTGGGATTACAGGCATGAGCCACCGCGCCCGGCCAGCATGCCTTCTCTTAATAGGCATAGTTGTATTTCTTCCTCTTAAATCTGGATGCTTTTAATTTCCTTCTCTTCTGTCGTTGCACTGGTGAGAACTTGCAGTATAATGTTGAATAAGAGTGGTGAGGGTGGACATTCTTGCCTTATTCTCGGTCTTAGCAGGAAAGCATTTTGTCTTTATTTAGCTGCTGGGTGTTTTGGTAAATGAGCTTTATCAAGTTAATATCAATATTCCTTTTTTCTCTAAGAGTTTTTAAAAATTATGAGAGTGTTGAATTTTGTCAGATGCTTTCACTGCATTGATTGACATGATCCTGTGGTTTTTCTTCTTTAGCCTGTTAATACGGTAGAGGACATTTATTTTGGGATCTTCAACCAGATTTGCATCCTTGTGATAGATCCTTGGTCATATTACATGATTCTTTTAATGTATGGCTGAATTCTCTGTCAATATTTTGTTAAGGATTTTTGCATTTAAATTCATGAGGCATATTGCTCTGTAATTTTCTTTCTTTTTTGTATGATCATTGTACAGTTTTGACATCAGGTTAATACTAGCTTCATAAAGTGATTGAGAAGTGTTACTTCCTCTTCTATTATCATGAACAGACTGTGTAGAATTGGTTTAAATTCTTCAAGTTCTTGCTAAAACTCTCCAATGATACCATCTACGCCTGGAGATTTCTTTACTAGGAGTTTCAAAATTATCAGCTGGATTTCTTAAACAGTTACAGGGGTTATTTAAATGATCTATTTTATATTGGGTGAGTTGTGGTAGTTTGTGGATTTGTCTGTTTGTTGAGGAAGTGGTCCATTTCATCTAGGTTGCCAAATTTATGTGCGTAGAGTTGTTCCTAGCATTCCCTTATCTACTTATCTATTGATTCATTCCTTTCACAATGTTTATTATGCACTTGCATTTTTCTCTTTTTAAAATTGTGGTAAAACATATATAACATAAAATTTACCATTCCACTTTCTGTCTCTATGAATTTGATACTGTAGGTATCTCACTTTAGTGGAATCATACAATATTTGTCCTTTTGTGCTGGTTTATTTAACTTAACATAATGTCTTCAAGGTTCATCCATGTTGTAGCAGGTGTCAGAATTATCTTCCTTTTTAATGCTAAATAATATTTCATTGTATGGATATCACACATTTGGTTTCTCTGTTTATATCTGTTGATGGACACTTGAGTTGCATCTACCTTTTGACTATTGTGAATAATGCTGCTGTGAACACGGTGGTGCAAACACCTGTTTGAGTTCCTGCTTTCAGTTCTTTTGTGTGGATACCCAGAAATTGGATTGCTGGATCATATGGTAATTCTGCGTTTAATTTTCTGAGCAACTGTCGTACTATTTTCCACAGCAGTTGCAGCATTTTACATTCCCAGCAGCAGGACACAGGATTCCAATCTTTTCACATGCATGCCAACACTTACTATTTTGTGGTATCTCATTGTGATTTTGATTTGCATATTCTTAATGATTAGAGACAAATATTAATTACCTTTTCTTGGGCTTACTGGCCATTTATGTGTGTGTGTGTGTGTGTGTGTGTGTGTGTGTGTGAGAAATATCACTTGTCATCCTTATGATAGCTGCAGGGTCTATAGTGAAACTCCCTTTTGCATTCCTTACATTGATACTTTGTGTCTTTCATTTTTATCAGTCTTGCTAGGGATTTGTTAACTTCATTGGTCTTTCAAAGAAATGGTTCCTTGTCTCAAAAATTTTGTTTTTTTCTTTTTGTTTTTAGTTCCATTGAACTATCTTTATTATTTCTTTCCTTCTGCTTGCTTTGGGTTTATTCTGCTGTTCTTTCTCTAGGTTGATGAGGTGGGAGCATAGATTGTTTGAGACTCTTTTCAAATGCATACATTTTAATCCTATGAATTTTCCTCTAAGCACTGCTTTAGCTGTGTCTCACAAATTTTGCATACATGCTGTACTTTCATTTTAATTCAATTCAATGTCAGTTTTCCCCCCTTGAAGCTGCCTCTTTGATCCATGGATTATTTAGAAGAATGTTATTTAGTTTCCAAGTGTTTTGAGATTTTCCTCTTATCTTTCGGTTTTTCTTTTCTAGTTTGATCCCATTTTGGCTAGAGAACACATTCTGTATGATTTTAACCATTTTAAATTTGTTGAGGTTTGATTACTTTGTTTGAGGACTAACTTGGTGTATGTTCCTTGCACACTGGAAAAAAATCTGTATTCTGCTGTTGTTGGATGGAACGGTATATAAATGCCAATTAGATCCTATTGGTTGATGGTGGTGTTGAGTTCTTTTGGGCTTGCTGAGGTTACTAAGGCTACTTTGTTGATAAATCCAGTGGATATTTTCTTGTCTTCATCCAACTTGAACTCTCCTGGGTTTTTGCAGTAGCATCTTCACTCATCCTGCCTCAGTGTTGGTTCCTCTAGTCCATTTTCCATTTGGCAGCCAGAGCTCACCTTCTAGCAGGTGGGTCTGGTCCTATGGGCTCTTCAGAGCCTTTAGATTAATTTAAATTCCTTAGTCCAGCATGCAAAGCCCTTTGCAATGTGGTCTTGTTCACCTCCCCAGCTTTGTTTTCTGCCATTCTTCCTTGTACCCCATGAACCAGCCATCCTTGACCAATGCCACTCTCCTTGAATAGGCTACCTCCCTCCTCTACTTAATGCTTTTGCATGCACTGTTTCCTGTGCATGGAACAACACTCAGGTTCCCCTTTATCCTGCCAGTCCTTCTCTTCCTCTCCACTCAGATGTCCCCTCTTCCCAGAAGCCTGCCTTGAACTTTCTCCCCATTCCAAAGAGATGGACCATCTATGTGTTGTCATACAGCTTTGAGGTTCTCTAGCTCAGCATTAATCATGCTGCCTTCCTTACTTTCAATTAGTCTGCTTTTCCCACAAGACAGGAGCTCTCTGAGGTTAAGGATTGTGGCTCAAGGGGCCCCTCAGGACATCTGGGGCTTAGCAGATGTGTAGATCCTGGCTGCTGAGTGAAGCAGAAGCAAATGGCGTGTACATTAGAACCCAAATAGAGAAGTTGCTTGTTTTTTCTTTCTTGAAATGCAGCAGCCACTCCTTACTGCACCAAGGATGTAAGTGGAGCTTGACATTGGACTTTCCGACTGCATGCTCCTAGAGGGCAGCTCTGTTTTGGCCTTGCTATCATCCCCCAAAACACTAGAGCGTGGGGGTTAGTTTCAGTGCTGATCTTTATTGCTCAGAAATTTTATTTTGTACTTACTCAAAGAGTTCTTTTAGAATTACTTAGATACAGTGGGTTTTTAAATCATATGTTGCTTTTATGCACAATAAAAAGGAAAATATAAACAAAACTAATGGTTAAGAAATTCCTGACACTTCTTTGCCTTCGGAGTGAGGGATGTCCTTGTTTTTCACACAGTATTGTCCTCTGAGCCATCAAGAGCCTTTGTCAGGCAGGATTCCTTAGAAGAATTCTCCTTGGCCACCTCCAGGATTGTCTCCCAAGGCATTGGTGCCTGTATTGCAGAATATGCTGGTGCCTTGGACGTTTGCCCACATTTGTCTTCTCCAATTCTCCCACCCAACTGACAGAACAATGACACTAATTTTTTTTTTTTTTTTTTTTTTGGAGATGGAGTCTCGCTCTGCTGCCCAGGCTGGAGTGCAGTGGTGCGATCTCGGCTCACTGCAAGCTCCGCCTCCCAGGTTCAAGCAATTCTCCTGCCTCACCCTCCTGAGTAGCTGAGACTACAGATGCATGCCACCACTCTCAGCTAATTTTTTGTATTTCAGTAGAGACAGAGTTTCACCGTGTTGCCCAGGCTGGTCTCGAACTCCTGAGCTCAGGCAATCTGCCCGCTTCGGCTTCCCAAGTGACAACAATTTTAAGACATATCCCAAGTGTAGCATCCTTAGAGTGTGGAAAAAAAAAGTGTATCTTAGAGTTAACAAAATTTGATTAAATAATCCTTCCTTTTCCATTGTTTTGAATCATTTTTACCTTATATTCAGTTTCCATATGAACACGAGGTCTAAGTTCTCAGTTCTCTTCCACCAGCTGATCAGTTCTTGTGTGAGTATCTGGCACTCTGCCTTCTTACTATGGTGTGGAATATGCCTTCATGTCCAGGATGGCAAGTCCCCTCTTTATTCCTTTTTTTCAGTGTTATTAACCTAGCCTTATTTTTATCTATCTATCTATCTATCTATCTATCTATCTATCATCTATCTATCTATCTATCTATCTATCTATCTATCTATCTATCATCTATCTACCTATCTATCTATTTTCTTGAGACAGGGTCTTGCTCTGTTGCGGAGGCTGGAGTGCAGTGAATTCCTGGGCTTAAGTGATCCTCCCACCTCAGCCTCCCAAGTGGCTGGAACTACAAGTGTGCACCATTGTGCCCAGCTAATTCTTAAATTTTTTGCAGAGATGTGGTATTGCCATGTTGCCCAGGCTTGTCTGGAACTCCTGAGCTCAAGTGATTCTCCCACCTCAGCCTCTCAAAGTGTTGAGATTACAGGCATGAGCCACTGTGCCTAGTCTACTTTTATTTCTCTGTATACATTTTAGAATAGGTTTATCAAGTTCCTTTAAAAAAATCCAAGTAGAATTCTGGGTTTTTGTATTGAGTTTATTGATTCATTACAGTGAATATATAATTTATAATTAATTTATAATACAATTAACACAAATTTAAATTACAAATTAATATAAAGAATGTTGTTAATATAATTAATTATAATTAACATCAATTTATATTCATTTACATTACAAATCAATATAAATAAATTATGTTATAGAATACATTGTATTATATATTATATAATAATTAATATAGATTAATTTTAATCTATATTAATAGATTGATTTGGTAAAAACTGATATCTTTATAATAAGTTATCCTATGCAAGAAATGAAGTGTCTCCTTTTAATTCAAATCGTCTTGTGTTTTAAGTCATGCTTATTGAGGTATAATTTACACACAGTAAAATTCACTCCTTTTAGATACACATTTCTATGCGTTTTGACGAATGTATACCGCGATGTAATCATTGCCACAATCAAGATATGGGCTATATTTGGGGTCTGTCTTTACTTGGGGAGAGCCCAGTCATCAAGCCAAGAAATCAAGTGTTGATTCTGGCCTTCAGCCCCCTTTGAAAAGAGCTGGGGAGGAATCAGCAAAGCCCCAGGAGTGGGGCATTTGCTGGTACGGAAGGTGGGAGTGAGATTTGCAAATGGGCCTTTCAGGCAGGGTCCTTCCATGGGGGCTAGGGTGAGAAATGACCTTAGTGCTGCCAACCAAGTCAACCACTGGGTAGATATGTATATTTTTTTTGAGACAGAGTTTCGCTCTGTCGCTCAGGCTGGAGTGCAATGGCACGATCTCTGCTCACTGCAACCTCCGCCTCCCAGGTTCAAGCAATTCTCTGCCTCAGCCTCCCGAGTAGCTGGGATTACAGGCACCCACCACCACGCCCGGCTAATTTTTTGTATTTTTTAGTAGAGACGGGGTTTCACCATTTTGGCCAGGCTGATCTTGAACTCCTGACCTCATGATCCACCCGCCTCGGCCTCCCAAAGTGCTGGGATTACAGGCATGAGCCACCGCGCCTGGCTTTTTTTTTTTTTTTTTTGAGACGGAGTCTTGCTCTGTTGCTCAGGCTAGAGTACAGTGGCGCCATCTTTGCTCACTGCAACCTCTGCCTCCTGAGTTCAAGTGATTCTCCTGCTTCAGCCTCCTGCATACCATAGTTGGGATTACAGGCGTGCACCACCACACCCAGCTAATTTTTTGTATTTTTAGTATAGATGAGGTTTCACCATGTTGGCCAGGCTGGTCTTGAACTCCTGACCTTACGTGATCCACCCACCTCGGCCTCCCAAAGTGCTGGGATTACAGGCATGAGCCATGGTGCCCGGCCCCACTGGGTAGATTTTAAGTTGATCTGGCGGAATGAATCCTTGCTTCCTGGTCTCTCATTTTCAGCTGTTTTGCAACTGTATTCTTCCCCTCTGGGCTCCCCACTTTTCAAAGTTGCTGTTGGTGATGGCGTTGGGTATGTGGGTCTATGTTTTAATTCTAACCTTCTTTATATTAAGAGGGAAAAAGGTTTGTCTGACCGTGGCCAGGACAGAGAAGGTGCAGGGCATACCCGAGGTCCTGCTGTGTCGTGGCAGCCGCCACCCTAGGTCCCGGGCGGAGGAGATGGAGAGGGGAACCAGAGCAGACAGAGACAGAAAGTCATTCAGCAGAGAGCATCAGAGACCCTGAGCGTGCTCACTCCCCTACCTGCAGCTCTCCTGCAGTAGCCCCCACTGCTTCATATATGTGCACTTACATTTTCAAAGGCAACTCTATAAAGGCCAGCCACAGCCCAGGAGAGGCTGCGACATCTTCAGTGCTCTCAGCTCCTGCACAAGGAGCTGACTTACTTAGCTTCTGGATAAGCTGTCACTGAGTGTACAAAAGGGGTGAGGGCCGCAGACACCCATCTTTTCTTTTTTTCTTTTTTCTTTCTTTTCTTTGAGGTGGAGTTTCGCTCTTGTTGCCCAGGCTGGAGTACAATGGTGCGATCTTGGCTCACTGCAACCTCCGCTTCCAGGGTTCAAGCAATTCTCCTGCCTCAGCCTCCTGAGTAGCTGGGATTACAGGTGTCCGCCACCATACCTGGCTAAGTTTTGTATTTTTAGTAGAGACAGGGTTATACCATGTTGGCCAGGCTGGTCTTGAACTCCTGACTTCAGGTGATCTGCCCGCCTCGGCCTCCCAAAGTGCTGGGATTATAGGCATGAGGCACCGCACCCAGCCCCCATCTTTTCTTTTTCAGAAAAATCTGAAAAATCCCATGGACCCTGGGAAGCTGCCAAGGGCCCCTCGCAGGAATCTGTAGTTAGGAAAATTCCATTGATAACAGCTGATGTGGATTGAGTCCAGGTGGCTGCCACTATGCTACAAACCTATGAGATATTGTTAGTTACCCCCATGTGATGGTTAATTTAATATATTAACTTAAATGGGGCATGGAATGCCCAGATACTTGCTCAGACATTATTCTGAGTGTTTCTGTGAGGGTGCTTTTGGACGAGATTAACACTTAAATCCATAGACTGAGTAAAGCAGATTACCCTTCGCAATGCACTGAATGTTCTTGTCTCTCCCCCCAAAATTGATATATTAAAAACCTAATCCCCAAGGTGATGCTGTCAGGAGATGGGGCCTTTGAGAGGCGGTCAGGTCACAAGGGTTGAGCCTTCATCAGTGGGATTAGTGCTCTTATAAAAGAGCCTCTGGAGGACCCCCCACCCTTCTACCATGTGAGGGCACAGCAAGAAGCTGGCCGTCTGCAACCTGGAAGAGGACCCCCAGGGGAACCCCACCGTGCTGGCATCCTGACCTCAAACTTTCAGCCTTCAGAATGATGAGAAATAACTCTCTGTTGTTTACAAGCCACCGAGTCTATGGGATTTTGTAAAAGCAGCCCAAATGGACGAAGACACCCTCCATCATGAGTGGGCCTCATCTAATCAGTTGAAGGTCTCAATGGTGTAGTTCAAGGTTAGCCCTTTGCTGAGTGAGTGAGAACTCTCCTACCTGATGGGCTGTGAGCTGGGACCTTGGCTCTCCCCGCTTCTGCAGCACTCCTCTGTTTTTCTGGAGAACTGTCACTAAGGCATTTTACAGATATGAAGAATGAAGCTGAAGGCCAGGCGTGGTGGCTCACACCAGCACTTTGGGAGGCCAAGGCAGGCAGATCACCTGAGATCAGGAGTTCAAGACCAGCCTGGCCAACATGGTGAAACCTTGTCTCTACTAAAAATACAAAAATTAGCCAGGTGTGGTGGCATGCACCTGTAATCCCAGCTTCTAAGGAGGCAGAGGCAGGAGAATTGCTTGAACTCAGGAGGCAGAGGTTGCCATGAGCCAAGATGGCACCACTACACTCCAGCCTGGGCAACAGAGTGAGACTTGGAACAGATGCAGAGTGAGCCAGTCCAACAACCCCTGCACTTCCGCCCCACGCCCCTCTCCAGATGTAAACACTGTGACATTTTAGAGCATGCTCAAATAGGCATATCTTCCAGATCTTTTCTGCACAATAATATACATACAACAGCTTACATAATTGTCTGTACAAGAATATATACACATATAGGCACAATATATATGTGTGTGTGTGTCTACATATTTATATATTTCTAGCTTTAGTTGTTAAAAAATATTAAAAACTACATAATTGTTTGAAGCTTGCTTTTTTGTCTAAAAATATATCTTGGAGAGCTTTCCACATCAGATCATTCAGTGACCTTCTGTGTGTTGACTGGTGCATAGTATTCCATGGGATGTGTGCACCACTATTCACTGTATCGTCTTATTCATGGACATTTATTTCCAATCTTTCCGCTCAGTTAGAGCAATGCTACAATGCACAGCCTTGGCTATTTTGTATTGCATTAAAAAAAAAATCAGGCCAGGCATGATGGCTCACTCACGCCTGTAATCCCAGCACTTTGGGAGGCCGAGACGGGCGGATCACGAGGTCAGGAGATCGATACCATCCTAGCTAACACAGTGAAACTCCGTCTCTACTAAAAATACAAAAAAAATTAGCCGGGCATGGTGGTGGGCACCTGTAGTCCCAGCTACTCGGGAGGCTGAGGCAGGAGAATGGCGTGAACCTGGGAGGCGGAGCTTGCAGTGAGCCGAGATCGCACCACTGAACTCCAGCCTGGGCGACAGAGCGAGACTTCGACTCAAAAAAAAAAAAAAAAATCAGATGGGACTTATTACAAAACATACTATTATCTTATGTGGCACCAAGAAGGAAAAAGATGCTGCTAGTTACAATATGGCACAATGTTCACTGTAAGCACATACAGTTCAGAGATGTGAACGTGTGAAAAAGTGTGTACCTTTGCTCTGTTGTTTGAGCAAACCTGTGGGAGAGCATCTTCGACGTGGAGGTGCTGGGCTGAGACGTGGAGGCTGCAAGGTGGACAGTACTTAGGGAGCAACATGGGCAAGGCGAAGGTTGGAGGCTGGGAGGGACATCGATTCAAATCATTGACAGAGGCTAACAGATGGTCCCGCATCAGGGCGGCACCAATCCATCTTCCATGTGGGAGTCTTTGAAAGTGTTGACTGGCTGGGCGCGGTGGCTCATGTCTGTAATCCCAGCACTTTGGGAGGCCGAGGCAGGCAGATCATCTGAGGTCAGGAGTTCGAGACCAGCCTGGTCAACATGGTGAAACCCCGTCTCTACTAAAAATACAAAATATTAGCTGGGCGTGGTGGCCAGTGCCTGTAATCCTGGCTACTTGAGAGGCTGAAGCAGGAGAATCGCTTGAACCTGGGAGACAGAGGTTGCAGTGAGCCAAGATCGAGCCACTGCACTCCAGCCTGGGCCACAGAGAGAGACTCCATCTCAAAAAGAAAAAAACCAAAGTGGTGACTGACGTGACTTAGTGCCTTGGGAGGAGATGAATTGGTTTCCTGTTGCTGCTGGAACAAATGACCCCACACTGCATGGCTTAGAACAATGGTTTTAGACACCAGGAGTCTGAAATCACCGTGTCTGCAGGGCCACACTCCCTCTCGAGGCTCTAGGGGAAAACCCTGCCCTGTCTTTTCCAGTTTCTGGGGCCCAGGTGTTTGCTGGCTTGACATGCAGCACTTCAGTCTCTGCTGCCATCTGCACGTGGCCTCCCCCTGTGTCTCTGAGTCTCAAATCTTCTGCCTTTCTCTCATGAGGACACTTGTTATTGGATTCAGGGTTCACTTGGATTATCCAGGATAATCTCATCTCAAATCCTTAACTTAATGACACCTGCAGAGACCCTTTTGCCAAATAAGGTCACATTCACCGGTTCTGGGTGGACATATGTTTTGGGGGCCTCTATTCCAATCTGCAACAGGAGGTGACTTCCTTGGGTGTGCTTGTCCACTCCTTAAGTCCCCAGTGTCCGGTCCAGAGCTGGTCACAGTGGCCCAGGAGCTGGGCAGACATAAGGGGTGAGCCTGTTTCTGGAGAAGCCCCATGTCCCACCAGTACCAGAGGCAGAATGTGAAGACTGGGAGCATGGGGCGGGAGAGTAACAAAGGCAGGTGGGAGGGGCTGCTCTGGGAACAGAGGGGAGGACGGGGACAGAGATGAGGAGGCTTCCCTCCTAGGGTACAATGGTTGCTCAGCTGAGGCCTGGGAACCTGGGGAGAGACACAGACATTCAGGCCTGATCCAGGAGGGTCGGGCTGGATTCAAGAGGTTGGGAAGACTTCTGCAGAATCAAGATATTTTAAACTAAGGCTTAAGACCTGCTGACACCAAGGCCTCAATCTTGCCATCTGTAATTGCCTGTGACCTTATAAAACCTGTCCTCCCCTCCGGGGTCGTGTTTGTCTCTTTCCTGTGAGCTGGCTGGAGGCTGGGCTGTCATTCACCATCCCCAGTAGCTATCAGGTCTCTATTTGGCAGTAGGCACACACGAAATGCACTCTTTGCCTGCAAAGCATCCTTGTCCTGGAGGAGAGAAATGAAGGTAAAGAGCTGTCAAAATGCAGTATGGTAAGTGCTGAGTGCTGCATGCTAAGTGCTGAGTGCTGCATGCTAAGTGCTGAGTGCTGCATGGTAAGTGCTGAGTGCTGTGTGGTAAGTGCTGAGTGCTGTGTGGTAAGTACTGAACGCAGCATGGTAAGTGCTGAGTGCTGTGTGGAAAGTGCCGAGTGCAGAGTGGTAAGTGTTGAGTGCTGAGTGCTGTGTGGAAAGTGCTGAGTGCTGTGTGGAAAGTGCCGAGTGCAGAGTGGTAAGTGTTGAGTGCTGAGTGCTGTGTGGAAAGTGCTGAGTGCAGAGTGGTAAGTGTTGAGTGCTGAGTGCTGCAGGCCACCCAGGTGCCTTCCACTCATGAGTGCCCCCACCCCCGTTTTACAGAAGAGGAAACTGAGACTCTGAGAGGGCGAGCTCCTGCCTAGCGACCCAGTGGTGATGGGGAAGGGCTAGAGCTCCACACTGCACCCATCAGATCCCAAAGTCTTGCTCTTTCTGGAATAATTCAGGAGTGAGAGAAGTTTGGTGGGGCGATGCCTGTGCAGGGAAGGAGGAGAGAGTGCAGGATGGGGCAGGAAGAGCCTCCCACTGGGGTGCCCTCTGACAAAGCCTAGGATCCCCCAACAGGGAGCTCCAGAACAAAGGTTGCCTTGGAAGGGTCATGTGAGTGGCCCACCTCCCAGCTCCTCTAGGACAGATAGGTGCCCAGAAATGTGGGGTTCATACCCCAGGCCTTGCGTGACTTTCCTGGGGCTGCCGTGATGAGTTACCACAAACTCAGCAGCTTAAAACAATGGAAATTGATTATCTCAAAGTTCTGGAGGCCACAGGTCCGAGATCAAGGTGTCAGTAAGGCTGTGCCCTCCACAGGCTCTAGGGGAGACCCCTCCTTGCCCCTTCCAGTTTCTGGCTTGAAGCTGCTTCACTGCAGCCTCTGTCCTCACACAGCCTTCATCTCTGTGTGTCCAGATCTCCCTCTCCTTATAAGGACACTGGTCTTTGGATTTAAGGCCCACCCAAATCTAGTGGGACCCCATCTGAACTAACCACATCCGCAAAGACCCTATTTTGAAATAAGGTCACCTTCTGAGGTTTCGGGTGAGCATTTTGGGGGACACCGTTCAACCTGGTACAAGTCCTGTCCAGAACTGGAGGAGTTTCTCAGAAATGAGATCTAAATGGACACCTGCAGGGGCCGGGAGGAGAGGGTTCTAGGCAGGGGATCAGCCTATGCACAGGCCCAGAGGCTAAAGATTGTGAAGCTGTTTCAGTACAGTGAGAACATTCTAGAAATAAGGATGGTGGGGGTCACAGGCAGGCATAGTGCCAAGGTCAGCAGGGCCGCATCAGGAAGGGGCCTCTGAGCCAGGTTCTGGAATCTGGCCTTTCTCCTGAGCCATGGAAAGGCCCTAACCCAGGCTCCAGGGGATTGGCCTCCTCCCTCTCTCCAGGGCATGGGGTCTCCCTGGATGTCTGTCCCCGCCTGGGGATGCTGAATCTCCCCTCCCCCTCATCTCTTCCCCTTCCCCTCCCCCAGCACCTGGGCTGCCTGCAGTGACAGGTTCCAGTAACCCATGCTCCTATCAGATCGCCAGACAGAACTGGGGCCAAGAGCACGAAGAGGATGGGGAGTGGGCGGGAGCGCTGTTGCTGGGAAATGTCTGGGACACTTGCCCTGCCTCACAGAGAGTGTCCGGCCACCTCTGATGCGGGACAGGAGCGCTCAGGGGAGGAAGGCGAGGACCTTAGGGCCTGTGCACCCTCCTCTCCAGGTAGGAAGACGGGAGGAGGGGGCCTTGGGGCAGCTCAGGACTGAGACTTTCTCCCTCCAGGTGGGGCGGAGCTGCCTGCACCTGCCTCTCTGAGCTCCTCTTGCATTGCTGGGGACTGAGGCGATTTCCAGGGCGTGGCACGAAAGCCTCTCTTCCTTTTGGATGACTTAAGAATCTGAGTTTCTTCCTGACAGTTGATCCCAGCCTGGAGGGTGTTCCTATCTTGTGTGGCGGTTTCAGATCTAGACCCCAGCCATGTCAGACTGGAAGGCAGCTCCTCCTCTGGGGCTCCCGAAAGAGACATTCCTGGGTAATCATCGTCAGCAACCCACCCCCACGGCACCACACGGCAGACCCCAGAGCCCTGGCTGCGCCTCTCTGCTCAGCCAGCAGGTTGCCATGGCAACGAGCCAGTATAAGCATCTCCATCAATAAGCCGGAGGCTTCCCAAGACTCCTCGGGAGCCTGGCCCCCGACACAGCCTTGGGGTGGGAAAGAAACCACAAGGTTCCATACAGAGGTGATTAAATAGCAAGGAGAGGAACTGGGCATGAGAAAGGGCTCAGAGATGATTGCATCAAATGTCTGTGTCTTTTGCAAGTCCAATCCTGACACTGCAGTGAGAATTATTTGCTTGATGGGAAATGGCAGAGGGGATGTTCTGGATCCCAGACTATGGTGCTCACCAGACTTTGATTTGGGGCTACGGGGATGCAGGCTGCTAGTCTGTCTTTTAGCTGGTACACGTGTGTCCCCTGTGGCTACACCAGGCCTAATGAACTCACAGGGGTGCCCCAGGCTGAGCTAAATGTGTCTGCAGGCAGGAGTGCATTCACGTCTGCACACAACTGAATGTGCAGACCTAGGAGAGACGGAAAGAAGTGGGGGCCAGGCGCAGTGGCTCATGCCTGTAATCCCAGCACTTTGGGAAGCTGAGGCAGGTGGATCACTTGCGGTCAGGAGTGTGAGACCAGCTTGGCCAACATGGCGAAATCTCGTCTCTGCTGAAAATACAAAAATTAACAGGGCATGGTGGCAGGAGCCTGTAATCCCAGCTACTCCGGAGGCTGAGGCAGGAGAATCGCTTGAACCCAGGAGGTGGAGGTTGCAGTGAGCCAAGATTGCATCACTGCACTCCAGTCTGGGCGACAGAGCGGGATTCTGTCTCAAAAAAAAAAGGGGGGGGGGTGGGGTGGGGGGGAAGCGGGGACTTCCTCAGTGACCTGCTCTGTGATTTGTGAAGAACTTCACTCCAGCCTGAATCCTGTGCTTGGCACTAGAGAACCAAACAGCCTCTGCCAACTTGGGTTTGTAAAGGGATAGAGAATGTTACAGGATAATAAGGTCTTTCCCTTTGGCTCTCCGCTTTCTCCAGGCATAATCTTGTCTACATGGAAGATCATCCCTGAGCAATGAGCTGCCTGCTGAGGGGGTGTGGTGAGTTGCACAGAGTTGAGGCACCAAGGTCGGGGGCAGAGCCGGACCAGCCACCCCAGCCCTCTTCAAAACACAGCAGGTCTGGGCTTCTCGCATAGATCGGCTGCCTTGTTAGAATAACCTGAATATAAACCAAGGTCTTGTGGGGCCCAGTCTCCAGACACTCAAAGAGGCTGGATCTGGCAGCCCCAAGAGGATTAAAGGGGATTCATGTCCCAGCATCCTTCCTCTCCTCCCTGGCTCTCTTAGATGTTGTAGCATCTAACTCACCAATGGCAAGGATCAGGCTGTGAGTCCACTTGGCCAGTCTGTAGCACCCAGTTATTTGATCAGACATGAAGCCAGGTGTTACTGTGAAGGTATGTTGTAGAGGTGGTTGACATCTACCATAAGCTGACTTTAAGTAAAAAAGATGACCCTCGAAAATGTGAATGAGCCTTGTCCCATCAGTGGAAGACCTTAAGGGCAAAAACTGAGGTTTCCCTGAGAAGAATAAATTCTGCCTCAAGCTTGCAGCATCTCCTCCTGCCTGGGGTCCAGCCTGCTGGCCTGTCTTACAGATGCCAGACTTACCAGTCCCCCTAATCAGGCAAGCCCGTTCCTTAAAAAGAGACCTCCCTCTGGAGACCCCTGACACCAAGCTTTCTGACCTTGTCCAGGCAGCAATTAGTCAATTTCTCTCTCCTCCCTCCCTCCTTCTCTCGCTCTCTCTTTCTTTCTGTCTCTCCAGCTGCTGCTGCTGCTGCTGCTGCTGCTGCTGCTTCTTCTTCTTCTTCTTCTTCTTCTTCTTCTTCTTCTTCTTCTTCTTCTTCTTCTTCTTCTTCTTCTTCCTCCTTCCTTCCTCCTTCCTCCTCCTCCTCCCTCCTCCTCTTCCCTCCTCCTCCCTCCTCCTCTTCCCTCCTCCTCCTTCTTCCTCTTCCTCTTCCTCCTCTTCCTCTTCTTCTTCTCCTGCTTTCTTCTTTCTTCTTCTTCCGTTTCCTCTGTTGCCCAGGCTGGAGTGCAGTGATACGATCTCAGCTCACTGCAACCTCTGCCTCCCAGGTTCAAGCAATTCTCCTGCCTCTGCCTCCCGAGTAGCTGGGATTACAGGTGCCCACCACCATACCTGGCTAATTTTTGTATTTTTAGGAGAGACGGGGTTTCACCACGTTGGCCAGGCTGGTCTTGAACTCCTGACCTCAAGTGATCCTCCTGCCTCGGCCTCTCTAAGTGCTGGGATTACAGGCATAAGTCACTTCACCTGGCCTCTCCAGCTCCTTTTTCACTTTCCCTTTTTACATCACCAATGACCTGGATTCTCCACAACAGAAGCCCAGGAACTGACTCCCCACATAAGATCTATTTCCTTTATTTCCTTTGGTCCAGTGCCTCTCTCCTCCTCTTTCCAGTTCCACTCCCCAGGAGGCCAGGAGCTAGGTGGGAGGGAACCTCTCCCAGGAGGCAGGGCATAGAGGCAGGAAGGTGGAGCTGGGGAGAGGCAGAGACAAAGCTCTTTCCCTTTGAAATGGGCTGGGGTGGACCTGGGTGGGGCCGGAGGAAGATGGGACACACAGGTGAGATAATAGATCTTTCCTTCCTCGCGTAAGATTTTATTTGAAGATTAGATTCTACAGCCAAAGAGAAGTTGAAAGCCGCTGGTCTAGACCAGCCCGTAGTCTAAGCTGGTGACTGAAGCCGAGGGTGTCAAAGTGGCTTAAGGTAGCCCTTGCAGCTTAAATGCAGGATGGGGGTTGGCACTGGGTCTTCTGACCCCGAAGTCTGCACTCTGTGCACCATGAGATGTGTCCTCTGCAGCAAAGAAGCTGAATGAAGGTGTCATATACGGAGTGCAAAGAGGACCCTGGGAGCAAATTCCATGTGCGTGTGTGGGCGGTGGTGGGGGTGGGAAGAGTTCCATGGGGAGGGTCATATCCTTCTGAGGGAGACTGAAGAGACCTTGTGGGAGAGATCTCATTGGAGGTGAACCTTGTACTGTGACCGGGCTGCAAGTACTAGAAGTCAAGGGAGGGAAGGCATTCCTCCAGGAGAGGGTAAGAGCAGGAGCCAGGGCCGGGGGAGCGCTGGGGAGCACTTAGACTACAGCCAGAGGTCTCTATTGTGCTCAGCATGCCTGGAGCTCTGAGTCTACATGGGTGCAGGTGGAGAAAAGACCAGAAAGGTTGCTGAGGCCATGTCTGCATGGCTTTGCATGGCAGGTGGTTGAGTGTGTGCTGAGTTTGTTTGGCAGTGAGGAAGTTTAGGGCTTTGAGCAAGACAGTGGCATCCTGGATTGTGGGACACAGTGGGCAGAGCCTAGAGCTGGGAGGCCAATGAGGGCCAGGATGCCAGGAGGATGAGCAGGGCAGAAGGGGAGATGTAGCTTTGCCTGGAGGCTGGGCGATCTGTTCAGGCTTGAACCTAAGGGTGGAAATGCAGCCGGGGAGTGACCCCTGAAGGGGTGAAAGCTGCCTCAGCAAGTGATCAGCAAAATCCATCGATACTTGAAATGGACCAAAGGGTCTTCTGTTTAGAAGAAGCTGCTTGCGGTGCAGCACCGTGGCTCACACCTGCAATGCCAGTGCTTTAGGAGGCTGAGGTGGGAGGATCACTTGAGGCCAGGAGTTGGAGATCAGCCTGGGCAACAGAGCAAGACCCCATCTCTACAAAATTAAAAATTAAAAATTAGCCAAATGTGGTGTCTCACACCTGTAATCCCAGGTTAAGGCAGGAGGATTCCCTGAGCCCAGGACTTCATGGCTGCAATGAGCTGTGATTATGCCACTGTACTCCAGCCTGGGTGACAGAGCAAGACCCTATCAAGGAAGACGAAGATGAAGACAAAGACGAAGACAAAGAAGAAGGAGGAGGAAGAGGAGGAGAGGAAGAGGAGGAGGACAAGGAACAGGAGGAGGAGGAGGAGGAAGGGAAGGAGGAGGAGGAGGAAGAGGAGTGGCAGCAGCAGCTGGTTGTAAAGTGAAGAATCATTTTACGATAGGATTAACCATGACCAACCCATGTCCGTATAAGTTTGGATTTCCATGGGTAGAATTTTTTAAAAATCACAGCCTGTCTGTGGCTGTCCATGCTGTCTGTCACTGGCCTGAATCTGAGTGGTAGAGAGAGCAACTCCTTCCTCCACACCGGCCCTGCCCCAACAAGTCAGGTAGGCCCCCTCCCTCCCTGCTGATTGGATGGTGAGTGCCCCAAGCACGGTGCTGCATCCTTTTGCAGAGGAATGGGCCAAGCAGAGCCTGGCATAGCTGGGGTGGGGGCAGGGCCTCCCTGCAGCATCTTTCCATGACATTGTCACAGAGGGAACAGGCAAGTTCCATTGGCATTGTATTAGCTTCCTAGGGCTGCTGTAACAAATTCCTACAAACTGGGTGGCGTAGAACAACAGCAGTGTCCCTTCTCACAGTGCTGAGGTTGGGAGTCTGAAATCAAGAGGTCATCAGGGTCGTGCTCCTGGCAGAGGCCCTAGGGGATTCTGTTCTCTGCCTCTTCCAGCTTCTGGTGGTCATCTTGATTCCCGCACTGTGGTGGCACCATTCCAACCTCTGCCTCTGTCTTTATGCGCCCTTCTCTTCTTCTCTCTGTTCTTCTCTTCTTGAGTTTCTTTTTTATTTTTATTTTTATTTTTTCTTGGGACGGAATTTCACTCTTATTGCCCAGGCTGGAGTGCAGTGGCGCGATCTCGGCTCACTGCAACCTCTGCCTCCTGGGTTTGAGCGATTCTCCTGCCTCAGTCTCCCAAGTAGCTGAGATTACAGGTGCCCACCACTACACCCAGCTGATTTTGTATTTTTAGTAGAGACAGGGTTTTACCATGTTGGTCAGGCTGGTCTCGAGCTCCTGACCTCAGGTGATCCACCAGCTTCGGCCTCCCAAAGTGCTGAGATTACAGGTGTGAGCCACCTTGCCCACCCCTCTTGAGTTTCTTATAAGGACATTTGTCATTGAGATAATCTAGGAGGATCTCATCTGAGATACTTCACTACATCCTCAAAGACCCTTTTCCCAAATACAGTCACATTCACAGGTTCTGGGGATTAGGATATGAACATACGGGTTTGGGGGCACCATTCTACCCGCTACAGGCCTGCAGAGGAGTGAGCTCCACGGGGGTGCCCCAGCCTCTGAGGTGCTGCGGCTGGTCTATGTTCCGGTTCTGTCTCTACCTGCCCTCTCCTTCACGCCCTCCTTGGGTGTTGGGTACCCTCTTCTCTTCCCTGGGTACCCACTGTTCCCTCTGTGGGACCCCACCTGTGTTTGTTCCCTCTACGCAATACCCCATCTCCTCACCTCCTTTCCTCCTGGGAAATGAGCGTATTTTGCATCCTGTCTGTAACCTGGCCTGACAAACCCTCCTGTCCTCATATCATAAAGATCCAACATACTCTGTGTGGTCCAAACAGCGGACTGGATCCTGGACATTACCAGGTGCGGGTTTGCAGCCCAGCTCAGAGCTACATTAGCATGGCGGCCAAGGTCAAATCCTCTGACTTCCCATGTCTTCCATTCCCCATATGTATCATGGAGATAACAAGGCCCTGTGCTCTTTTGACTAAAAAAAAAAAAATAGTTTCTGGAATGCATTTCCTTCCACCTCCATCTCGGCAATCTCTCTCTCTAATAATAGACTTAATTATTTAAATTTAATTTGTTAGAGGTTTGATGTTTAATTTGAGAAACCTAATGAATGATTAACATTTAATAAATAGTAAAATTTAATATCTATGAACTTGGGTATAAATATATAAATGATTTAATATCTTAATTCAATGCCTACTTTTTAAAAACAGATAGGAATTGCTCCTCAGAGTTATCATGCCCTGAGTAAGCGCTTGGCAAAACCGCCACCCCATTCTCTGTGAGTGAAAAACAGCACAGAGCGGGTCCTGAGTCCTTGGATGTACAAGGAAAGGAGAATTGATCAAGAGGAGGTTGGGTGGCCACCTTGTCCAGTGCCCAGATCCAGGAGCAGCTGTGGCCATGGAGGAGGCTGAGTTACAGTTTAGCTACAAAGTATCTCCAGTGAACACCTTCCCCAGTGGTGACTGCTGCAAAGGGGGTGGCCTCCCCCCAGGGAAGGGGAGGGAGGAGGCAGTCTGAAGAATGAGGCTTCTTACAGGGACATCAAACTGCACATAAATAGACGTGCCGTGCTTTTTATTTGAATATTAATTGGCATTGATGAACAGCATGTGTCTAGTTACATTGGCAATTAGTTACCAATGAGGTTCTGGGACGCCACACTGCTCCTGTAATTCTGATATGGAGGTTCCTGGAAAGCGCCGTGGAGCTCTCCCTGAAGCCGCTGTCCTTGCGAGGAAGGGTGGCTGCCTGCATCTACACAGAGGCCATGTATTTGCCTTTTCATGGATGTGCTAAGCAACAGCTCACAGGACGGATTCTAACTGCATCCTCCCTTTAGGAGGGAACCACCTGCGGTGAATGAGTCCTGTGAACCTGCAAGTCTCAACCATTCCTGGGTTCAGGGATTTAAGGAGAACAGAGGAGAGGGTCCCCCCATTTCCTTGCCCTTTTGGGAAGCTGGGGACCTTCCTCTGGTCAGTCTGTCTTCAGAGGGAAGAGTGAGGGAGGCAGCCTGGACAAGGGGCCTGGGATCCTGGGCAGGGCAGGGTCCAAGGACACAGGCCATCTGGCCAGGAGACACCCCACAGCGCTGGGTCGGCTGCCCAGGATCTTCTGTTACCTCTGGCCAACGTCCAGGCAGGCCCAGCATGTCACTGTGTGTAAGTCAGCCTCCCCCTCCAGACTGGAAGCCCCTTAAGAACATCTGCCTGGCCCTGCCCATCTGTGTGTGCCAAGCCTCTAGCACTATGCCCGGCACATGGCAGGTGCTCCAGGAGACAGGGATTGGAGAGAGACTCAGAGCCCAGGAGCTGCCAACCGCTGAAGGGAGTAGGAATCCGCTAGTCATTGAACCTGTGCTAGGGAGGCATAAAAGATGGGGGTGGGGGCATTTTCTAGCGGAGCTTCCCCGGGTGAGTCAGTGCCCATAGCCCCCTGACCAGTATCCCCTTCCAGCTTCAGCCCCCACCCAAGACCCACCTTCTCCTTCCTCCCCCATTCTGGGACCCCCATCCCAGCTGGGCCGGGGCAAGAAGAAGGCACCCTGGCCTCCCGGGCTCTGCTGCAGGGGGCCTCAGTGAGCAGCAGATGAAAAGCTGCCTCCGCTGGGGGCTAATCCTCTCACCTCCACGCTCCCGGTGGCTGCCTCGCCCTGCGGCTCAGGCTGAAGGATCTCGGGGAGTTTTAAATGGAGGAGAAGGAGCATTTCTGATCTCATTTTCCAGTATTTCAGCTGTGCCATAATCTATTTACCACACAATTTGTGTCACTTTGATAAGCGGCTGCTTCAAGACTGCATTTATTAAAATCAAGAGCGGGGACAGCTTTCAAGTCTCTCAAGAATTGTAATAAATGTTTGAAATTAGTCATTACGGTGTTTGCCATGGTTCATATCATATACTCCATCTCGGTGACAAACGGTCACATCTTGCACACGTTCTTTTTGGGTGATGATGGTGAAGGCTTCACTTTGACGTCCCTGCATGGGACTCGGGAGGGGACGCCGCGGGGCGAGAGCCCTTCCGGGGGCAGCCGGGGTCCCCCGGGGCCACAGCTCAGCCCCGTGAAATGCTCTTTTAGCCTAAGCTTCTGTACTTAAAGAGGAGTGAAATGGCCCAGAAAGACTTTTCTTCCCTTCCCTCCTCCCCCATCTAAACCACCAGGCTCTTATTTCATCCTGGGTGACGAGGCTTCTCCTCCACCACCACCCCCCCTGCCCAGCAGTGGCATCTAAGGACGCTGCAACTTTGCGGCTGGTTTACTGTTTCCTTTGGGGGGTTTTGTAGTTGCAGGAAGTAACCCTGGCCAAAACAATGTCACATTCCTAAAGGCTCCAGTACAGCAGGGCTCCGAGCCCTGGGAAGGGGAAAGGAGGGTCCCAGAGGCCATCAGAGGCTTATTCAAAGACTGTACAGGAACCAGGCACAGAGATGGGATCCCAGAGCCATGCTCCTCCTCTATGGTGACTTGTGGCTCCCAATCCTAAAGAGACACTCGGGAGATGACAATCAGGGCGTGAAAACCATCAGCATTGGAGGCAAGCTAGGAATGAGGCCCAGGGTACCCGAGGCCGGGTTCCGAGTGGGCACGGTGGGGAGGGCCAGGGGACCTACATTTCCTAATAATTGGGGGATTTTCTGTCTGTGGGGTCCTCAGAGCTGGTGGCCGTCTCCCTAGGTGCCCCTGGAGCTTGGTAGGCACTGTCTGCCGTGGGAAACTCTGGGTGGACACAGCGGGAGACAGACACCGAGGGGCTGGGGGTGGGGGTGATGCCACTCCGGGTGACAGCTTCTCTTCTATGGAGAAATACATCTGAATTTTGCTTGTGTTCAGGCTGGTGAAAGGAAGTCCTTTCTGTTTCACAAACATATTGAAAACAGGCCTTCATCTCCTTTGAGAAAAGAGGTTTAGTAGGGCAGCCACCTAAAGCTCGCATGTTTAACTAACCTTGTTGGGAGGACGTGTGGGAGTGACAGAGACAGACAGACACTACACTGCATTCACAGTCCTCTGTTTCACAGTTAACATTCTTACCCAAAGATGTGAATGGTGAAAAAGACATTTTTAACCATAGCTTTATATAAAAAAAGAAAGCTTGGCCGGGCACGGTGGCTCACATCTATAATCCCAGCACTTTGGGAGGCCAAGGTGGGCAGATCACCTGAGGTCAGGAGTTCGAGACCAGCCTGGCCAATATGGTGAAACCCTGTCTCTACTAAAAATACAAAAATTAGCTGGGCATGGTGACAAGCGCCTGTAATCCCAGCTACTGGGGAGGCTGAGGCAGGAGAATCGCTTGAACCCAGGAGGTGGAGGTTGCAATGAGCTGAGATCATGCCACTGCAGTCCACCCTGGGTGACAGAGCAAGACTCTGTCTCAAAAAATAAAAAGAAAGCTTTTGCGGGGCAGGGGTCTGACCTTAAGGGAAATCTGTCCTCATTCTGGAAAATACAGAAAAGAATAAAAACATATTTGAGATAGAGTCTTGCTCTATTGTCCCGGCTGGAGTGCAATGGCGCCATCTCTACTCACTGCAACCTCCGCCTCCCGGGTTCAAGCAATTCTCCTGTCTCAGCCTCCTGAGTAGCTGGGATTACAGGCATGTGCCACCACGTCCGGCTAATTTTAAACAAATATGTGTTTTAAAAAGAGGCACAATTGTGCAAGCTGGAGATGGCTGTGTGGATTTCCGTGTATTTAGTGTACTTTTGTGCAAGCTGGAGATGGCTGTGCGGATTTCTGTGTGTGTTAGTGCACTTTTGTGCAACCTGGAGATGGCCGTGCGGATTTCCGTGTGTTTAGTGTACTTTCGTGCAAGCTGGAGATGGCCGTGCGGATTTCCGTGTGTTTAGTGTACTTTCGTGCAAGCTGGAGATGGCCGTGCGGATTTCCGTGTGTTTAGTGTACTTTCGTGCAAGCTGGAGATGGCCGTGCGGATTTCTGTGTGTTTAGTGTACTTTCGTGCAAGCTGGAGATGGCTGTGCGGATTTCCATGTGTGTTAGTGCACTTTCTGCTTTGCAAGCAGTTGCACATCCTTGGTTTTCACTCTCCTGCACGAGCTCCTGCCCCCACCACCCTCATGGCCGCTACACTTTCAGGGTGATCCCTGCACCTTAGGACCCAGAGCCCAGCCGTGGCAGGTGCTCCTGGAGGTTGCCAAGGCAGAATCCCCGCTGGAAAACCATGGCTGCCCCTTGGAGGCCTAGGTGCACGTTCAAAAGCACACTGGCGTCTCATGGCGTGCTCTTTGCAGGGCCTGGAAGGGTCAGCATCCACTTTAAGGCCAAGATCTACCTTGAGAAGCAATGTCTAAAGGCCCATGGTCAGGCCTAAAATCGATGAGATTAAGAATCTCCTGCAGGACTGCGTTGGCCTTACCTGTATGCAGGGCCTCCTTCTGCAGCCAACCCTGGAAACTCTGAGGTTGCTGGTTTAGCAGGGTAATGCCTACACCCTCATTAGCATCTGATATTATTCTGGTACATTTGTCACAATTAATTAATCCATATTGGCACATTATTATTCACTCAAGCCTATAATTTATTCAGACTTCCCTAGTTTTTACCTACTGTCCTTTTCCTGTCCCAGGAGCCCATCCAGGACCCCGCATGACACTCAGGCTTCATCTCCTTAGACTCCTCTTGGCTGTGACAGTTTCTCAGTCTTTCCTTATTTTTGGTGACCTCAACAGTCGTGTGGATTCCTGGTCAGGCATTTTGTAGAATGTTCCTCTATTGGGGGTTGTCGGATGTTTTTCTTATGATTAGATGGAGGTTATGGGTCTTGGGGAGGAAGAGCACACAGGTAAAGTGGCGTTGTGAACTTGTCATATCAAGGGTATGCACTATCAACAGAACTTGTTGCCAGTGATGGTGACCTTGATTGCCTGGCTGAGATCGTGTCTGTCAGGGTTCTTCTCTGTGGAGTTACCTTTTTACCCCTTTCCATACTGTACTCTGTACAAGGAAGTCACTGTGCAGGGCCCACACTTAAACAGAGGAGAGTTATGTTCCACCTTCTTTGTTTGTTTGTTTTTTTTTTTGAGACAGAGTCTCGCTCTATCACCCAGGCTGGAGTGCAGTGACATGATCTCTGCTCACTGCAGCCTCTGCCTCCCAGGTTCAAGAGATTTGCATGCCTCAGCCTCCCAAGTAGCTGGGGCTACAGATGCCTGCCCCTGTGCCCAGCTAATTTTTGTATTTTTAGTAGAAACGGGGTTTTGCCATGTTGATGTTCCACCTTCTTGAGAGTGGGATATGTACATACATTCTCTGCAAGCTAGATTTACGTATTCTTCCCCGTTTATTGTCCTATTTAATCATTTATTTATATCCATATAGACTCATGGCTATTTATTTCATACTTTGGGTGATGACCCAATGCAATGTTATTTACTTTGTTGCTCAAGTTGTCCCAGCCTTGGCCATCGGGAGCTCTTTCAGTTGGTTCCTGTGTCCCTTTGACATATCCCATTAATGTGGTTGTTTTTTGTTTTGTTTTGTTTTGTTTTGTTTTTTTGTGTTTCCTTACTTTCTGATACTACATCATGCTCCAGACTCATTTTGTATCTTTCCAGGCCCAATCCAAGAATTAGTCATTTCTCCAAGGGGCCCTGGTTCTTTTTACTAGAGAAGGTAGCAACCATAGGCTGGTACAGAGTGTGCTCATAACTCCTGGGATGTCATTTTTTTTAGGCCCTCTCAGCAGACAGGAAAGAAGATATACATGTTTATACTAATCCGTGTATATATGCATCTATACCCCTTTCTAAATGCAACTACCTGTATCTATGTCAAGTATAGTTCATCTGTAAATACATATATTAAATATGAGTTGATAGTGACTTCTCCAAATCTCATCCATAATTGCATGCATCATTCTAACTTTCTCTCCTTGCTTGTTTGTAACTTTTCATTCCAAATGCAATGTGAAACTGTGGTAAAGGCTGGTTTGGCTGGTATTTGTTCCTGCTTCCTGGGGAAGAGTCTCTAAACCCTTGAATTTCCTGTGATAGGAGAATCTTTGTTGTTCACAGTGGGACCCTTGGACAATTCCTGGGGTTGTGCTAAGGAGGTAACACATGGTGGGCCCCTAGATAGTTCATTCTAACGAGATGATTCAAGATGGAGGCTGGCCAGGCCAGAAAGGCCAACTGTGTGGTTGGAGGGATGGAGGGATGGGGCTTTGAACCACGTGGTATCAGCTTAGCCTCCAGGGAGGAGATTGAGCTCCATCATGTGGCCAGTGACTCAATCAATCATTCCTACATAATAAAACCCCATAGAAACTCTGGTCCCCTGGCGGGTCCAGCCCATAGACTTTGGCCAAACGACGGATGAAGGAATGCACTCAGAGACAGGTATCCAGTGAAAGAGCAGGCTAGGGGACTGGGCTGCTTACAGACCCTGAGGAGGGTGCTGTAAAGAGTCGGCAGCCACAGCCTTGACCAGCTGGCACTGCGGATATTTATTCAGCACAGATTTCATGACAAAGGCTTTGAGTCAACACACTTGTGGTTAATCAACGTGGTCACCACCCCCACCCCAGAGAGAGTAGTCTTGGGTGCAGATGATTAAAGCCAGGTTTTGAGGCCTAAGTAAACTAACTTATCAACATCAGTTTCTTTACATCCTTTCGTTATCTAACTTAAGCTCTTCAGAGAATTCAGCTGCCTTCAGCCAAATTTTCTTTCAAAGCTTTGCAGACCCCTGGCCTTCTAAGGAGGTTTGCATCTTTCTACAGTTTTTCCCACCTGATCGATCTCCTACAGTCCCCAAAGCTTGGGTGAACTTCCGAGGTTAACAGCACTCTTCATATCATGCACATCAGCGTGGGGGGAAAATGATGCATCCTGACTCCAGAGGGAGAACATGCAGAAGCTTCACATTTGGGACCCTCCCTGGTCTTGCCTTATGAGTCTCTTCTTTCAGCTAGTCCTGATTGTATCTTTTTTGCTATAAGAAAACTGTAATAGCAAGTATAATGCTTTCCTGGGTCCTGTGAGGCATTGTTGCAAATTACCAAACCTGAGTGGGTCATGGGAACGCCTGCATTTGTCGCCAGCTGGTCAGAAGTGAGGGGCCCCCAAGCTTCATTCAGCTGGTGTCTGAAGTGAGGGCAGTCTGGGGAGGACTGTGTGCTTGACTTGTGAGGTTTGGCCTAACTCTGGGGAATTAATGTCACAACTGCTTTGTAGAAGCTGCCTCCCACCATCTGCCATCCATTTACCTAGTTGTTCAGTTCCTGTAGACATATATACTGTTTTCAGAATCATGAACCCATACCAGTATGGGACACAGCTTTATCAATTACAGCGCAGTGCTTGTGTACAGTTCCTTTTGCCTTTAGTTTCACAGACTCTGCTCGTTCCCAAAGTTACTTAAGTGAGCATCTTTTCCTCTGTCCACATTGGCGAGACTGTTTCATGCATTTGGAATATGTTTGGATTCTTTGGTCACATTCTGCATTCCACCTTAGGATCTCCTGACCTTCTAAATGACTTCAAAAATTTTGCATACATTAAGATTCGTTCTTTGGGCCGTGAAGTTCTGTGGGCTGGGGCAAATGCACAGCGTCATGTATCCACTATTACAATATCATATACAATAGTTTCACCTAAAAAAACTCTGTGTTTCCCCTCAGTTTTAAAAAATGTCAGATATATTAAGGTATAGTTTATATACAACAAAAGTCAGCCTCTATAAGTGTGCCATTTAAAACATTTTGGAAAACGTATATACCCATGTAACAACCATCATAATTAAGATATGGAATATTTATATCACCTGAAAATTTCACTCATGTCCCTTTGGGGACATTCCCTCCCTTCCCAGCAGGCAATACTGATCCACTTGCTGCTCCTATTATTTTGTCTTCTCTGGAATATCACACAAACGGAATCACAGATTATGCTACTCATTATTTGTTTCTACACACAGAACACTTTTGATACCAAATGTGTGGGCTTTTTTCCCCAACAGTCAATTCTCCAACTCTCCAGACACCAACTGGGTGTCCAATGGTTCAACTCATTAATTGCCGAGAGTGAGTGTCAGACTCCGCAGGTTAAGGGCTCCATCCCACAAGACTGCCCCCACTGCAAATATTGTGGGTACCCAGGGTACCCACACTTCTGTCCAGCTTGGCTACACAGTCAAGAGTTCTTATGCCCCGCTCCTTGGATTTGATAATTTGCTGGAGCAATTCACAGAACTCAGGAAAAACAATTTTCTTACATGTACTGCTTTATTATTAAGGATGCAATTCAGGATTAGCCAAATGGAAGAACATGCTTAGCGCAATGTATGAGGAAAGGGGCAGGGAGCTTCCACGCCTTTCAGCCACCCATCTGTCACTTGCACATGTTCACCAACCCGGATGCTCTCTGAACCTCATAGTTTAGGGGGTTTGATGGTTCTGTTACATAGGCATCATTGATTAAATCATTGGCCACTGGTGATTGACTCAATCTCGAGCCGTTCCTCCCTCCTCGAAGGTCACTGGGTGGAGCTGAAAGTTCCAACCCTCCAATCACATGGTTGGTCTTCCCTGCACCCAGCTCCACCCTGAAGCTGCGTAGGGGGCTCTGGCCACCAGTCATCTCATTAACATACAAAAAGACAACTTCAGGGATTCCAAGGGCCTTAGAAACTCTTGCCAACTTCAGGGATTCCAAGGGTCTTAGAAACTCTTGCATCAGGAACCAAAGACTGAGACTACATATTATAACAAAAGACACTCCTACCACCCCTATCACTCAGAAAATTACAAAGGTTTTAGGAGCTCTGTGCCAGGAACTGGGATGAAGACTAAGTATATATTTCTTATTATATCACAACATCACACCATGTTTTGTGCATTGAGCTGCCTCTGGCTTCTTTCAGTTGACATAATGCCTTTGAGATGCATCCACGTGGTTCCATGTGTCAATAGTTATTTCCTTTTTAGTATGGAGTAATCTTTCAGTGTAGGGGCGTACTTTGCTTGTTGATCTATTTACTAGATATAGATACATGCATGTGGCAAATTTTGGGCTATGATAAGCAAGGATCCCCTGAGTGTTCATGCACAGGTCTGTGTATGCACACATGTTTTTATTTCTCTTGGGCTGAGATTCCTGGGTCATATGATAAGTGTATGTTTAGCTTCATAAGAAACCGCTAGTTTCCAAAGTAGCTATACCAGTATTTTTTGGTGTTGTTTTTTGTTTTTTGTTTTTTGAGACGGAGTCTCGCTCTGTTGCCCAGCCTGGAATGCAGTGGCCTGATCTCGGTTCACTGCAAGCTCCACCTCCCAGGTTCATGCCATTCTCCTGCCTCAGCCTCCCGAGTAGCTGGGAATACAGGCACTCGCCACCACACCTGGCTAATTATTTTGTGTGTGTGTGTGTGTGTGTGTTTCTAGTAGAGATGGGGTTTCACCATGTTAGCCAGGATGGTCTCAATCTCCTGACCTCGTGATCTGCCCGCCTCGGCCTCCCAAAGTGCTGGGATTACAGGCGTGAACCACCGCACCCGGCCCAAAGCAGCTATACCATTTTACATCCCCACCGGCGATGTAGGAGAGTTCCAACTGTTCCACATTCTCATCAACATTTGGTGTTCTCAGTCTTTAAATTTTAGCCTTCTAGCAGCTGCATAGTGGTATCTCATTTTGTTTTTAGTTTTCATCTCCTGGATTAATGATGCAAGCATCTTTGCATGTGCTTATTGGCCTTTTTTTAAAAAGTATTTAAAAGGTTAAATTACTATATATGAGCAACTCATGGACCAAACCTGTTGGTCCATTTCATAGTGTAAACAGTGGACGTCCCTCTCTCTCCTGTCTGCCTTCTCCATTCAAAGTGACCACTTTCACCGCCTGGGTGTATATGGCCTTCCAGACCTGGGTCTGTGCATGAACAGTGTGCCTGTGCCTCTTCCCATGTCAGCATCCAGAAATCTACCTTCTTCATAACTGCTGCAGATCCCATTTTTTTACCAGTTCCCTAAACCTAGAATCATCCTTGTATCCCCTCCCTCCACCCTCTTGTCTAAACCATCACCAAGGCCTATGATTTTACCGCCCTCCAAATATCTCAATCACCTCCTCTCTCCACCTTCTTCACCACCACCCAAATCTCCATCACCTCTTGCCTGGACAGTGGTCCCCGCCTCCCAACTCTTCTCCCACCTCCTTCTACTCCATTCTCTGTAGAACAACTGGAGTAAATTTTTCAAAATGCAAAAGCGATAATGTCTTCCTTCCCCCCTTAATGCTCTCAGTGCCTTCCTTAAAGGTCTGAAGATAAAGCCCAGGTGCCGATGGTCACCTGCAGCAGGTGGTCCTGCCCTCCTCCCTGCTGCCTGCCCCTACTTTGAGCTCCAGCCCACCTGCCCAAGGTCAGCCATCAGACACACGGCAGCCCTCGGCACAGGCTGGGAATGCCTCCATCCTTTTCACCCAGGAAACCCCTGTCTCTCCTGAGATCTTGCCCTGATCCACCACTTCCTCCGAGAAGCCTCTTCTGATTTCTCCTGATCTTCCATTGCCAGGGGACCTTCCTCTTGTTCCTCCTGGTTCTCAATCCCACTGCCTCTCCTTCGTGGCCCACATCACGGTCACACATTTTTGTGGATCCAGAGATTGTCTGATGAATGCTCGGCACCATTCCTTCCCAGTCCATAGGTCCCATCCCAAGGGCAGGATGGGGGGTTGTATGGGGAGGTGCTGAACCCCAACAGGCACTTAGCATGCTCAGGTGAGCAGGCACCTCGTTCCTGGTTGTAGCCAACACCTCTTCTCCAGGCCTGCCTTGCCTCCTCTTTCCCTGGAGCTCGTGCTCTGCTGGGGCTCAGGCTGGTGTCTGCCTGGCAGGGCCTCCTGACAGCGCCTCACCTGGGCAAGGCCTGGTGCCACCCAGAGTGTGGGGGCCAATGTCCAGAGGGGACGGAAGCCAAAGTCCAGTCCCACCACCATCTCCCAGCCCAAGCAAAAGTGTATCCCTCCCACCCCTCCTGTCTGCTCCCTGGAGCCACACTTCTCAATAAAATCCCCCCAGCAAACCTGTCTCAGGCGGGCCCTGTTTCTGGGTCACTCAGAGGCTAAGACGCCAATTTTTCATTCTTATCCTTGGGTTTTTATCCATTAGGATACACAGGTTTCTATGTGGAAAGCCCACTTTGTAGCCATTGTTTGGGTGTGGGGGACCCCAGGTTTTTGTGTTGGGTGTAGGAATCCTTGCAGGAGCCTCCTTTCTCTCCACGGGCCATTTCCTGTCATTCTTTCTTGCCTCCCTGTCTTTCCCCTCTCCCGCTTTCAGAATTGTCTTGCGGGCATGCCCGCTGCTGATATTTAAACATGCAGATCCCGGCTTCTGTTTTGCATGAATGTGTGACCTTGGGTAGAGCTGCTCATGCAGGATGGATGTGTTGTGCTTGCATTCAATCATCGGGAGCAGCCCAAGCCTTGAGAAACCACAGAGACCCGGTTTCCCATCCCCGGCCTCGGGATGGTAATGAACTTCTGAGAAATGGCTCATCAATAAATGGAGCTAAGAGCTCAGGGCAGCCAACCCTCTCTGTCAGGACCTTAATTACAATCGCAGAAATAAGTTGGAGGGTGAGGAGCCACAGCGGGGAGGCGGGATGAGGCGCTTATGGTTAACCCCTGATTTCTCGGGTAGAGGTGGGTGGACAGGGGAAGTGAAGTCCTCCTCTCTGGGGAGGAAAGGTTGAGGCTGAGGAGGCTGGGATTTGATTTTTGGGAGTAATTGGTTCGTCTGTCTCTTTCTGCCTACACCAAGCTGAGAGCACAGAGGTTTTCCCAGCTGGGCAAGACCTGGCCCCTGGGAGGCTGCCCCGTGCTCCCTGAGAGCCCCCGGTTTGGAAGGAGCTGCCCCTCGTATGTTTTGGGTCACACCATGGTGGCTGTGGGGGTCTGTGCTGGGCCCCTGTGGGCAGCGAGGAGCAGAGGAAAGGCTGCAGACTGCAGTGGAATGGTTTGATTCTGCTGTCATCTTGACCCCACCTAGCTGGGAGACCCTGGGCAAATCCTATCCCCTCTCAAGGCTGTTTCTGAATCTCCACCTGGGAATCCTAAAACCTGGCTCTTGGGGTCATTGTGATGGCCAGCAAAGTATGAGGCAGGCCTGGACATGGAAGTGGAGCCCCTTAATGTGGGTTTACCCTCTGCCACCCCCGAAGACCCAGCCACACCATCCCTCTCCTCCCCATTGTCAGTCCAAGGCTGACTCCCTTTGGGGGTCTTCAGAGAGGGCCCTGCTAGGAACTCGGGAACCATGGTCACCTCCCCAGCAGCTCAGAGGGCCCCACAATCATTCCCCCTGCTTGCCCCTCACCCCCTCAAGAGATGAGGTTCAGCCCTGCCTCAGACCCTGCCTTTGACCCTCCTGCAGGCTGGACAGAGGCTGCAGGGTGGAGGGCGGGTCCAGCCTTTTCTGCTTGGTATCTTAGTGATTCCCATCCTGCACTCTGCACCCTGGATGAACAGGCTCGGGGTGGATGGGAGACAGGCGGTGCTGCCGGCCTGCACTGACCATCCACGCCCCGAGAGCTGTCTTGAGAGAAGGATGAGAAGAGGATTTTGAAAACCCCTAAGGTAACTCTCAGCCATAAGAAACGAGGATCACCACAACTGTCCCCCTCGGCCAAGAACCCACCGGGTGCCTGCACTTCCCAGGTCCGCCATTTACCCCTCCAAGAAGGAAGGATTAGCCTGGGCCACTCAACTGGCCAAGTGACCTGCCAAGAGTTCCAGGAGCTGGGGGTGGAGGTGGCATCCTGGCACTCCTAGAGTCCCTTTCTCCCAGGGGGTGATTGCCCATAAATAAAGTATTTTATTAAAAAAAAATTTAAAAATTAGATAAGACCTGCTTGACTTTTTGACTTTTTTTTTTTTAGAAGGGGTCTTGCTCTGTCACATTCAGACTCGTGTGTAGTGGTGGGAGCTTGGCTCACTGCAAACTCCGCCTCCCAGGTTCAAGTGATTCTCCTGCCTCAGCCTCCCGAGTAGCTGGGATTACAGGCACCCACCACCATACCTAGCTAATTTTTGTGTTTTTAGTAGAGACAGGGTTTCACCATCTTGGCCAAGGTGGTCTTGAACTCCCGACCTTCAGTGATCTACCTGTCTCGGCCTCCCAAATGTTGGGATTACAGGCGTGAGCCACTGCGCCAGGTCCCATTTGACTATTGCAGAAAAATTAAAATTCAGATAAGCAAAAAGAAAAAGAATGAAATATAAATCATTCTAAAGCCTGCCACCTGGAAAACCCACTAACACCGTGTGATATGCTCCAGGATAATTTTCTCAGGGGCTTTCCTCCTCCCGGCTTTATAATCACGGGAGGGGGTGAGTGTGTGTGCGTGCGTGAGTGTGTGTGTGTGTGTGTGTGTGTGTGTGTGTGTGTGATGAGAGCAGGCAGCAGCAAGAAGCAAGATGCTGAGATGCTGGGTTGTGGCAAGCCGCCTGCCTTGGGGCCGGAATTTTCCATGGCAGTAAATCCATCTCTTCTGAGAGGTGGTGGCACAGAGGACATGAGCGAGGTGCCAGCGTCAGTGCGGTGTTTACTGCACAGATAGAATATTTACAGCTCCATCTTTGGTGTAAAATGTGGCTCTTTCAGACCCTACGAAGGTCACTAGAATGTCAGGGAATTTATGGATGTTTTATAGTACATCGTGCTGGCGAGCAAGATAACAGGATTCTGTTCCTCTGCACCCAGTGCCGAGAGACACCCAGAGTGGGAAAACAGTGAGCAGCTGGCTGAGAATCAGCTCCCCCCGCCTGCTCCACCCCGCCCAATCCTGCTCATTTATGCTCGTGTGTATTCTATTTGTCCGTGTGCATGTAGAACATATGTTACTCCAGGCAGGGGAGGGGAGGTTCAAGTGTGCAGAAGGGAGAACAATTAGAAAAATCATGAATCACGAATCTGTTTCTGCTTCTACTGTTAGGGCTAATTATTTCTTGGTTTTACGTAAGAGATGCTGTCTTAATTAAAGCTGGTAAGGTCCTGGGTAGATTATAGTTCTAGATTCTAGCATCACAGCAAGGGGCAGGGACCTTAGAGATAATAAAATCCATAGTTGTCATTTTCAATGAGGAAACCAAAGTCTGAAGACCGTTTGCTGAATGTGCTTTCATGTTATTAGAGTTTTGGGGGAAAGATTTTGAATGTTACCTCTTGTGCATCTCAGAGGAGAGCTGAGTTTGGCTGGCTTCTCTGGGAGTGGTCCCTAATCATCCTCTGCAGTTGGTACCTAGCTAGTTAGAAACCAATAACCAGCCAATAGAAAGCCGCCTGCTTCCTATTGTTGACACACACTTCTGCCTTCTTACGGGTTTCTTCTGCCCAGGCACTGGTTGGATCCTCTCGAATTTAAGTCATGTGTTTATTCATTCATTTGCCCAACATGTCTCTGGGAGGGCATCCTAATTAGAGAGCCTGTGACGTGGCTCTGGGGGACACAGATGGGAACAACACAAAGCCAGTACCCAAGGAGTTTCTATCTCATAAGGCACTGGAACCACTGTTGCTAAGTCACAGCCAGCAAGTCCCGGCAACTGCAGAGAGCTCTGCTCCCAGGGACGCTTCCCCAGCTACAAGTACCAGGCCAGGAGCCCAAGCTCTGCCATGGTACTGTTCCTCTTGGCATTTCCCTTCTCTCCTTTTAGCTTCAGCCACGCTATCTGTAAAAGCATTTTGCTGAATTAAGTGAGTGTCCATAATTCTGGGTTGTTCTAACTCTAAGGAGGAAGTGGCCAGCCAGCCTGAAAAGTATGTTAGGGTTGAACCTGTTGCTGATGTCTTCAGTACGGGGTTGGCATGGAGGGGAATTTGGAGATGACGGAACATTACAGGGAACAAAAGTCCATGGAAACAAACAACCGGGGGCAGGGAAACCTTCATGGTAGGATGCCAAGGAATAAATACAGAAGGGATGACAGCGACAGAAAGGTCACCAACAGATGCTGACATTAGTGGGTGAGAGCACAATTAAGATCAAGGTATTTATGCACCTCCAAACATCTCTTCACAAATTGTTTATTAAATACAAAGAGAAGAGAGTAACGTCATTGTGGAAACACCTGGCAGACAGCACCTGAACCACATGATTAAGGGTAGTTTCACCAATATGATGACAAAGGGCCAGGTGCCTCCAGATATGATGCACTGGGGAGGACGCAGTGTCACTTCCATGGCGTTCCCAGAAAAAATGCCTGACCTGAACCGATCACTAAGAAACATCAGAAGAACCCAAATTGGGGTATGTTCTGCAAAATAACTGGCCCATAGTCTTCAAAAATGTTACGGTAAAGGAAGGTGAAGAAAGGCTGAGAAGTTGGTTCAGATTAAAGGAAGCTAATGAGAGTGGCCAATGCAGCTTGTGGTCGCCAGTTTGGTTCTGGACCACGCAGCTCATGGCAAGAAAGGATATTATTTGGATAACTGGTGGAATTTAATATGAACTGTGGGGCTGGGAGTGGTGGCTCACATCTGTAATCCCAGCACTTTGGGAGGCTGAGGTGGGCGGATCATCTGAGGTTGGGAGTTTGAGACCAGCCTGGCCAATATGGTCAAACCCTGTCTCTACTAAAAATACAAAAAAATTAGCCAGGCATGGTGGTGGGTGCCTGTAATCCCAGCTACTTGGGAGACTGAGGTGGGAGAATCACTTGAACCCAGGAGGCGGAGGTTGCAGTGAGCTGAGATCACACCACTGCACTCCAGCCTGGGTGACAGAGTGAGACTCTGTCTCAAAAAATAAATAAATAAACAAATAAATAAATAAAAGACTGTGGATGAGAAAATAATATCTTATCAATGGCAAGTTTCCTGATTTTGATTGTTGTACTTCAGTTAGGTAAGAGAAAGTCTTTATTCTCAGAAAAGTGCACCTAGAGGAAGAGACGTGATGTCTCAGACTTACTCTCAAAAGGTGCAGGAGAAAAAGAATGTGCACAGAGGGCCGGGTGTGGTGGCTCACGCCTGTAATCCCAGCACTTTGGGAGGACAAGGTGGGCGGATCATGAGGTCAAAAGATCGAGACCATCCTGGCCAACATGGTGAAACCCCGTCTCTACTAAATACACAAAAATTACCTGGGCGTGGCGGCGTGCACCTGTAATCCCAGCTACTTGGGAGGCTGAGGCAGGAGAATCGCTTGAACCTGGGAGGCGGAGGTTGCAGTGAGCCAAGATTGTGCCCCACTGCACTCCAGCCTGGGCAACAGACTCCATCTCAAAAAAAAAAAAAAAAGAATGTGCACAGAGAAAGCAAGACGGTGATAAAGCACAAATGGAACTCCATGGAATATGGTGGGGTATGTGGGAGTTCCTGCTGCTATTCTTGCAACTTTTCCTAATTTGAAACAATTTCAAAATAAAAATTTATGAAAAAAACGTAAAAGCAGCTCAGTACATTGTGGAATTTAATAAGTTATTGGTCTTCAATCAAAACCTACCTGATTTGAGATTGATCTGTTCATCAAGACCATAAAAGCATAATGCAAAGGAGCCAGTGCAATTAACCAGGCCACTGAGACTCTTGGGTCCTTTGCCCTTTCTCTGGTAAGTACTCAGGTAGCAAAAGAAACTCAGTTATTCATTACTTCTACCTGGCCAGCCAAAAAGTTGTCCCAGTCATAAACTGAATCAGTGACCTCTCTTTTCCTTCTTCCCTCCTTTCCTTCTTCCTTCTTTCCTTTCTCTCTTCCTTCTTTCCTCCTTCCCTTCCTTCCTTTTCTTATCTTTCTCTCCAATTTTCATTTCTTCTCTAATACTGAATTACCAGCATTTTCTTTCTCTTTCTTTCCCTCCTTCCTTCTTCTCTCCCTCCCTTCCTCCCTTCCTCTCTCTCTTTCTCTTTCCTTCTTTCTCATTTAGCCTCCATGTCAATAATTGCTTTGATGTGAAAGAACAGCTTCTTCGTTCTTGCTTTCCTGGTTTCCATTTTTCCAGATAGAAGTGGAAGAAACAGTCTTGAAAAGTGCTCAGTGAGAAAAAAAATAGCAGAGTTGAAATTAAATATTGTAATGATGTAAAACAGTAAGCAGCCCTGCTTGACAGCCCTGACAGCTATTTGTTCTAGAAAACAGCATTTATGATGTCAGTCCTATACTGGAGTATGTTTGAATTAAAATAATTATGGCTGATAGCACAACAAAGATCCCTGGAAGTCAATCATCCTTCACAAATACCACAGATAGAACCTTCCCGGTGGCGGGAAAAGACTCTGTCATAGATGGAAGCAACAAAGGACTTGCCGGAGATCCCTCCAGAAACCCAGATGTCCTCTGGGAAGCCAGAATGCCTCACCTCTGAAAGAAGCCCATGTGTGTATGACGTGGCCTCTGAGGCCGCGGTGCCTGTAGGACTGAGAGGACAGGTCACTGTCACTCCTGGGATACACTGCGTCCTTCTCAGGTCAACTGTGTTGACTGAATTGACATGCTTATTATTATTATTATTTGAGACAGGGTCTCGTTCTGTCACCCAGGTTGGAGTGCAGTGGCGTGATCATGGCTCACTACAGCCTCAACCTCACGAGCACCACTGATCTTCTCACCAAGCCTCCCCAGTAGCTGGGACTACATCCATGCATCACCACGCCTGGCTAATTTTTCAAGTTTTTTACAGAAGGTGATCTCATTATGTTGCCCAGGCTGGTCTTGAACTCCTGGCCTCAAGCAATCCACCTGCCTTGGCCTCCAAAAGTGCTGAGATTCCAGGTGTGAACCACCGTGCCCACTGACCCACTGTTTTGGTGATATCATATGGACAACCCAAAGTGAACATCTTTGTCCTCTTTCTCTATTGCAGTTTTAAATTTGAAATTACCAATAGCGCTGATTCAATTTTTGTGCCAAAAAGGGGATCATTGAGGACCTGGCTGAGATGGCCTGATGCCCAGAAACACTTCTTGACCCATAGGTAGACCTCTTTCCAGCTTATTCCTGTTGTTTAGGATTTAATTCTTGGGCTGGGCATGGTGGCTCATTCCTGTAATTCCAGCACTTTGGGAGGCTGAGGCGGGTGGATCACTTGAGGTCAGGAGTTCGAGACCAGCCTGAACAACATGGCAAAAACTCGTCTCTACTAAAAACACAAAAATTAGCCAGGCATGGTGGCGGGTGCCTGTAATCCCAGTAACTTGTGAGGCTAAGGCAAGAGAATCGCTTGAACCCGGGAGGTGGAGTTTGCACGTGAGCCGAGATTATGCCATTGCACTCCAGCCTGGGCAACAAGAGTGAAACTCTCTCTCAAAGAAAGGAAAAAAAAAAAAAAAGATTTCATTCTTTCCAGAGTAAAGCACCTCCAAGGGGGTCGCAGCTTGGCACCCTTCAGGCTTAAGGGAAGTTGTTGGGTTTGGGACTTAAAGCTACTGGGGCTTGAAGGGGTAGGGAAGGAGTGAGAGGAGGGTCAGGGGGGCAGGAGATAAGCAGAGAAATGGGGGGTTTCCTGGGGCCCAAAGCTGGGCCCTGGTAGTGGGGGAGCCTTGTCCCCTCCACTCCTTCAGCTCTGTGCAGGCTGGGCAGGGCAGAGCTTGCAGATCCTAGCCTGGGTCAGAGCCCCCCATGAACACTCCACCCCTTCATCCTGCTCCTTCCTTCTCCCCTTCCTCCACATTCTGGACCTGCTCATCCCAGCCCAGGTTGTGAAACTCTGTTCAGGCTGATCAGTTTCTCTGCATGAGCTCAGGACTGGGGGGTGTGGAGGAACTCCCTCTTCATCTCCATACTGACCTCCCTCTGCATGTCCCTCTGGGACGGAACAGTGTCACCCCAGAATTCCCATCTGCATGGAACTGCAGAGCAGGGCTTGGTTTGGAGTAAGGGTCTTCATAGACATAATTGAGTTAAGGGTCTAAATGCAATCACCCTGGATTTAGGGTGGGCTCTAAACTGAATGACTGGGGTCTTTGCAAGAGAAAGAAGAGAACATTTGGGATGCACAGACACAGAGAGGCAGATGGGAGCCATGTGTCTGTAAGCTAAGAAACCAAGGATCGCCGGGAGCCACAAGAAGCTGGGAGACAGGCCTGGACAGAGTCTCTCTCAGAGCCTCCAGAAGGAAATAACCCCCACCTTCATCTTGAACTTCCAGGCTCCAGAACCATGAGAGAATACATTTCTGTTCTTTGAAGCCACTCACTTGGTGACAATTTGTTACAGCAGCTCTAGGAGACTTCCTTTCTTAATGTTGCAAATATTTATTGAGCAGCTACTGTATTCCAGGGGCTCTGCAACATCCTGGAAGCAATACCAAGACCAGGCAGCCCATGCCACAGCACAGCCCTGAGTAGCAGGCAGGTCTACTGGGACTAGAACTCTAGATCCCATAGATCAGGGGACCTCAAGTCCTTGTTAGGAACCTGGCCTCGAAGCAGGAGATGAGCGGCAGGCCAGACAAGCAAGTGAAGCTTCATCTGTATTTACAGCCACTCCCCACTGCTTGCATCACCGCCTGAGCCCCACCTCTTGTCAGATCAGGGCAGCATTAGATTCTCACAGAAGTGTGAGCCCTATTGTGAACGGTGCCTGTGAGGGATCTAGGTTGCATGCTCCTTATGAGAATCTAATGCCTGATGATCTGTCACCATCTCCCATCACCCCCAGATGGGACCGTCTACTTGCAGGAAAACAGGCTCAGGGGTCCCACTGATTCTACGTGATAGTGCAGTTGTATAATGATTTCATTATATATTACAATGTAACAATAATAGAAACAAAGTGGACAATCAATGTAATGTGCTTGAATCATCCCGAAACTATACCACCCACAACTCTCGGTCCTTGGAAAAATTGTCTTGCCCAAAACGAGTCCCTGGTGCCAAAAAGTTTGGAGACCCCTGCCACAGACCATCACATTTCCCTTCTGCAGACCGAGGCTGGGTCCACAGTGAGTAGACGATGCACCATTTGGCATCCTCTATGTGGACTGCAGCCGCTGAGGAAACTGTAGCATTGTCCCGGTTATTCTGACACCAGGACACGTTCTTTCTCTGGTCGTAAACTGAGCTCCAAGTGCTTTCGAATTGCCCAGCCCTCAGCTCTGAATATGAAATGCTGTTCTTTCACAGAGCCAGGGAAGTTGCCCAGGAAGACCAAATAAAGGCTGGGCACGGTGGCTCACGCCTGTAATCCCAGCACTTTGGGAGGTCAAGGCAGGCAGATCACCTGAGGTCAGGAGATCAAGATCAGCCTGGCCAACAAGGTGAAACCGCGTCTCTACTAAAAATACAAAAATTAGCTGGGTGTCTTGGCATGTGCCTGTAGTCCCAGCTACTCGTGAGACTGAGGCACAAGAATCGCTTGAACCAGGGAGGCGGAGGTTGCAGTGAGCCGAGATCAGGCCACTGCACTCCAGCCTGGCAACAGAGCAAGACTCTGTCTCAAAAAAAAAAAAGAAAAGAAAAGAAAAGAAAAAGAAAACATAGACTGGAAAGGGGATGAGCTCCAACCAAAGAGCTTGAGAAATTGTGCTTTGGATGAGGAGTCAAGATGGAAACTAAAAGGAGAAAGGTGCATAGGGGAGCCCCACAGAGGTGGGCCTGTCCCTGGAGGGAGCAAGGCAGGGCCTGCAGCTCCCGGTGGTGAGTCTTCTCTCTGACGCTGACGATGCTGGCTGGCCGAGACACTGCCCTCGGCACAGGGAGAGGAAGGAGCTGAGCAGAGTGTTTACCTTTGGGGCTCTGGACGCCACCCAGCCGGATCTCGACTTTGAGGTGACAGCCAGCTGGTAGAAGCCCTTGGGCATCACCAGGAGCACCTTTGGGCCACTTTTCAAGCACATATGGGGCCGAGCGCTTTCCTGCTTGACATCATTTGCTTCTCACTGAGAATTCACAAGGGAGGTGTCAGTATCCCCATCTCACAGATGGGAAGACTGAGGCCCACAGGAAAGTAATACCTTCCTGAGGTCGAATAGCTAGTAAATGTAAGCTGCCTGGCTTTCTGTGTCCACAAGAGTAACACATGGTGAAACGTATGGCTAAGTTTAAAAGGCCTCTTTTAATAACTGGAAAATGACATGATAACTAAGAAGAAAGCATGGTGTCATATGTCAATCGGCAGCATTTTCTCTTTCTTAATGGCAGAGACATATAGGTGCATTTTATAATTGATGGTGTCTTAGATTCCATGATACACAGTATTTAATGTTTATTCATTCAATAGGCATTTATCGGTGCCTGCTAAGTGCTAGGCTTGGCACCAGGCTGTGCAAATGCAAGTTTGAGAAAGTGCCTGCCCTCAAGGAGCTGATGCCTCATAGGAGAAGTGAGGCAGATGATTGAAATATTTATAATGTAATTGAGAAGTCCCTTGAGAGGCAGGCAAAGTGCCTCTGGGTGCAGAGTATGACAGATTCTCCAGATGGGACAGTGTTTAAGAGGGTAAGGACTTAACAGGGAGGCAGAGACAGAGAGCTTAGCAGGGCACTCTGCATGCACTCTGACCCCATCTCCATCTGATATGGTTTGGCTGTGTCCCCACCCAAATCTCATCGTAAGTTGCAGCTCCCATAATTCCCTCGTGTTGTGGGAGGACCCAGTGCGAGTTAACTGAATCATGGGGCGGTTCCCCCATATGTTCCTGTGACAGTGAATAAGTCTCACAAGATCTGATGGTTTTATAAGGGGAAACCCCTTCCGCTTGGCTCTCAATCTCTCTCTCGCCTGCTGCCATGTAAGATGTGCCTTCCACCTTCTGCCATAATTGTGAGGCCTCCGCAGCCACGTGGAACTGTGAGTCCGTTAAACCTCTCTTTCTTATAAATTGCCCAGTCTCAGGTATGTCTTTATCAGCAGTGTGAAAACAGACTAATTCACTATCTATCCAGATTTCCTTTCAGGTCTGGTTGCCTGACTGCCCATTGAGCCCCCAGATATAGGGATCTGGCCCTATATCTGCAGCCTCCAGTGCAGAGCTGTGTGGGGAAGCCTGGAATGAAGGCTGTGAGGGGTGGGGTCAGAGTTCAGAGAACCACTCACCCTCTACGAGCTGTTTGCCTGGTGAGGGGTGGTAGAGGCAGGAGTGGGGGGAGTGTATTATGATTATTGGTAGGGAAAAATTCTACGGGCAAGCTCCAAACATCACCCACATGGGGAGAGAGTTTTAGATTCCACACTCTGATGCATGGAATTGGGGTCAAATTCCTTCTCCCCGACTATCTTCCCAGCACACAAAACTCTGTCCACAGCAGCAAAGTGGGTGGAAGCAAAGCTCTGATGATTTAGAAGCTAGTCAGCCTCTGAGAGTGATTCCCTGGACTTGGGTGCTTACTAGCTAGGAAAGTCATTCATTCACTCTTCATTCATTCACTCTTCATTCATTCACTCTTCATTCATTCATGCACTCATTCATTCATTCACTCACTCATTCATTCATTCGCTCTTCATTCACTCACTCTTCATTCACTCACTCATTCATTCATTCACACACTCATTCATTCATTCACTCTTCATTCACTCACTCATTCACTCTTCATTCACTCATTCATTCACTTACTCTTCATTCATTCACTCACTCATTCATTCATGCATTCGTTTGCTTAAAGATATGTTTTCTGAGTTTCTGCACGCACTGGGTGCTGTTCTAAGCATGGAGATCCAGCAGGGAACCGGACAGGTGTTTAGATTTTATCCTGAATGGGATGATGGGTCGCTTGGGATTTCAAGTCAAGAGCACAGCCCCTGATGCAGGGGCTGGGGCTGGGGATATAGGGGTGAGCACACCAGCCGCGCACCGAAGGGAGAAGGTCTGTGCGTGTTTATGTGTGGGTGTCATGGAGTGAATGGTTTAATTATAGCAGCACTGTGCACCGGCTTCCCATTAATAATGCAGTGAATTTCAGCAGCAGATTAAATCCTATAAAGGAGTAAATTGCCCAGGAAAGTGAAGTAACATCGTGGTTGAGGACAATCAGTACATTATAGGTCTTTGATTAGATAGAAGCCCACGGCAGCGGGCAGATGGGCTCTTAGAAACGCACACATAAGAGAAAAACAGGAAGTGCATCAATCAACTTATCAACATCGCTTAAAAGGAATGGGCTTGTGCTAAAGGTGCAAAGGCTGGGAAAGGATCGGCTGGTCCAGAAAGATTATGGCTCTCACATTAGCACCAGGGCTGGGCTGTGGCTTAGCTGCCTGTCCAGAGTTCTAGCTAATGGGTCTTTAAGAACTTTACTTCCCTGCCCACTTTCTGATAGTTAGAAAGCCCATCCATAAAGTTTCTTGCCTTGGGCAGAAAGTTTCTATCCCTATCTCAAAACAACATGTAGGGGCCCTTTAAGGCAAAAACCTTAAGCTATTTCCTGTCTTCTCTTTTGCATTCAGGAAATACTCTTTGAGCTGCTGAACACTTTAGTGTTCAGCCCCTTAACCTAAGGAGGAGCTACACAAATGAAGAACTGTGGAACTGACCTCAGATGCTCTCTCGTTGGAAATTGGCACGCAAACCACAACCACGATGGCGGCTTCTGAGAGGTGGAGGAGAGGGGTGTGGCAAAGCAGCAAGGAAGGGGGTCTGGGGTCCAGCCCAGCTGGGACAGTGAAGGTTCCCTGTTCAAGGGTAAGTAGGCCTTGATCACCTGCTTCAGGTTTGTGGCAGATGAACTGATAAAATGCAATGAAAGACAAGAAGCCAGTGTCAGCACGTAACACGCATCTTTGATGTATGATCAGGAACAAAATCATGGGCAGCCCAAGTGGCTGTTTTAACTCAGTGTGGGGACAGCTGTAAGGAGCAAAGGTGATTGTTTTATGTATTCAGCCATCGGAGAGCCTTGCTTTCAAATGCTCACTTTCTAATTAAGAAACAAAGTATCCTGTTTGATTGGCAGCCACAGTGGATGAAGTCCCCAAGAGGGAAGTAAATGCCACCTGTGATCTGGGAGAGAAAGAGAATCAAAGGACACAGAAGCTGCTGCCTCCTGCCCTTACCACAGCCATCCTGGGAACATCGTTTGTTTGTTTAGTCTTTAGATCATTCACTGGCTGATTCAGTCATTCCCTGGTTCATTATACATTCATTCATTCATTCATTCATAACTCATTCTTTGTTTCTCTCATACATCAACTAACTCACAACTTGCCTTACTCACTGTGACAGCTGACATTCATTGAGATGCTGTGTGACAGACACAGGCATTGCAGATGAATTTTGTAGTTTGTACTAAAAACTACAAACATTACTGAGAGAAAATCAAGAAGGTCTAAATAAATGAAGTGATAGACTCTAATTTTGAATTGGAAGACTTAATATCTTACTATGTCAATTCCTTTTAAATTGATTTGTAGATAAAAATGTAACCCCTATTAAAATCCTAGCAAGATTTTTTTTAAAAATTGATAAACGTATTATAAAACATTTATGGAAAGCCAAAGGGCCTACAATAACCCCAACAATCTTGACAAGAACAAATTTGGGAAACATTTTCTGATGTCAAGATTTTTTCAAGATTTGCTAATAGGTTGAGTACTTGTGTGTAGCCTGTTGCTCCACAGGAGTCCCTACAAGCTGATATGGCAGAAACAATGCTGTATGTGAAATAAAGATCAAGGCAACAGTCTTGCCCTCAGTAGGCTCCCAGGTGCGTTCACTGTTCTCTGAGCTTTCGTCTTCTCTGGCTGAATTCTAGTCCTGTAGCCAGTGCCCCATGCAGCTGCTGGGAGTACCCCCAGCGCCGTTTCCCCCACACCAGCTTATAGGGACTCCTGTGGAGCGCTTTTGTTGTCATATATTTTATCTCTACATACATTGTAAACCTCACAATACAAAATATGAATGTATAAACATATTTAAAAGTACTTCTTATTTACCCACTTATTTACCATTTATAATACTCTTCCTTCCTTTGTGTAGATCCAGATTTCCATCTCGTATTTTCCTTTTGCCCAAAGGACTTTTATTAACAGTTCTTATTGTACTGTTCTTCTGGTGATGGGTCATCTCAGTTTTTGTTTGTGTTCATTTTTAAAGGTATTTTTGCTGAGTTCAGAATGTTAAGTGGACTTTTTTTTTTTTTGAGGACTTTAAAGACCACTCCATTTTCTCTGCCTTGCATAATTTTATATGAGAAGTCTGTTGTCTTATGTTTGTCTTTTTCCCCAGCTTTCAATATTTCCTTTCTTTTTTTGCTATTTTCCAACAATATGTTTACATTGTGCTTAGTGGAGTGTTTCTTCTGTCTGGTGTTAGTCAGACCTCTCGGATCTGTGGGTTTTATAGTTTCATCAAATTTGGAACATTTTCAGCCATCATTTTTTTCAAATATTTTTCTCTCTTCCGCTCTTTCTCCTCTCCCCCTGGGACTCCAATTACATGATGGTAGAGCATGTAATATTGTCCCACAAGCAGCCACTATTGCTCGATTTATTTTTTCAGTGTTGTTTTCCTTTTGTTGTTGTTGTTGTTTTGATAATTCTTATTGCTGTTAATTTCATGGATAATTTTATCTGATGTGTCCAATCTGTTGTTAATACCATCCAATGTATCTTTATTTCAGATATTATACTTTTTATCTCTAGAAGTTTGATTTTTGACTTTTCTACATTTTTCATTTATCTTATCATGTTCATGTTTTCCTTTGCTAGCTGTTTTAACATCCTATTTGGCTAATTTTATCATCTGTGTCATTTCAGGGCCTTTTTCCCATTTCTTGATTTTTCTCCTGGTTGTGGGACATATATTCCTGATTATTTGGATGCCTTTTAATTAGATGCTAGACATTTTCATTTTACTACCTTTCATTGTATTCATTTAAATTGTTGAACCATGTTCTGGAACACTGTTAAGTTACTTGAAATCAACTTGGTTCTTTGGGGAATAATTTTTAAAGTTTTGCTAGAGTTATAAATATTTGTTCACATATATTCATTTTATAAGCCCTGAACACATCCAGAGTAGCATTTATTCTGGGGCCAGTTTGGTTTCAAACAACCCTAAGACAATGCTGAAGGGTGGAGTCATCAGAAATAATTTTATTATTTATATTATTTTACTTCATATTTGAAAGGTATTTTCACTAGATATATAATTCCAGGTTAACAATTCTTTCTTTCAGCCCTTTAAAGATGTTATTCCTTTATTTATTGGCTTCTAGTTTTTTTTGTAAGAAGTCAGTTGTGATTTTTTTTTTTTTTGAGATGAGTCTTGCTCTGTTGCCTGGGCCGGTGCAGTGGTGTAATCTCGGCTCACTGCAACCTCCACCTCCCGGATTCAAGCAATTCTCCTGCCTCAGCCTCCTGAGTAGCTGGGATTACAGGCGCATGCCACCATGCCTGGCTAATTTTTGTGTTTTTAGTAGAGATGGGGTTTCACTACGTTGGCCAGGCTGGTCTCGAACTCTTGACCTCATGATCCACCTACCTCAGCCTCCCAGAGTGCTGGGATTACAGGTGTGAGCCACAGCGCCCTGCCCAGTGATGATTCTTATTGAGTGATTTTTTTTTTCCTGTATGCAATTAATTTTTTTTGGCTGCTTTTACATTTTTCTCTTTATCTTTGGTTTTCAGAAATTTGACTCCGATATGCCTAGCAGAAGTTCCTTCGTGTTTATCCTGTTTGAAGTTTGTTGAGATTCTTGGATATGTGGATTGATATTTTAAATCAAATTTGAAATTTACAGTTACTATTTCTTCAAATATTGTTTTCTGCCCCATTTTTTTTATCCTCTCTGTTTGGGACTCCTGTTACATGTATTTTAGATTACGTAACATTGTTCCACAAATCACAGCGATTCTATTAATCTTGTTCACTCCCACTTCCCTTTGTACTTATGTTTGGAGAGTTCCTATTGGCCTGCCTTCAAGTTTACTGATGCTTTCTTTTGCAATGTATCTGCTGCTGTTAAGCCCATTCAGTGAATGTTACAATTTCAGATCTTTTATTTTTAAGTTCTACAAGTTCCATTCAGTTTATATATATATAATATATATATATATAGTGTCTATTTCTCCGTTGAGATTCCCCATCTGTTCACTTTTTACATATATATTCATTTTATTTATATATATATTTTACATATTTATTCATTTTACATATATTCATTTTATTCATATATATTCATTTTATAAGTCATGAACACATTTATAAGGGCTGTTTTAAAAATCGTGTTTGCTAATTCCCATATTTATATTATCTCTGGGTTTGTTTCTATTGACTTGGTGTTTCTCTTGGGTATTTTGTCACATTTTCCTGCTTCATATATCTAGAAATGTTTTACTATATTCCAAATATTGCTGACACATTATTGATCATTTGGATTATTTTGTCTTTATTTAAAGAGTGTTGGATTTTTTTCTGGCAGGTAGTTAATTTGCTGGTGGATCGGCTGAATCTTGTCTTGGCTTGGTTTTAAGCTTTGTTAACGTGGATCTGAAGTAGCTCTTACTCTAACGCTGTAGTAGCCCTATTCCTAAGGTGTGGACTTTTGAAATCTCCACTAAATTTTTGAATGTTCAGCAATGTCTCCCCACTTTGGCTGGTCAGAACTTCAATGTCTCCCAGCACGGTGCTGGGAGACATTGTGCTTTAGAATCTCCATTTAGCTCACAGCTCTCTAATAGTTGTTCTGTGTCAGGCCTTATGTAGTCTCCTCCTAAGCATAACCTGCTTAGTATTTGACCAAAAACTCTAGGGAACTCCATGTCAATCTTGGGACATACTTGTATGCATAGCTCTCTCTACTCTGGTACCCTGCCCTGCAAATTCCAGATTCCTCAGCAACCTTGAATTATTTTTATTTTTATTTTTTATTTTATTTATTTATTTATTTACTTATTTATTTTGAGCTGCAGTCTCACTCTGTCACCCAGGCTAGAGTGCAGTGGCACGACCTTGGCTCACTGCAACCTCCACTTCCTGGGTTCAAGCTATTCTCCTGCCTCAGCCTCCCGAGTAGCTGGGATTACAGGCAGCTGCCACCATGCCCAGCTAATTTTTTTGTATTTTTAGCAGAGATGAGGTTTCACCATGTTGGCCAGGCTGGTCTCAAACTCCTGGCCTCAAGCGATCTGCCCATCTTGGCCTGCCAAAGTGCCGGGATTACAGGTGTGAGGTACCACTCCCAGCCAGCAACCTTGCTTTCTGTTTTCTACTTTGTCCACCCAATGATAGAGCTTTCTGTTTGGGTTCTTCTTTCCCATACCTCAGTTTGGAAATGCTCCCAGGCAAAAATCCTAGGTAGAAATGGATCTTACCTTGTATGTTTTCATCCTCCCATGGATCTTAGCCTCGTGCCGTATTCTGCCCAAAGCCTGTTGTCAAAAGCCTGCCTGAAGTAAAACTGCTCCTTTACTTATTGTACCACCTCTGTAGTAGTCTGTAGCAAGGCGGTATGTCTGATGCCCATTATGCTACCACGGCAAAACTGCTAAATCTCTTTCTAGCTATGGAAATGTTACTTCTCAGAAGCCACCTCCAGCACCCCCACCCTGGCCTTATTGTACTTATCTTTATAATCTAATTGGCATCACAAGTTCATGTCTGAAACAGTCATTGACGAGGTGAGTGGAATCACCATGATTAATTTTGACTACATCAAGCTCCCGCTTGGGCTGGGGGAAGGGATTCCCCCTCCCTAAGCACATGCATGTCCAGGATCTGGGCATGATCAGGTTCCATTACTAAGGGAGAAGGGGACAATGAGTGTGGGTGGCTCAAGGGTCCTGCCTCCCTTGTCCTCTAACTTCTCAGTTTCCAGACCCCATCTCAGGAAGCCCAGCTCTGCTCTTATGTCGGTCCTCAGGAGTTTGTGTCTTCATTGTAACCTTCTGCACTGGGCTGAATTTGTCCCCTCAAAATTCATGTCCATCCAGGATCTATGAATGTGAGCTTATTTGGAAAAAGTGTCTTTGCAGGTGTAATCGGGTTAAGATGAGGGCACACTGGATTAGAGTGGCCCCGATCCAATGACTCGTCCTTATAAGAAGAGGAAAATGTGGGCACAAAAACATCCACAGAGGGAAGACAAAGCCAGACACAGGGAAGGTGGCCACGTGAAGACACAGGCAGAGGGTGGAATGAAGCACTGATAAGCCAATAAATGCCAAGGTCAGCCAGCAGCCACCAGAAGCTAGGGAAGAACATGGAGCAGATTTTTCCCTCCAAGTCTCCAGAAGGAACCAACCCTGCCACTACCTTGACTTTGGACTGCTGGGCTCCAGAACTGTAAGAGGAGACACTTCTGTTGTTTTAAGCCACCCATAGTTTGCAGTGCTTTGTTAGAGCAGTCCTAGGAGATGAATATACATTCCAATAACAGGCCATTTTGTTGAGCTGGTTTGAGCAGTTTTCTATCTCTTTGCTTAAAGCAAAGGAAAATCCTTCACCATCATGCTCCTCTTCCTCCTTCACCTTCTTTGGAAATTCCACTTCCTCCTGTCCTGTTAAGTCTGCACAATGCCCTCACCAGCCCTCCTTTTCTCTCACCAGGGACCAGCTTTTGCCCTTCACATGCCCTTGGCCCTCAGCCGCATGACCTCTATGGTTTATGTTGCAGACTCTGAGGGACATCTGTTCTGTCTTCTCCCAGTATCGGGGTCCCACTGTCAGCACCCAGAGAGTAGACAGACTGGTGTGTTACACAGTGTGTGATGGACCGGCACTGTGATGGTTAATTTTATGTCAACTTAACTGGGCTAAGGGATGCCCAGATAGCCGGGAGAATATTATTCTGGGAAGGCCTGTGAGGGTGTCTCTGGAGGAGGTTAGCATTTGAATCAGTAGTTTGGGAAGAGAAGATCCACCCCCACCCACGTGGGCAGTCATCTATCAACCCTTCGAGGGCCCAGAGAAAACACAAAAGCAGAGGAAGAGCAAACTCTGTCTCCCTCCTTGATCTGGGACATCCATCTTCTCCTGCCCTGACACTGGAGCTCCTGGTTCTCAGGAACTTCAGACTCCAGGACTTGCCCCAGCAGCACCAGGTTCTCAGGCCTTCAGCCTCAGACTAAGGGTTGTGCCACCAGTTCACCTGGATCTCAGACTTTCAGACTCAGACTGAATGACACCTCCAGCTTTCCACGTTGTCCAGCTGGCAGATGGGATATCATACGATTTCTCAGCCTCCATGATCATTGAGCCAATTCATCACCTGTATCAATATCAACATCTATATCTATATCATCTATTAATATATCTATGTCTATTTCTATACTATCCATTTCTGTCTGTCTATCCGACTGTCTATCCACCCATCCATCCATTTATCTATCTATCTATCCACTGTCTATCCATCTATTTGTCTATCTCTGTCTGTCTGTCTGTCTGTCTGTCTGTCTATCTATCTATCTATCTATCTATCTATCTATCTATCTATCTATATATCTCCTATTGATTCTGTTTCTCTGGAGAACCCTGACTAATGTGAGGCAACTATTGGGAGTGGTTTGGGGCTGCAGAAATCTGTGAATCTGAAGCCAGTCAACCAGATGGAGTCTGGAGAGGCCGAGCCCTCAGCGCCAGGGCCCTCTCCCACACTCCAGCTCCGCATTTGGAGCCAAGGCCCTTCATCTGCTAAATGCAAACCCAAAGTGAAGGGCCCCCGGGACCCAGGATTATGGACACTCAAAACTAATGCCAAATAAACAAGGCAAAATTATTTGTAATTACTCCTAAAGTCATTTACTTGTATCAGTAATTGACCTGTGCATTCTTTAATCTTTAATGCGCTTTTAAAATTCAGCCTCAGGGAGTCATCTTGCTTATTGACATTTGTCCTGGTGAGGACTCTGGAGGCATGAGGCTTTGGTTAAGATGTCTTAAAAAGAAATAACCAATTTAGGAAGCCATGACTTTCACACATCAGGGTAAGGAGGCACAGGGAGAGGGGCTGTAGCTGCCTGTGTTTTCCCTGGTCAGGACAACAATGGTAGTGACGACGATGATGATGATGGTGACGACGATGATGATGATGGTGACGACGATGATGATGATGATGGTGACGACGATGATGATGATGATGATGACGATGATGACGATGATGATGATGATGATGATGGCGGCACTAAGATTTATTGAAGAATCTGTATGACTTCAATTAATCCTCTTAAGGAAGCTTTAGAATAGGTGCTATTATGAGCTTCATTTTACTGGAGGAGACTATGGCATGGAGAAGCTACATACATTTCCTTAAGATACGCTTTGATTAGATACTGAAGGCAAACTCGACCTCACATCTGCAGAAGCCTCAAACCTTCATCCTACTGCCCCTGATAGGGTGGCCAACAACCACTGCCTTGCAAAGCGGCCGACTGAGGATGCCATACCTGCAGGTCACCTTGGGAAATTACCTGTCTCATCTGTGGTTTTCTTGTCTGCGGAATGGGCATCGTTTTTCACACGTTATTGCAGGTGGTGAGGACTACATGAGATTACACGAACGCGGCTGCTTTACAGACACAGCTCTCTTAGCTTCCTTCCATGCAAGACTGGAGCAAAGGATCTGAGCTGGGTGCAGATGGGGTTTTTCCCCCTCATCTTCTGAAGATGGAAATGTGGACAGACACTTTGCTAACTCTTTATTTTACCCCTTTGAGTGCTGCCAAAGCCAGTGTTTAGCATTGCGAAAGAAACCACACGGGGCTAGTTTGCTGCGGGAGTTATAAATCTCTCTTGGAACAGATTTGAAAACTGGTGACACAGAACAATTGCCCCTGGGGTCAGCAGCTGGGCCATTTGGGGGCCAGACACCACCTTTAGGATTCCCGGTGACGCCTCCCCTCCCATCCTGGTTCCAGGTTCTGCCACCAAGGGCAGGAGAATGCTGAGGAGCATTTCTGGAACCTCTAGACTTCCGACTCCCCCGCTCTGAAGGTGCACTTTGAGGAGGGCTGGACAGTGGAGGCTCCACCTAAGTGGTCCTCTGAGGCCTGAGGTCGGGTGAATTCTGGAGTCTCCAGACCTTACCCAAGAGCCCCTGTCTGTCCTCTTTCCCCATTAGTGTCCCCAGCGGGCCTTCCTGTCCACTGCCGCGGCTCCGTGGAGACCCACCCGGCCATCTCCAACCACATTGCTCCTGCTCCAACCCCAAAGCCCAAGCCCTCCTCCCCTCCCAGCCATGGGTGCTGACACCCCCACACTGTTCCTTCTAGCCTGAACCCTGGCACTTGCCTTTCTTTGGGGCCTCAGCTCTAATCAGGTGCAAGCTTTGCTAATCCTTCCTATGAGTGACCTCTTGTGCTCCTCCTCCCTCCTTCCTCCCTCCTCCATCTGAGATTCTGCATCAGCTCCATCCTAATCTCTAACTGGCCTCTGGATGAAGGAGCCCAGGTGAGCCCCTCCATTTGCTGACCTCCCCCTCCCCGCTGTGGGCCCTGCAACCTCCTTGAGCTGGTCCCCACCCACCCACATCTTCTTCTTCACACTCCCCAGCACTCAGCACACCCCAGCCAAAGCCACGTTGTCACTAAGCCAGACCATGTCACACCCAGCCCAGGCTCCTGCCTTTTGGGTGTAATTTCACAGTTGACATCCTCTGCTTTATTTCGAGCCGAGCTGAGCTTTATTTCGAGCTGAGCTGCCCCTTCAGCTCTCAGCCAGTTTCCTGCATTTGCAGCCCTGGCTTCTGGGTACCTCACCAACCTGCCACACTCCCTGGGCCGTCCGCAAGAACCCAGCCCCGTGCCCCCTTCCTGGAATTCCTCAGGAGCATGGAGTCTGTTTCACATCGGCCACTTTCTGGCGTGTCTTAGACCAGCCGCCTGATTCCCTTTCCCGGACGGCGAGCGCCAGGAATGTGCCATCCGCATTCCACTTTATCTTGTATCTCCCTGGGCTCCCAGCCCCGCGCCGGGCGAAGAGCCGGCACTCAATCAACGCCTGCCTAATGAATTGGCTGAATAAATTAATTTGGGGTTCATTTTCCCGGCCCCCTGCTTGGATGGGGAGGCTGCCTCCCTGACCTGTGGGGTGAGGCCCCTGAGGGCGGGACAGGACTGTGCACTGCCTAGTACATTAAACCGGGTCTCAGATTCCATTAAATCGAGGGGGAGGGAGTGCCTGCCGAGGAGGCTCACCCCAGAGGCCCTGCACGCGGCTCGGGCTGTTTAAGGAGGTTAAAACGAGAGGAGAAGGCTCTACAGCTAATTGTCCTTGTGCGTTAATCACAGTGTGCTGCGGGGGCGCCTGTTAGAATGTGTTAATTTGGTAATTACCGAGGAGGGGGAGGCTGCTCTGTAACCCTCGGCCTTTGTCATTATTTTTTAACTGAAATATGAAATGGAAATGGAAAGAGTGAGAAATTCCAGCCAGGATTTAAACCCAGATAGTGGAAATTCCCATCAGTTCACGTCCTCCTCTGCCGCTGCTGGAATGCCCCACGCAGGTGTCTCGTCTTCGTTTCTGCCCAGCCTAGATGTCTTTGCCCCCTTTTGAGCTTCCGGGTCCCAACACTGAGAGGGGCTCTGTCACCTTCTGTTTCTTGGAGAGACAGGAATGGCGGCCACACTTTATGACAGATATCATAATAGCCCAAAGATTCCAGACCCCGGGGCTCAAGCCCTCCTCCTTGCAGGTCTGGCCTGTATCCCCCACGGCCTTCGTTAATGGGCTGGGGGCTCCCCACTCCCCCAGATGGAATCTTCTCATCTCCCTGCTCAGGCAAGGCTTCTTTTTGCCTGTTGCACTAACTATGGTCCTTGATTTCATCTCTCTCCTCCCTGTTTCCCCACCCCAATCACAGCTCAGATACCAAGTATGCTGGGAACAACCAAGACCCAGGGGGCCGCTTGCTGCTAGCTTATTGTTTGCGGAGTCTTAAATGTGCATAACAGCTGTGCACAGTGTTGCAGAGCCATGCACGAAGCGGACATTGCAACCAACCAGGACTGGGAATTCCATCTTCTCTGCTTTCAAGAGCTCAGGCCTGATTGGTGGTCCTACCTCCCAACTATCTCTGGAATCTCTGCTTTTCTCCTAATTCCATTGCTGCAAAGAGTCTAGATGAAGACTTTGAACTTTTGCCTGGACACCTCCAGTATCCTGATGAAGTCGTTCCCTTCAGCCAGGCTCTGTTTCCTCTGAGCCTGGGTGGAAACAAACAGAGCCTGGTCACCCAAGGACATGAGTATTGGGAACACGGACTCGGATGAAAATCCCAAAAAAAGCCAAAGTCCTCCCAGCGGCCCTCATCCTCAGTGATCAGGCCCCGTTGCTGCTCGGACCTCTCTCTCTCTGCTCCGGCCCCGCTGCCTGCTCTGCTGCACTGGGCTTGTGGGGCTGGGGTGGCTCTGGACACTGGGATATTTTTATTTAACTCCCAAGGCAATTCTAACGTGCAGCCGGGTGGACAGCCAGGATCTCCAGGAGAAGTTCACGTCCTTCTCTGCCGCATCTCTAACCCGGCCTGGGTCTATGGCCCCGGCTCCTCTCCCTCCCCTCCCCATCTTCTTCTCTCCTCCCAGCCCCCCACGCTTAAATCACATCAAACCTCAGCCCGTTCTCTTTTCACCCCTCTGTGCCTTTGCACTTGCAATCGTTCCTGCAGAAAAGAACCTCTGTTAATGTTTTGGGATTTCCTCCAGTCTGGGCAGCCTCCCGTCATCTCCTCAGTGGACACGTATCGACCCCTTCTCGTTCACTGTCTTACTTCATCTTTCAGCTCCACAGAGCAGACTGTGTTTATCTCTAATAGTCCTCGTTCTGCTGCATTTTAATCATTTGTTTACCGGCTCTAAATGTGGAAATACAGGGGCTTTGGTGCCAGCAGACCTGGGTTGGAAGGCTAAGTTCCGCCACTTATATTCTGTGGCTTTGCGTAAGTCACAAAACAGCTCTGAGCCTCAGTTTCCTCATCTGTAAACCACAAGCCTTCACTCAACCCATTTTTTATTGAGCACCTACTAAGTACCATGCAGGTCAGACCCATCTTCTCATTTAACCTTTGCAGCACCCCTGTGAGCTAACACATGGCATTTATGAATCCAAGCTGGGGAGGGGACCAGCTCCAGCCTGGCTGGCCATAGACCTTGGCCAAATTGCTCAGGACCACCCCACCCCGCCTGCCAACTGCTGTCCCCAACCCTGGATGTCCCATGTTTGTCTCTGGTTCTGTGGGTGAGACACCCACTCCATGGGGATGTTGTGAGGGTCGTGTTCAATGTAGGCATGTGTGACTTAACACTGGGAAATGTTCTGAGACATTTTTCATTGTGTGGACATCACAGAGGGTACCTACACAAACCCAGGTGGTACAGCCTGTGGTATATGGTGTATGCCTGTGGACCCAGGCTACAAACCTGTACAGCACGTTAGTGTACTGCAGTACTGAATGCTGCAGGCAATTGGAACATGGTAGTAGGTATTCATGTTTCTTTTCTTTTCTTTTTCCTTTTTTTTTTCTTTTTTTTGAGATGGAGTCTTGCTCTGTCGCCCAGGCTGGAGTGCAGTGGCACAATCTCGGCTCACTGCGACCTCCACCTCCCAGGTTCAAGCAATTCTCCTGCCTCAGCCCCCCAAGTAACTGGGACTACAGGCGTCAGCCACCACACCCAGTTACTTTTTGTATTTTTAGTAGAGACTGGATTTCACCATGTTGGCCAGGATGGTCTCGATCTCTTGACCTCGTGATCCACCTTCATCGGCCTCCCAAAGTGCTGGGATTACAGGCGTGGGCCACCATGCCTGGTATTCATGTTTCTAAACACATCTAAACATAGAAAAGGTTGGGTCAAAATACAGTATTATAATCTTATGGAGCCACCATCATCAATGCGGTCTGTGCTGACGCAAATGTTGTTACATGGTGCATGACAGTAGCACCTGCCGAGCACTGAGAACAAGGAAGCCCTCAGTGCACGTTAGCTGTCATTGTCATCACTGTCTTCTCATCACCTGCCAGGTGGAGAAATGGCTCTTACACCTTCAGTCTTGTAGGATTGTTCAGAAGATTAAATGAGATAATAGAGTAAACTGCAGCATACAATAAATTTCTTAATAAATGTCCCTTTCCTTCCTTCCTTTTCCCCTGACCCCACTACCTCCTTTAGGGACTCTGTTCCTTGGACAATGATTGCTTCCTTTATGCTCTGGAGTCCAGCAGAGACTGACACACAGTTGGGGCTAAACACGTCTGAGGGTGATGAAACTCCCATTTCTGACGCCGTCAACTTGTTTTCTGTAATGTTAGCCCTGCCATATTCCAGCTCGACAGAGCTTGGGCAGCCCGAGGTGGTGACTGTATTTGGCCATCAGCCATGTCCCTTGCAGGGCCAGTCTCTGAGGTGCCATGAGACCTTCTGTGCCTGGCAAGCCGGGGCACTTCGGAGAATGGCAGCTGCCTGGTTTCTCAGGGGAGCAACTACATTCCTAAGTCGCTTGGGGATCGCTTGACTTCCCTCATTCATTCACCCATCCTTCCATCCATCTATTCCTTCATCCAGCAAATTGGACCCCTTCCGTGTGCCAGACACTGTTCTGAGCAGAAGCACCTGCCCTTGAGGAAGTGACACTCCAGTGGGGAGAGACAAGTAAGCTCACAAAGATCTATCTGCAAAATCAAATTCCAGGTAGTGATCAGTGCCACGAACAAAAATAAAAATGAATAAAGAGATGTAAAATGATTTCCTTCCCCAAGGGCAGAGGATTCTTTCTAGCAGGTTATTTGGAAAAGTTCCCTCTGAAGAGGTGACATTTGATCATTGTTAAAGTCACATGCATCATTGTGAACATTTCACAAAACACAGAAGAACCTAATGCTTTCGCACAAACCATCATCTAGAAATCACACCATCTCAACATCTTGTCGTTTAAAAATTGATATATAATAATGGTACATATTTCTGGGGTCCCTGTGATATTTTGATACATGCAGACAATGTGTAATGATCAAATCAGGGTAATTAGGCTATCCATCACTTCAAACATGTATCATTTCTTTGCCAATGCCTTGTCTTTTGTCGTCTTAAAGTACAGATTTGCATCATGCTTTTTAAAATTTAACATTACACTATAATTATTTTGTAGCTGTGTTTATGTTTTTCTGTTTTCAAGTATCAATATATAGTATGGATTTTTAAAAAATTGGTACTGTAAATGTACATGAAGTTTTTCTGTCTTTACAAAAGAAGTGCATATTGTTGTATGAATTCTAGAAAATCAAGATAAGGAAGAAAATTAAAATCCTTCATAATCCTACTCATTGAGCATACTGGTCTATGTCTTTCCCATTTTTTCCTTCCTTATAAACATGGAAAGACATCATACCTAGAGCATGTTCAGTTTGTGTCTGGCTTTTTCATAATCATACTTTAAAACTGGAAAGCTGGTGTGTGCAAGTGGCAGGGGGAGCTTACCTCACAGGACACAGCAGCAGAACCCATGGGCTTTGGCCCACTCTGCCCCTGACTTTAATGTTGCCAAGTCATTTAATCTCTGAGTCCCGGGTTTCCCGTGTGCAAGAGGGAGTCATAAGTCCTCTCTGGACCTCAGGCCTGGGCTAAGAACCAGAGGGCAGAGAGTGGCCCTACAAGGTCTCAAGGAGGAGGGATGCCTCTCTGTGACCTTGCCCTAGTGTGAACATGCAGAGTTGACTTGGGAAAGATTCCAAGCACCTGGGGATGGGGTCATATGAAGCTCTTCCAAGACACAGTGGCTCACGCCTGTAATCCCAGCACTTTGGGAGGCCGAGGCAGGCAGATCACCTGAGGCCAGGAGTTCGAGACCAGCCTGGCCAACATGGTGAAACCCCATCTCTACTAAAAATACAAACATTAGCCAGGCATGGTGGCAGGCACCTGTAATCCCAGCTATTCGGGAGGCTGAGGCAGGAGAATCGCTTGAACCCAGGAGGCAGAAGTTGCAGTGAGCTGAGATCACACCATTGCATTCCAGCCTGGGCAACAAGAGCAAGACTCCACCTCAAAAAAAACCCAAAACAAACAAACAAAACACATGTATTGAATCTTCGCTTTACATTTTCCTTCTTTTCTTCTCTTTTTTTTTTTTTTTGAGTCTCGCTTTGTCACCCAGCCTGGAGTGCAGTGGCGCAATCTCGGCTCGCTGCAACCTCTGCCTCCCAGGTTCAAGCAATTGTCTTGCCTCAGCCTCCCAAGTAGCTGGGATTACAGGCACACACCACCAGGCCCGGCTAATTTTTGTACTTTTTAGTATGGATGGGGTTTCACCATGTTGGCCAGGTTGGTCTCGAACTCCTGACCTTGTGATCTGCCTGCCTTGGCTTCCCAAAGGGTTGGGATTACAGGCATGAGCCACCGTGCCCAGCCCTACATGTTCTTCTTTAACCCTTGCAGCATCTCTTTGAAGTTGGCATTACTCAGCCCATGGGACAGATGAGGAAACCACCTCAGCCAGCCTAGGAAACCTGTCCTGAGTCCCACAGTTCAGGAGCGATGTGGGGATTTGCACCAGGATCCACATGGCCCGAGGCCATGCTCTGAACTGTTCAGCTGTAGAGGATAAACTGTCCTGGCGTCTCTATGAAGCGGTGCAGTGGGCAAGCTGCCCAGAGCGTCCTGGGAAGAGCACATTTTGTTTGCTGTGAAACTACTCAAGTTAAATTGTGAGAGAGAATCCACTAAATGAGTCCTAACATTTCCTTCTCTCCGAGTTGACACTGGGCCCTCCTGGAAACAGAATTCAATGCCAGAAAGCTGTCAGCCAGAACGATGCATCGGTTCCCCTCAGTCCCCCTCCGCTTAACCCATGTATGCCTGAGGTTGCAATTTTTTGAATTTTTGCAATCAGACCTTGGTGCTGACCTTGAGCAGTAGGCTGTAAATAACTCCCCCATGCTTAGCGTTCCAATAATGGAACAGTAGGCATAAACAGACCCAGGGACTGACACATGTAGCCGGGGACTGAGAAGCCCTGATTGAGACAGGGAGCGCATGTCTCTGATGAACCCGAGCTTATTCATTTAGAAAAAAATTAGAGGCTGGGCATGATGGCTCACGCCTCTAATCCCAGCACTTTGGGAGGCCAAGGCTGGCAGATCACGAGGTCAGGAGATCGAGACCATCCTGGCTAACATAGGGAAACCCCATCTCTACTAAAAATACAAAAAATTAGCCAGGTGCGGTGGCGGGCGCCTGTAGTCCCAGCTACTCAGGAGGCTGAGGCATGAGAATGGCGTGAACCCGGGAGGCGGAGCTTGCAGTGAGTGGAGATCGCGCCACTGCACTCCAGCCTGGGAGACAGAGCAAGACTCCGTCTCAAAAAAAAAAAAAAAAAAGAAGAAAAAAATTAGAAATATTTTCTTAATGAAAAAGTAACATTTTCAAAATATAACAAATAAATTAGTGACAAAAAATGATTTAAGAGTACCTCTCCCTCTCGCCCCAGGCCCCCAAGTCCTCCTTCTCAGAAGCAACTGTTGAGAATTTCTAGTGTATCCTTCCAGAAGTTCCTTGTGTACATGTGCTCATATATGTTTGTGTATCTTTATACACCACTCTGCATCCTTTGCAAATAACCTGTCTGATCTCTTTTAATATCAGCGCATTTGCATCTGCCTCAGTCGTTTTATTGGTTGCATTATTCCACTGCCTTGATTAGGCCCTGGTTTAATCTTTTTTTTTGTTTTTTTTTTGAGGCGGAGTCTTGCTCTGTCACCCAGGCTGGAGTGCAGTGGCGTGATCTCAGCTCACTGCAACCTCTGCCTCCCGGGTTCAAGTGATTCTCCTGCCTCAGCCTCCAGAGTAGCTGGGACTACAGGTGTGGGCCACCATGCCTGGTTAATTTTTGTGTGTGTGTGTGTATTTTTAGAAGAGATGAAGTTTTGCCATGTTGACCAGGCTGGTCTCAAACTCCTGACCTCAGACAATCCGCCCACCTTGGCCTCCCAAATTGCTGGGATTGTAGACGTGAGCCACTGTGCCTGGCCTGGCCCTGGTTCATCCAACGAGCCCCATGCTGATGGGAGTTTTGGGGGCATTTTACAGTGCTCTACTCTTTACAGATGCTGCTGCAATAAACATTCCCGCACAGGCATCTTTGGACCCTGGTATGGTTTGGATCTGCGCCCCCACCCAAATCTCATGTTGAATTGTAATCCCCAATGTTGGAGGTGGGTCCTGGTGGGAGGTGATTGGATCATGGGGGTGGTTTCTCCTGGTTTAGTACCACCCCCTGGTGCTGTCATTGCGATAGTGAGTTCTCGTAAGATCTGGTTGTTTTAAAAGTGTGTAAACTGCCCCGTCCTCCCGACCCTGTCTCTCTCTTGCTCCTACTCTGGCCAGGTAAGACGTGCCTGCTTGTCCTTACCCTTCTGCCATTAGTTTAAGTTTCCTGAGGCCCCCGAAGAAGGCAAGCGGATGCCAGCATTATGCTTCCCAAATAGCCTGCAGAACCGTGAGCCAATTAAAACTCTATAAATTACCCAGTCTCAGGTATTTCTTTACAGCAGGGAGAGAACAGACTAATACAAACTCATATCCAAATATACCTAAAAGCCACAGCAGATTTTATTAGTGCTCTGCAAGTCCTAACAAATGTGGAGTCTCGCTCTATCACCCAAGCTGGAGTGCAGTAGCATGATCTCTGCTCACTGCAACCTCCACCTTCCGGGTTCAAGCAATTCTCTGCCTCAGCTTCCTGAGTACCTGAGATTACAGGTGCCGGTCCACCACGTCCAGCTAAATTTTGTATTTTTAGTAGAGACAGGGTTTCACTTGTCCGGGTTGGTCTTGAACTCCTGACCTCATGATCCACCTGCCTCGGCTTCCCAAAGTGCTGGGATTACAGGCTTGAGCCACTGGGCCCAGTTGACAATAGAATCCTCTATGTAGAATATCCAGTAGACTCAACTGACAAATTATTAGAACTAGTAGGAGAATTCAGCAAGATGACTAGATAGAAGCTCAACATAAACAGAATCAATTGTTTTCACACACTCCAGCAATAACTAATCAGAAAATGTAATAGGAAAGAAAAAGAAGTGAAATTTCGGGGCCAAAATGTCCTCTAAAGCAGTGGTTCTCGAACTTCAGCCTATATCAGAATTACCTGGAGGGCTTGTTAGAATGCATATTCCTGGGCCCCACCTGCAGTTTCCAACCAGCAGGTCCTGACTGGTGCCTGGGAATCTGTATTTTTTTCAAGCTCTGGGTGAGGCTGATGCTGCTGGTCTTTAAACCCTGCTTTGAGTAGCAAGGATCTAAAGATATTATTCCTGTTTCCACTGCGCCTATTCCCAAAAAGCCTTTGCTGTTTTCCCAGTTGGATGGGTGAAAAATCTTATTTTGTGGTTGTAATTTGCATTTCTTTAATTATGAATGAGGCTGAGGCTCTGCCCACATGCTTGGCCTTGGCCTTGATTTTCATACCACCAGATGTTAAAGGGACAGCTATGGGTTGAGGTGAACTCACATGACCAGATGGCAGCGCCATCCCCCATTGGATTCTGCCCACCTCTGCAGCTATGAATTCCCATTTATAGTGAGAAGAGACCTTGAAGGCCCCACAGGACAGTCCCTGCCTCCAGGAAGACTCTGTTCCATCCATCCAACCGGGAGCCGGGAGCCAGTACTCACAGCCCACGTAAGAGCATTTTCCAACATTGAACTACCTTTTTGGTGGAAAGAGCAAAGAATTTGAAAGCAGAAAACCTACTATCTCAAGCCACAACTTCACTAAAAATGCAAAGTGACGCCAGATGGGCAAGTAAGTTGAATTGCAGCAGTGCTAGCATCTCAGGCAAGGGCTTTATTACGTATTTAAAGCAATGCTTTGACACTCGGGAAATAGCAAGATGGATCGGAGGAAGCTAGAGAGCCGCCCTGTGTGAGGTGAGCGTTTTCATGCCATTTAAATTGCGCAATTTTAGCAATGCATCCTGGCATGTTTGTTAATAAAGACACAGAGCCGAGGCAACACATAGTGTTTTTGTTTCAGCCCATTGTCTATCTCCAGAGAAATGTTATTGGAATCATATTGCATTTTCAGGTCCGATGAAGCTGCAGTAATATAAGCATTTTATGCAAATGTGTTGTGGTGGAAAGAATGGCATGTCATGTGCCATAAATCTTAAGGTAACCGCAGCCCTTGTTACTCCTCAGTTTTAACACATCCTGATAGGAGGCAATTATTTCGGACCAACAAACTGCCTTTCATAGAAGTTTGTCTCTGCTTGAAGCTAGAGCCTGTTTACTAGTATAGATTTATGAGGTCTGATGACAGGCCAGCCCAGGTGGCCATGAGCATGGCCATGGAAGGAGATGAAGGCTTGCCCATTCACCATTCACATATGCATCCCTCTCTCCCTCCATCCCTTCATCCCTCCATCCATCACTCCATGCCTCCACCTCTCCATCCTTCTATCCCTCCATTCACCCATCTATCTGTGCATACATTCTTCCATCCATGAATCCCTCTATGCTTCCTCCATCTATCCATCCATCCCTCTATTCCTCCTTCTGTCGCCCCATCCATCCACTCTCCATCTCTCTATTCCTCCATTCACCCATCTATCTGTCCATACATTCTTGCATTCATACAGCCCTCCAACCCTTCCTCCATCTATCCATCCATCCCTTCATCTGTCGCCCCATCCCTCCACCTCTCCATCCTTCTATCCCTCCATTCACCCATCTATCTGTCCATACATTCTTCCATCCATGCATCCCTCTATGCTTCCTCCATCTATCCATCCATCCCTCTATTCCTCCATCCGTTGCCCTATCCCTCCACCTATCCATCACTTTATCCCTTCATTCACCCATCTATCTGCCCATATGTTCTTCCATCCATGCATCCCTCCATCCCTTCCTCCATCTATCTATCCCATCCATCCATCCATCCATCCATCCATCCATCCATCCACACATTCTTCTCTCCTTCCATCTACCTATCTATTCTTCCACCCATCCCTCCATCCACCCATCTCTTTGTCCTTCTGGGAGTTAGAATCAAGTCATGGAAAAAAGGGCTCTGGCCTAAAGCTCCAGTGCTAGAGCAGCTGAGATAGAGTCTTAGCTCTTTCACTTACCACCTGGGTGATTTGGGGCAGAGGTCTTAACCCCCCTCAGTTTCAGTTTCCTCATCAGCAGTTGTCAGAATCAAAACGGAGTCCACGCTCACAAATAAACCTGGAGAAGACCATAAAGAGAGGGTTATTATGCATAAATGCCTGATAACAAAAACTGTCCAAAAGACTCTGCAAAATACACAACCTTGTACAAAGGTCATCACAACCTTACACAAAAGATACCTTCTGCATGACACCTGCTCAGAAATCGCCTGTCCGCTCTGGCATCACCCTTGTTATTGGTCCTTGTAGCTAAGGGTAATCATTTCAGAACAATTATTTAATCCTCCTTATTTTATTTTATTTTCCCTTTAATACTCTTTGCCTTGCTTTACCTCCCTCACATGTACATTGTTTACTACAGCACGCGTCTTCCCATTGCGATGCCCTATTCATGAATGAGTATCTTTTTCTTCTAGGGAGCTGCTCTCTGTGTGTTATTTACGTTGATGGCATAATAGAGATGACAATGGCTCTTGGGAGGATCAAGTGGGGCAATGCATGTCAAATGCCTAGCACAGTGCTTAGCGTTCTTCTTTCTCTGTACGCTTACCCATTATAACGTTTGTTCCGCAATTTAACAACAACAAAGCCACTGGGTACCCACTCCTTAGAAGGCCCAGATGAAAAGAACAGACTGAGAGTAGGGGCAGGAGTGGAACATGCTTGGGGTGTGGGGATGCCCTGCAGATTGGAAAGGGCTCTGCAGGCTCTCGGAACAGGGTCTGTCTCTGTGCTGTGTCTGTGGCCTTCTCCGTACATTGCCCACAAAGAGTTTGCAGCGATCTTTCAAGGGACCAGTCACTCTCCAGGTCTCCTCTGTTCTACCCACCAGCATCCTTCACTTGGAGATCTGAGACACCTTCCCGGAGTGTGGAAAAAGAGAAACCACCACTCCAAGTCTGTCTTCTGGTTTGACCTGGGGCCAGGGCCTTAACCTCTCTCAGTTTCAGTTTATTTTGTTTGTTTTGAGATGGAGTCTCGCTCTGTTGCCCAGACTAGAGATTGTGCAATGGCACAATCTCAGCTCACTGCAACCTCTGCCTTCCTGGTTCAAGCGATTCTCCTGCCTCAGCCTCCCTAGTAGCTGAGATTACAGGTATGCGCCACCATGCCTGCTAATTTGTTTATTTTTAGTAGAGACGGGGTTTCCCCATGTTGACCAGTCTGGTCTCATACTCCTGGCCTCAAGTGATCCACCCGCCTGGGCCTCCCAAAGTGTTGGGATTATAGGCACAGCTTCCCTAGGGATTTTTCACCCCACCTAGAGATATTTATTGGCCGCTTCATATATGAAGGCAGCAGGGATAACTCAGAGGTAGACAAGACCAACCCCTCCCTGCCAGGAGCCAGCAGTCCCACGGGAATGGAAGAAGTGGCCCAGGTGACTGTGACCTCTCAGGTGTTTGCGGCGTGCTGGAGAGGTGGTCGGGGGAGTGGAGCCTTGAAGGAAAGATTGGTTTTGCTTTCTCCTCCCATGACGAAGCAGAGATGCCTGGCGTTCCATGGGCGTGGTCCCGCCCTGACCTTGTTCCACGTCCCCCTCCGGCTCCACCATCAAAATCAAGGACTGTGGATATTTCACATAAATGGGATCAGGCCACATGTGGCCTTTATACCTGGGCTTCCTTCACTGAGCGTGTTTTCAAGGTCCACTGGTGTCGTCGCGTGTGGCCATCGTGTGGATTCGTCACATTGGGTTTATCCATTCATCAGTTGGGTTCCTTCAACCTTTTGGCTATTTCGAATAGTTGCCATCACTGTTTCTTAAAATGTGACTGATGCTTTGTTGTCTGACTTCTCTGCTGGAACGGAAGTCTTCAGGGGGCTGGGGGTGGGAGGGGTTGGTTTTATTGCTGTCATATCCCTCAGGCTCATAGGTTGTAACAGGGAGCCCCCAGGGGATGCAGGTGGGCCGGTGAGAGGAGACACCCCCATCGTCATTGCAGAATGATCTCCTGCCCAGCACACCCCCTGCCGATCCTCCAGCAGCCCCATGCTAAGGAAATAACAGCCTCCCTACCCACCTCCCCCAGCCTTCCCCTCTGCTCTCTGCTCCCTAGAGTTCCTGGAATAAAGTCAAAGGAGACAGGAACAGGGCAGGTATCCACCTGCTCACTCTCTCCAATCAACTCTTTAGGGGCTTTTGCTATCAATGCAGCCCTGGAAGGGTATAGATCAATTCCCCTCACCTTTCCACCCTCCCACCCACCCATCCACCCACAGAAATCATTGCAGCTGGAAAACTGTTGGATGTGGAGAGTAAATCTGCAAATCTGAGTGATATGGACAAAAAGGCATTTGAAGTTCTTAGGAGGGGAATCGTGTAGCCTTGAGAGGCGTGAGGTAAAAATGGCTGTGGCTTGGACCCCGTTCCATGTGAGGAAGCCAGGGATCTTTTCTTTAGAAGTCTTGCTAATGTGGTATTTAAAAAAAAAAAATCAATGCCACATTGCCACGAATGGACGCATCTATTCCAGGTAGAGAAGGCTGTTGTCTGGGAAGCATACAGCAGCTATTATAAACACTGAAAGTCAGTTGTTTAGCCCCCATTCATGGGCACTCTCTGAGGACCAGGCACATGGGGCTTCTGAGAGCATAAGGGAGCTCTCCATTTAGGAGGAACCAGGTGATGAGCAAACAGGATCCATTGAGGCTCTGAGATAGACGCTTCCACCTGGCGTCCAACCCATCCCAAGAACTCTGATGAGCAAGTGCTTCCCATTTTGCAGAAAAGGAGACTGAGATTCAGAGTGGAGAAGTGAGCACCAAGCTCATTCAGCCCATTTTACAGACAAGGAGACTGACATTCAGAGTGGAGAAGTGAGCACCAAGCTCATTCAGCCCATTTTACAGACAAGGAGACTGACATTCAGAGTGGAGAAGTGAGCACCAAGCTCATTCAGCCCATTTTACAGACAAGGAGACTGACATTCAGAGTGGAGAAGTGAGCACCAAGCTCATTCAGCCCATTTTACAGACAAGGAGACTGACATTCAGAGTGGAGAAGTGAGTGCTCAGCCCACTCAGGTCTCCAGGGCCAGAGCAGCCAGAATGGGTGCCAAAAAAGAAAAAAGAAAAATTGAATAAGACCTACTATTTGATAGCACAATAGGGTGACTATAGCCAACAATAACTTAATTGTACATTTTAAAATAACTTAAAGAGTGTCATTGGATTGTTTGTCACTCAAAAGATAAATGCTTGAGGGGATGGATACCCCACTCTCCATGGCGTGTGTATTTCCTATTGCATGCCTGTATCAAACATCTCATGTACCCCACAAATATGCACACCAACCACGTACCCAGAAAAATTAAAAATATAAATAAGGCCAGGCATGGTGGCTCACGCCTGTAATCCCAACACTTTGGGAGGCAGAGGCAGGCGGATCATTTGAGGTCAGGAGTTCAAGATCAGCCTGGACAACATAGCGAAACCTCATCTCTACTAAAAACACAAAAAATTAGCTGGGTGTGGTGGCATGCACCTGTAGTTTCAGCTACTCGGGAGGATGAGGCACGAGAATCGCTGGAACCTAGGAGGCAGAGGCTGCAGTGAGCTGAGATCATGCCACTGCCCTCCAGCCTGGGAGACAGAGTGAGAAAAAATAAAAAATAAAAATAAACTTAAAAATAAAAGAAAATAAACCCTCCAAGAATTCTGAGCTCCGCCTACTACGCCATGTCCTCCCTGGAAGGAAGAGGCAAGATTTTCCCTTTCCAAGCCCTGAAACAGCTGCACTGACCACTCCCATTCCAGGGACCAGGGTCTGAGACATCTGGGTGGCTGTCTGCCAGGCAGACCCCGTAAAATGGGACAGCCCACCCTGCTCCTGCCACGTCAGGCCACTGGGATGGGAAGCTCTAAACAGCCCCCGCCCCCCCAGGCTGCAGCTCGAGGAGGAGCGAAGCCTCTTTCCTTGCACTAATTTGCAGTGCAGTGTGCTGTCTGCCTCGTGGGCACATGGAACGTATATAAATTACCCCGCCAGGACGATTAACTGTTTGTCCAGGCTAATTGTCAGTATTAAATCTCGCTCAGTCACAGTTTTAAAGCTTAATTTAAATTCTCTATCTTTAAGAAATCCATACTCCCTCCCACCACGGGAGAAAAAATAGATTTAATGGGTTTAGTCCATTTCCGTTTGTAGCAACCCAAGTTATAATTAGGCATGTGCAAAGCGGATGTTTCGGCGGGCGGTGAGCCTGCAGACCTGCTCCTCTCCTTCCCGGCAGGGCCGGTCCTGGTGGGGAGTGCCCTTGTCTTTGCTGCCCTAGATAAATTTCTGAATTAGGAGTTATTGCTCAGAGACCCCTGAGCCTCCATGGCAGCCCCTCCCGATTATGGCATTAATCTTGTCAATGTGCTTAAAGGTGGAGAAAGAATTCATCCTCAAAGGTGGAAGGCACAAGAAAGCAGCCAGGAAACCCCTCTGCCCAGGAGCCAAGAGCTCGGGGGAGCCATGGGATGCAGGCGGATGGGGGGGCTTCCCCTCATGTCTTCCTGAGACCACTGCCCCGCCAGATGCCCCCTTGCCCTGAAGGCTGATGCTGCCACTGCAGCTTATCAGGAGTGAGGACCCCTCCTTCCTCTCCTCTTTCTTTCTGTTCCCAGATACCCGCTTAGAAGCAGGTTGGAGCCAGGAAAATGCAGACAACTAAGGCATAGATGTAGAGGATGCAAACTGAACAAAGCTACTGAAAGCCCCCACACTCATCCCCCTTAATGTCCTAGGGGGAACTGAGACTCAGAGAGAGGCGTGACTTGCCCAAGGGCACACAGCTGGCCTGGGTTGCAGCTGAATCCCAGGGGACTTGGCACCCATTGCCTTGCTACACATTCATGACCAGGGTGAGGTGCAATTCCTTGTTCAAGGGACACGCTTGGAAGAGGAATCTTCATCGCCCTTCCTAATTCTATGCATCATCAACACCAGGGCACGTATGTTTACGCTCATTGTCCCTCACTGGGCTTGCCCCATGCAGAGGGTGGCCTGGGGGAGCAGAGATGGCAGGGAGGGCAGCTGGAAGTCCAGGTCAGAGAGAGGAGAGTGTGACCAGGGTGGCAGCAGGAGGCATGGAAAAGACGGATGCATGGAGAGGGGTGAAGAGCGTGGGAACCAGGGCTGGGGCTGCCCAGACCTGGGCACTGGGGAGGGCAAGGGAAGCGTCAGTGACAACTCCAGGGTCTGAACCTGCGGGGTGAGGAAGCAGGTGGTAGCAGTGACTGCCCGGGAGTCTGAGGAGGGGGCTGGTTAAGTGGGGAAGGTGAGCGTGATGCCAGGTGTGCTGGCTGCAGGGGACAGAAGGTGTGCAGGGCTCTCCCCGGGGCCCCTAGGCTCCTGAAAGGCGGTGCCCTAAGCATCGGCTCCATCTCGTTGTCCCTACCCCCGTCCCTACCCCCGTCACAGTGGCCGGCAAGGGCCCAACACTTAGCAATTGTCAAAGAATCGGCAGACGTGTCCAGTGGGAGCTGAGGCAGGGACAGGGACATCAGGCCCACGTGTTGAAGGCGTGGGCCTCCCACACCACTGCCCTCAGTGTTGTGTAACTCAAAAACCCATGTGTAACTTTTGACTCTCCTAAAACTTAACTACGAATAGCCTGCTGTTGACCAGAAGCCTTACTGAGAACAGTCAATGAACACATATTTTGTATGTCATTATGTGTATTTTATTTTGTAAGTTATATGTTACTGCATTCTTATGATAAAGTAAGCTGGAGAAAAGAAAATGTTATAAAGAAGATGATAAGGGACAGAAAACATATTTACTCATTAGGTGGAAGCGGATCATCATAAAGGTCTTCACCCTTCTTGTCTTTACATTGAGGAGGCTGAAGAGGAGGATGAGGAGGGGTAGGTCTTGCTGTCTCGCAGGTGGCAGAGATGGAAGGAAATCTGTGCATAAGTGGACCATGCAGTTCAAACCCATGTTGTTCAAGGGTCACCTGGAGTTGAGGAAGGTGCCGTCTTTCTCCCAAGGCCCAGGGTTTTCTTTGCAGAGAGCCTCGTGATTTAGCCCTCTGGAGAGGAGGGAAGCGAGGCCAAGCTTAGCAGTGTGTCATGGATGTGTTGTTTGGGCCCCAGGGCATGAGTCACCTGCCCTAGTTTTTTTTTTTTTTTTTTTTTTTTTTTTTTTTTTGTAAAGGTCCTGCTGTTGGGTGGATTCATATTTTCGGTATCAGCCTGGGAGATCCTGAGTGCAGGATGTGGTTCTGCCCCTCTGGTCCCTGTTCTGTTGTGTGCATTTGTGTACACGTGCACCCACCTCCCCTTCTTCAAGGTGCTTGCCCTTCCGCCACCCGATGCCCAACAGGGACCCAACTTAAGACACACACAATTATTTCTGCAGGTCCCTTGAGCTCAAAGTCACCCGAATGTGAGCTGGAGTGAATGCAACCAAGCAGTCCCAGCAACACAGACTGCCCTGCTGGATGCCAGCATGACTGGGAATTTCACTCCCCCACTGACGGGGGAGCCTGGGGGTGTTCATGTGTGTTTTCCTCGGTGGTGTGAAGAAAGTCATTTGGTCCTGTAACGGCTGCCCTGTCACGGTGGGAAGTTAGAAAACAAACTTGGCAATCACACCCACCTTGACTTCCCAACCCTGCGAGAGAGCTTCACAGCAGGACCAGGAGAACAGTTCTTGGGACCTTTCTCTTTCCACCTGTTTCATCTCACACTGCTGCCCCTGCTTCTGTGACCTGCAGCAGTCTGCAGGGTTTGAACCCTTGATCTGCCAGAAGCCCACCCCAGGGCTGGGACCAACTTGCTCTGCTGCCAGTCCCACCCCCCCTGGCACAGGGACACATGGATGGGGACGTAGATGGGTGCTGACTGGTCATGAATGACCTCCAGAACAGGAACAGAGGAGGGTTTTTCAGTGGGGCGGCCCCAAGGTGCCAGCGCGGGGAAAAGTGGCTGCCCGGCCATTAGGTAGATGTATTATTTGTCCTCAAAGGTCTGCGCAGGATCCTGGGCCAACTGGGGCAGCTCTCAGGCTGGGCTTTGCCAGATCGGAGAGCAAGGCCCCCAGGCTGCTCCCACATGGAATGCACGCTAAGGCATCCTCCCTCCTCCGCTCTGTAGCCTTTCACAGAAAAACAAAAAATCAAACCTGTTCTCGTCTCTATCAAAGCTCACGTTGAAGATGACAGTGTTTCTCATTTCCTCGACTCTCTCTGAAAATATGTGAAATTAGGGGAAATGAAGAGAAGAAATTGAAATAACAAGTGAGGCTGGAGAAGAACCAGCCTCAGAAACAGAGGTGCCTGGAGAAGGAGGAGGGTGGGTTGTGGGAGGAGGAGGAGAGGAAACTCAGGGCTGGCGATTTCGGATGAGGCAGGTGCTGGCTCTCAGGAGGGAGAGAAGCCTGCGGTGGAGACAGCATCCTCGTCTGCCCCCTGGGAAGCGAGGGAAGGACCTTGGCCGAGGGGGACCTAGGAGCATGAAGAGCAGGAGAAAGCAGGGGGGTGCCTGATATGGTTTGGCTCTGTGTTCCCACTCAAATCTCATCTTGAATTGTAATCCCCTCATGTCAGGGGAGGGACCTGGAGGGAGGTGACTAGATCATGGGGGTGGATTTCCTTCATGCTGTTCTCGTGAAAGTGAGGGAGTTCTCACGAGATCTGACGGTTTAAAGTATGACACTTCCCGCCTCACTCTCAATCTCTCCTGCTGCCATATAAGACATGCTTTGCTCCCCCTTTGCCTCCATCATGACTGTAAGTTTCCTGAGGTCTCCCCATTCATGCAGAACTGTGAGTCCATTAAACCTGTTTTCTTTATAAATTACCCTATCTCAGGTAGTTCTTTCTAGCAGTGTGAGAACGGGCTCATACAGTGCCACCATCCTATCCAGCATCCCCTTTCTTCCCTGGCTCTTGTAGCTGCCCTGTGGGTGCTCCCCACTCACCTTCTTCCCAGAGGAGCCCTCTAGGGAGGGGTGCAGTCTGCAGAGCCTCGACACCCCACCCAGCTCCCAGCCCACGCAGAAGCTTGGGAACACCAGAGATGGCCACTCTTGCCCCAGGAGGATCCCCCACCCCTCAGGCAGTCTCTGCTCTGGGCTCCCACCTGCCGACTGGGGCTTTCTGTGAGGCTCTTCCTCCCAGGCCTCCTTCCCTCCCCACTCCCTGCACAGGCTGGTCCTGCATCATGGAAGGAAACTCTTCCTGCTCTCTTTCCTTTCTCCTTCACAGACATTTCCCTGCAACAAGTCTCATGGACATCCAATTCATTCCTGGCACCTGCTTCTCAGAGGACCCAAACCCACAACCCCTTGTGGCTCAGAGCAAGTGGCTCCTATGGGCCTCCCCGCCCTGACTCCCTTCCACTCCCAGCAAAGGGCCTTGCTCTCATCAAGCAGCCCAGCTTGCAGCCCACCTGAGAGCAGCTTAGCCCCTATCAGGCTCCCAGGGGCCCTGCCAGGGTGGGATAAGGCAGGTGGGGCAGGAGGGCTTTTAAGGCAGGGACAGATGTGACCCCTGCCTCCTACTCTGGCTTCAACAGGTCAAAGGTGCACACATGGGGAGGAAAAGCCCTTTTCTGCACCTGAGGGCACCTCCCGGGTCCTGGGCTGCCAGCTCCATCTTCTGCGCACCAGGAGTGAGGAGCATCAACCACACCGGGCCCCAGGAGGTGGCTGCCTGGCCACCATCACCCTCCCACTGAGGGGCCCAGGGGAGAGAAGACTGTAACTGCTCTGGAAGCTTCCGGCCTTTCTTCGGCAACGAATCTGGGGTGTGGCTGGACCTGGACCCTTTCATGCCTGGGATCTTAACATTCACCATCTGGGTGGATTCTCCTTCCTGGTCTCTCTGTGGATGGATCTTGTCAGTCTCCTGGAGGAAGGGAAGATGATGCTCCACTTTCCCCGGGATGCTGGGACACAGATCCACAAACCGGGCCACTTAAAGTGACAGACATTTTTCCTCTCCCAGTTCTGGAAGCAGAGGGGAGAAATCAAGGTGTCGGCAGGGCTGGTTCCCACTGAGGCTCTGAGGGAGAACCTATCCCAGGCCCCTCTCCCGGATCTGGGGCTCCCGGGGATCCTTGGCGTCCTTCGCATGGCTCCAATCTGCTGCTGCTTCACCTGGATTTGCCCGTGTGTCTCTGGGTCTTCATTCCTGTTTCTTGCCAGGACGCTCTCATTGGATTTAGGGCCCACCCTAACCCAGGATGACCTCATCTCCATCCTTACCTTAATCACACCTGCAAAGACCCTATTTCCAACAAGGCTGCATTCTCAGGTTCTGGGAGGACATGAATTCACAGGTTCACGATTCAGCCCAGTACAGGATGACCTGGAGTAGAGCCAGGATCCCGGAAGTCCCCGGGGGCTGATGGGGCCCAGCAGGGAAGCAGGGATGGGCAGGGTCTCCAGGGCACAGAGGAGGGGTGTTGTGCACCTGCCCCCTTCCTGGGCTCCCCTAGTGCAGCTCTTTCTGGGGCCTTCTACCCTCTCCATTTACCCACTCGCCCCTGCAGATGGGGGGCGCATGATGGCACCTTTTGATTTAACCAAGTTATTATGAGTAAGTGATTCGGGAGCTCTTCTTCAGGCAGGTGATCGGGGATGAGCAGGCAGCTGAGAACAAAAGAGATGCCGCCACCGTGGGAGACGCCTGGGTTGGCGGAGCGGTGGGGGGAAGGGCGAGGAGGGGAGGATTGCGGGGGTTCTTCTGCCACAGTCAGGCAGGGGGAGGCGCCGCCTTGCCCTTCCCTTCCCTTCCCTTCCCTTCCCTTCCCTTCCCTTCCCTTCCCTTCCCTTCCCTTCACCGGGAAGCAGCGGCCGCGATTTAATATGCAAAGGTGGAAAGTCTGGCATTGGGTGCATCGCCCCGCATGCCGTATTTCAAACAAAGAATACACAACAAAGGGCCGGCCGGCGCGGGGATTTGTCAGAATTCGGCGGTGGGAGAGATTTATCTAAGCTGAGTGGAGGGGCCTGTGACCTTGGGTTTGAGAGCTTTAAAAGGAACAGGCGGCTGTTGAAGACGAACAAAGAGATGCTTGTGATTATCATTATTTAATATAATGGCCTTAAACTGTTAGGAGGGGGAATTAAGTGGCACAAGAGAATTGTTTTTTATTCCAGGAGATGTAAGAAAGATGTAATGGACAGGAAAAAGCAGGGGGGAGGCGGAGGGAGGGAGAGGCTGGAGAGATTTCTGAGATGAAGTAGGAGAGTGAGCGAGCCTGCAGAGGCAGCAGGCGGTAAACAAGAAACGCTCCCCTCCCCTCTCCCTTCTCCTCCTCCTTCCCCTCTTCTCCCCTCCCCTCCAGTCCCCTCCCTTCCTGGCAGGTTCAACCTCAGCCCCAAAGACAAGACAGTAGCTGGGAAGGAGGTGACCAGCCTTGCGCCAGGAAGGGGTTGGGCAGAAAGAGTCCAAGAAAGGAGGACGGGGCCTGGAGCAGTGTCAAAGCCGGGATCAGGATGCGGCAGGGCTAGCAGCTTCCCCAGGCTGGGGGGCCAGGGCTGCCAGGAGACCTGGGCATCCTGTTCAGAGAAAGCCTGGCACGGGGGACGGGTGGGTGTGTGCTGCCCCGGGGCAGTGAGGGTCTGGGAAATGGAGGCTGGTAAGGTCCTTTCACTGGCGTCCCCAAGAAGGTGGACTGTGAGCCCTCCTGCCAGGGTTGGATGCTGAAAGTGCCAATGCTCTGAGCTGCTGCAGACGGGGGGACAGTGGGGGCGGGAGGAGATGGCTGGCCTGGCAGCTTTGCTGCAGGGTTGACCTAGGATGTCTCCCACCTGGGTTGAGGCTTGTCCAGGTGCCTACCGCTTCCCAGAGCCTGAGCAGAGATACAGCTGAAGCCCAGGAGCCTCCTCTCTTTCATGGGGCCTGGCTTTCTCTTTTCATTTGTAATTTTGTAATCTTTTTCTTAAAGAGCCCCCTCCCAAATCTGCTGAGCGTCACCTCCCACTAAAGCAAGACCAACTAGGTCTTCACAACCCGTCATGGGGAGCAACTGCAGTTCTCCCCGGAATGTGTGGAAGCCTAGTTCCCAGGCAGCTGGGGGAGGAGGGCACCCAGTAGAGCTTCAGAGCCAGGCAGGAGTGGGAGGTGGGGTGGGCAGCAGGAGCCGGCTTTGTCCTGGCAGCAGGGATGCCAGGTGGACACCCAGGTGGCCCAGGAGGGCCCCACACTTCCTGCCCTGGGGTGGTCAGCCATCGGGGTGTGTTCCCGCAGAAAGGGGAGCGGCTCCAGCCACAGGTGGACTCACGTCTGAGATCTGATAAACTAGAAGAGGAAGGTAAAACAGGAGTCAAACTGGAGAGGATGAGGCCACGCAGGAAGGAGAGGGTGTGAGCTCCCGGAGCCCGGTGCCCAGAAACCTTGCTCTCTGGCTGATCTCAGGAGGCAGCAGAGACTCAGAGGCCCACAGTTAGGGGGCAGGAGGAGGCCGTGTGGACCCAGCCCAAGCAGCTGGGTGCCAGCTGTGGGGCATTCACTGGCTGAAAGCTCCAGGAGACCCAGACACAGGCAGCATGGGTGCATGGGGTGACGCAGATCACCCTGCGTGAGGGACACCCCATGCTTTTGGTGGGTGACAGCCTCAGCCACAGTTAGGACACCTGGGCCATCTCTGCCACCCACTTGAGGCTTGGCCCTGGGCCTCAGTCTCGCCTTCTGTAAATTGAGGGCAAGGAGAGGACCCACCGTGGGCTGACTGAGGGTGGGATGAGGTGTGTGTGTGAGAGAGAGGGCTCTGGGGGATACAGAGGGGTCTTCTCACTCCATCCTGTCACTGCCTCCATCACCCACAAGAGCAGCCCCCTCTGTCAACCTGGAAGGAAGCCTGGCTGGGGGAGTCAGGGGGAGGGGTCTTTAACCACAGGGGATGCCTGCCTTTGCTTTTTCCTACATCACTAATAACCTCTCCAAGGCTCAGGTTCAAAGCCATCAAGCACTGGCTGGGAAATGGCTGGGTTGTTGAGGACCTGGTCAACTGTCAAGATTTTTTCAGTTGGCAAAACTGATGGTTCAGCCAGAAATAAGCACTCGCATCTCTCTGATCCCGTCTCTCTGTCCCTCTCCTCCTCTGTGTGCCCAGGGCATGCTCCTAAGGCTGCTAGTGAGGTTGTGACCTCAGTAGTATTTGGTATTTTGGCTGCTCTCTTGGTAATGGCCTGGTCCCTGGCACAGCCATTCCCTCCAAATGCGAACTGCTCCCTGGACCATGAAGCAGCCATGAGATCTCCTGCTTGTGGAACATGGAACATTGAGCATGTCTGCAACTCTCTCCTCCTACTGGAAAATCCTTCTTCCCATCTAACCTAGATCCTTTGTGCTGTGGCTTAAACTTTGCTTTTAATATTCATTCACTTCTCTATTTAATGGACTCTGATAGAAGGAGTTTATCAAACTCTTAATTCTGTCTCTGAAGCCTTTGTTCTCTCTCTGCTGCAGGGGAACCTCAGCCCATCAGGGCTGGTGCCCAGGCACCCTAGGTGAAGCCCTCAGCTCGGCCGCCACCCTGGCCTTGGCAGGATCCAGGCTCTGAGGTCCTCTTCTGGAGGCTGGGTCCTCTCTCATTTCACTCCACGTCATTATTAAGAGATGATGCAGGTCTTGGAGCAAGAACCCTTTGGCTCTGGAAAAATTATGTGTGACACTTTACATATGGATCAGGTAATTAATGGACGCCCGGATTTCCTCCGCCATAACATAAAGAGCGTGAAGACGGCGCTTTAATTCCAGATAATTAAAGAGCGATCAGTTCGCGAGTGCTGCTCGGGGAGTGCTGGCTGCTGTCATTAACACCACCGAGCCCGCTCCATTCTCCACACCTCACTGCAAACCGCGGGGCCTCCTGCTCCCCGGGGGATACTGAGCCACAGAGCCCACTGCACTGCTGTGTAATTGAAGTGGCCACATCTGCTGCACCGAGCTTATGGAATGGGAGTAGGTGTGTGCACACATGCATGTGCATGTGTTGGGTGAGGAGCCGCAGCATGGCCAGTCTAGAGTGGCCACACACGACCTTAGTGACCTGGCCCTAGGGAATGTGCAGAGCTCAGGTGGCTGTCACTGCCACCAGGGAAAACACGGGTCTCACTGTACAGAGCATCCTTAATGAGGGCATAGCATCCCCACTTCAGCCCCAAGAAACTGTTCCTCATCCTACCAGGTCACAGGAAACTCCCAGGACATGCAAGGGGCTGTGCCTTCCCCAGAGCTGAGTGTCCCTGGGTTTGAAAAGTGACAATAATTGGCCGGGCACAGTGGCTCACGCCTGTAATCCCAGCACTTTGGGAGGCCGAGGCGGGCAAATCACTTGAGGTCAGGAGTTCAAGACCAGACTGACCAACATGGTGAAACCCCGACTCTACTAAAAATACAAAAATTAGCTGGGTGTAGTGGCATGTACCTGTAATCCCAGCTACTCAGGAGGCTGAGGCATGATAATTGCTTGAACCTGGGAAGCGGAGGCTGCAGTGAGCTGATATGGCACCACTGCACTCCAGCCTGGGCGACAGAGCAAGACTTTGTCTCAAAAAAAAAAAAAAAAAAAGGAAAGCAACCATAATTAGTACTCTTCAAGATGAAGATAATCACATTCCAGAGGATCATCTTCTCCTGCTGAAGTCCAAGGTCACGGGCAGCTGCTCCTCCTGGGAGAAGAGCAGGGGTGGACGGACATCCCACTGCAAAGGCAGAGCCCAGAGTCCTCAGTGGCCTCCCTGGGAGAGTGAAGTAGCGGCTAATTACGGCCGAGGGCACTGACAGGTCTTCCTGGTTCACACAGCACATCTGTCACATTTCCTGATAAATATCAGCCCCTTGCACTGTCAGACAGAGCCTCTGAGGGTGTCCACGCTTCTTTGCCTGGCTCTGCTCACTCCTGGTTAGTGGCTTCCAGAAAATCACTTGTGCTGATTCCCACAAATATTTACAGAGTGTCTGTGAGGGGCCGGGCAGGCACTGGGCTGGTCTCAGGACCTGGAGGTGAATGAGAAGAGGCTGCTGTACAGAAGAAGCATGTGGGCACCCAGGAGAAGGGATGGAAAGAAACCCAGGCTGCACAACAGCGGGGGTGCAGGCATGACCCGGAGCTGGGGACGGCTGGGGCTGGGGAGGCAGGGAGGCCGGGCCTGTCAGAGGACTTATCCTTGCCTACCAGGCAGGGGAGGTCAGGAACAAGAGGGAGCTCGTGCAGGGGCGTGCACAGCAGGCATGGTTTTGCATGCACCTGGATCTGTGGGTACACAGGCCAGCATATGCCATGGTGGCTTTGCTGATTGATACCTTCTGTCTTCCTCATCCATCTGTCCTCTGCCTCACGTGGCTGTGGTCATCCTCCCTTCAGGCACTTAGCCACTTCTGCTGGGAAAAGATCTGTAAGAAGTCTCCAGGGATGGCTGGCTGGCTGGCAATCGTTGCCTTCTTTTCTCTATGGTTTTAGGACAGAGTGAAGTTTTTTCCTAAAACTCCCCTTTCTCTAAGCCTGGGTCCGGGGTCAGGGGGGTGGCCACTTAAGTTGCATTTTTATTTCAACCTAGACCTCTTTCTCTCAAACCCTAGACTCTGACATCCAATTACCTGCTCAACATGTCCACATGGATGGAATCTCAAATATAAAGTCAAAACTAAATGCCTCTTCTTCATCTCCTAATCTGTTCCCTTCTTGGCTAATAGCACCTCCACCCTTGCAGTGCCAAGACAAAGAGCTTGGGGTCATCTTTCACTCCTCGCCTTCCTGATTGGCCAGGAAATCCTTGTGGCTGGACCTTCAAATTAAATTCAGAAGCCAACATTAGTGGAGAAACTGGGGAAATTCTAATAAAAGTTTAGCGAATGGGATTGCGCCAGTGATAATTCCTCAGTTTTGCTAAGTGTGTGGTGGCTGTGTGAGATAACAGGGAAAGCCAGGGGAACACAGTGAAGGCAACATTCTGGAATATCTTTGCAACTCTTCTATTAATCTAAAATTATTTCCAAATAAAAAGTTCGATAGATACATAAATACGAGCATTCGTTTGTTAGGGCTGCTGTAACAAAGCATCACAAACTGGGTGGCTGAAAGCAACAGAAATGTATTCTCACCCAGGGCTGGAGGCCACGTCGGAAATCAAGGTGTCTGCAGGGCAGGTTCCTCTTGAGGGCTGTGAGGGAGGAGCTGCTCCAGGTCTCCCTCCTTGGCATGTGGATGGCATCTTCTCTCTGTGTCTCTTTCAAATAACACTGTAACACTTCACAGGTAGTGTGAGCACCTTAACATAACAAAACCATCCTCATTCCTCCCTTTCATACCTCGTATCATTGTGTAACAGTGAAACAGCAAGAAACTAACGTCACTCACTTCATTTTTCTTTAAGGGGCTTTTACCCCTTCCTGCACGTAGGCTAGGATAATTTTAGAGAACTGGGATGAAATGCGAAACAGCAATCATGTAGTTTTTGAAACTAACTCTGGGAGTAAAGGGTGTATTAGTCCGTTCTCACATTAGTATAAAGAACTGCCCGAGACTGGGTAATTTACAAAGGAAAGAAGTTTAAATGACTCACAGTTCTGCATGGCTGGGGAGGCCTCAGGAGACTTACAATCACTGCAGAAGGGGAAGCAAACACGTCCTTCCTCACATGATGGCAGGAAGGAGAAGGGCTGAGCAAAAGCGGGAACAGCCCCTTATAAAACCTTCAGATCTCATGAGAACTCACTCACTGTCACAAGAACAGCATGTGGAAACCACCCCCATGATTCAGTTACCTCCCACCAAGCCCCTCCCACCACACGTGGGGATTATGGGAACTAGTATTCAAGATGAGATTTGGGTGGGGACACAGCCAAACCATATCAAAGGGGAAGTTTGTAAACAACTAAGTCTGTTTTGTTGGAGATTTACAGAAGCATTGTGACCTAACCAAGGACAGAAAAGTTCCCAACCTCCTCGACCCCTCACTGGCACCCAAATGTTTGTGGTCCTCGGTCACCTCTTGATCCCAACCACTGCACGTAGCCTCCCCATATCCCCTCACCCATAAAAACCCTCTGGCCAGCCTGAAAAACTGAAAATGGTACTTTAGAATGCTAGTTTGCCATCCTCTTGGTTTGACTGACTTTCCAAATAAACCTGCTTTTCTTCCTACCAACCCTTGTCTCTAGTGGCTGGCTTTCAGGCAGCAAACAGTCAAACCTGGATTCCATTACAATTGCTGCAATTCAGTTCACTTATAGATCAGCATACATAAGCACAATATATATATAAGACACTACATAAGCTTATGTAACTGAATACATCATTGCTATTATTATGTTGAACCAACTGCTGTCTGTCAGGTCAATCAAGAATAAGAAAAATAAAAGTTTTTATTTTACCTTCACTTTTCCTTTCTTTAATGCACTTCCTTTCTTTATGCAGATCTGAGTTTCTTACCTATATTGTTTTCTCTAAAGAAATTTTCTTTTTAACATTTTTTGCCAGCCAAGTCTACTGGCAACAAATTCCCTCAATTCTGAGAATGTTTTTTTTTCTCTTTCACTTTTTCATCTTATCTATTTTTTTTTTTACTGGGGTAAAATATATGTAACATAAAATTTAACATCTTAGTTATTTTTAATTGTACAGTTCAGTAGCATTAAATATATTCATAATGTTGTATAACCATCACCACCATCCATCTCTATACCACTTTCATCTTATGAAACTGGAACTCTATCCTCATTAAACACTGACTTCCCATTCCCCTCTCCCAGGCCCTGGTGACCACTATTCTACTTTGTTTCTATGAGTCTGACTGCTATAGGTACCTCATATCAGTGGACTCTTACAATAGTCGTCCTTTTGTGCCTGGCTTATTTCACTCAGCATCATGTCCTCAAGGTTCATCTGTGTTTTAGCATGTGTCAGGCTTTCCTTTTTTAAGGCTGAATCATAATCGACTGTAATGTATACACCATATTTTGCTTATCCGTTCATCTGTTGATGGACACTTTGGTTGTTTCCACCTCTTAACTATTGTGAATAATGCTTCTAGAAACATGGGTGTACAAATACCTCTTCAAAACCCTGCTTTCAGTTCTTTAGAGTGTATACCTAGAAGTGGAATTGCTGGATCATATGGTAGTTCTGATGTAGGAGAGGCACACCCCAAAATTGGGGCTTAGCCCAGGAGGGTCCTTGGCTTCATCCAGGAAATAATTCAAGGGGAAGCCAGCAGTGTTAGACAGCAATCTTTTATTGAAACAGAGCTGCTCCTTGCAGAACAGGGCTAACTCATAGGCAGTGCACCTAGAGTCAGCAACGTATGGGCTGTTGGCAACTCTATTTATACTCATGTAAACCCACTTTCAATTACATGCAAATTAAGGGGTGGGTTAATGCTAAGGGTTCTAATGGATAAAGTAGTCAGCATGCAAGAATAGGTGGGCAATGTAACCAGAGACAGAAACCCTGAGAAAAACCAAAAAGGAAATGCAGGCAAACAACAGCACTAACAAAAATGAAGACTGACTTTGTTGGGCTTATCAGTTAGCTTGGATAGGGCTGAACAAAGAATCTCTGAACTGGAGGCTATATCAATAGAAACCTCCAGAACTAAAAAAGAAAGAGAACAAAGACTCAGGAAAACACAATAGAATATCCAAGAACTGTGGAACAACTATAAAAGGTATAACATACGCACAATGGGAGTACTGCTATGGGAGTCCCAGGAAACTAATACAATCTGCTGAGAGGCCGAACAATGCTGTATACTATAGTATTGGTCACCATTTGTTGACTGTGTGTGTACTTTAACCTACCAAGGAAGAGGGTATTGCTGTGCTCATTTCACAGATGAGGATGCTGAGACCCATGGTGGTTATGCATCCTTGCCAAGCCCCTGTTCCAGGAAGAGAAATTCCAGATCTAACTGACCTGAGCCTGTGTGCAGCTGCTGTGCTCTGCTACCCACATCTGTAGGCTCTGATGAGCCATGAGATGTTCACTCTAGCTTTGCTGAAGCCCCATGTCCAGACTGGCCATGTGGAGACCCACAGCACTGGGGATATATCTCTGGTTTCAGGTCCAGGAACCCGGTTCTGCAGCCCAACCTCAATGTCATGGGCTGCCTTGACAAATGCTGTGCCTGCTGACCTGGCCTGGGGCTCCCAACAGCTGCAGGGGGGCCTTCCACTGCCTCCCTGTCCTCTGTGCCATTTCCCCACCTGGCCCCAAACTGCTTGAAACCATCACTCGACTACCAGCCTCTTCCCACTACTGTCAGGGACATATTTGCTGCTGTCAGTGGCTGCATTGCACAGAAGCGAAGAGAAAAATGGTTTCAGACTCTGAAGCCACTACTGGAGGCGGAGGTGTTCGGATTAACTCTGCAGTCCTTTGGAACAGCTGTTTCCTGGCTGTTCCACTCTAACATGTGAATGCTCTCAAGGCTATTCACAATATTACTTCCACCTTCCTAGAGAAAGATGCTGCAGAAATAAGCCAGGCAAATTGTCTCTGTGCGATGACATACACAGTAGGTGCTTAAGAAATGTTGGCTGGATTGATCTGAAAATAAGCATGCACAAACAGCAGCCATGCGCTATTCCCTTCCATCTGCTGGAAGGCTGGCATTGAAACCTTCCTCCTCCTGGTAGTCTTTTGCCAGAGAACCAGGCATGCTTGCCCAGAGAGCTGCCTCTTGAGGGTAGGGCCCTGGAGGCTCCTGCTACAAAGCAATCTCAGAAGGCTTATCACAGAGTGTCAGGTGAAAAGGGCAAGATACAGCTGCACTTGCAGCATCATCTCAGCCGTGTGAAAAATATGTGCATAGAAAATGCCTGGAAGGGATGCAAAGAAGAAAGAGTTTATATAAGTAGATCCACAAATGCAGGTGGATGCATTTTTTTTTTCTGGAAAGAATCACAGAAACTGTTAAGTTAATTTGGGGGAAAGAGCTAGGTTGATGGGAAGGTGACTTTCACAGTGGCCCCCTTTTGTGGTCTGTTTTCTAACTTTATGTGTGTGTGACTTTTATTCATACTTCAAATGTTAGCAGGGTTATTGGGTAGCACAATTTTGGTCCTTTTGTTTGCTTTCTTTATCTGTACCTCTCCAGAGTAAAAAGCATTTTTAGTAATCAATTAATTTTTATTCATGTCGTCAAACAAATGAAATAGAAAATTCAACATGCAAAAAAAAAAAAAAAAGACTGAAAACAATATGGCAGGATTTTAATAATGGTAATCTCCAGTTAGGTAGATTATTGGATTAAGATTTTTTTTAATTTTATTATTATTATACTTTAAGTTTTAGGGTACATGTGCACAACGTGCAGGTTTGTTACATATGTATACATGTGCCATGTTGGTGTGCTGTACCCATTAACTCGTCATTTAGCATTAGGTATATCTCCTAATGCTATCCCTCCCCCCGCCCCCCACCCCACAACAGTCCCCAGAGTGTGATGTTCCCCTTCCTGTGTCCATGTGTTCTCATTGTTCAATTCCCACCTATGAGTGAGAACATGCGGTATTTGGGTTTTTGTCCTTGTGGTAGTTTCAGCAAACTGTCGCAAGATTTTATTTCTTCATGTTTGATCTCTCTTGCAGCCCAGACAAGTAATTGTAAAGGGAAAATAAAATACCCAGACAACAGCAGGGAAAACCATGAATTGGTGACTTTATTTGAGGAGAGGGCACCCAACTGTCCCCTCCCCAACCCATCATGCTTGCTCTGTCCTTAGTTGCAAATTCCCTTTGGGATCTGGATTCCTAATTCATGAACCCTCCCTTTTGCATGGATCAGGGCTAATGTGCTGTGTCAGTAATAGTTTTTGTTGCCTGAGAAAACACAAATTCAAAGAAAAATCTTAATAGTGAATTGTGGCCCCTGGGGGAAGACACTGAACAGACAATCAGGACCAATATGGTTAAGACCACTGCTTTGGGTTGGCTGTGTCCCCACCCAAATCTCATCTTGAATTATAGTTGCCATAATCCCTATGTGTCGTGGAGGAACCAGGTGGAGATAATTGACTCATGGGGGCAGTTTCCCTCTTCCTGTTCTCATGATAGTGAGTTCTTGCAAGATGTGATGGTTATATATGGGGTTTCCCCCTTCACTCAGCCCTTGTTCTTCTTCTCTTCCACCATGATTGTAAGTTTCCTGAGGCCTCTCCCGCCATGCTGAACTGTGAGTCAATTAAACTTCTTTCCTTCATAAATTACCCAGTCTCAGGTATGTCCTTAGATCAGCAAGAGAATGGGCCACTACAACCACAGACTCTGCAAGCAAACTCCCTGGAGTCCCCGTCCATTGGTTTACTAGCTGTGTGACTTTGGGCAAATGACTTAACTCCTCTGTGCTTCATGTCCTCATCTGTAAAATGGGTATAGTCAGTGTTCCTAACAGATAGGGTCATTTGTGAGGCTTCTAAGAAGGACAATGGGTGGTACATATGAAGTGCCTACCAAAGGATGGCTGTGATTCTTCTTGCAGGGTGGACGCCTTTCCCGGCAGTTCGTCTCAGCACCACAGCCTGGGTGCCTGCATCGCCTGCACCATGCATACAGAAGCTAACACCAGGCTGTATCAATTCCGGGGCCCAAGAGAGAAACAGGATGTCCCATGTGACTTCTGCTACTTTGGAGTGGGGTCTTCCAGGAATCTTTGTGATATGGCTTGGTTATGTCCCCACCCAAATCTCATCTTGAATTGTAATTCTCACAATTCCCACGTGTCATGGGAGGATCCCAGTGGGAGGTGATTGAATTAAGGAGAGGGGGAGTCTTTCCTGCACTGTTCTCGTGATAGTGAATGAGTCTTGCAAGAACCGATGGTTTTACAAATGGGAGTTTCCCTGCACACGCTCTTTTTGCCTGCTGCCATCCACATAAGATGTGACTTGCTCCTCCTTGCCTTCCATCACGATTGTGAGGCCTCCCTAGCCATGTGGAACTGTAGGTCCAATAAACCTTTTTCTTTTGTAAATTGCCCAGTCTCGGGTGTGTCTTTTTCAGCAGTGTGAAAACGGACTAATACACTTTGGGTAATAGGAAGAGCTGAGGGATGTTAAGTACATTTCCTCCAGCCCAGAGGTGAGGGGCAGGTGGAGTCGGGGAGAGGCAACTGCCACAGGCTGGACATCTGTATCCAGGCTGGCCCAAGTGGGCTCTGACAAGGCTAAGGATGGCAAGTGGGCAAGCACAGAGGAGGGGCCGGGAAACTGGCCCTCACCCGGCCCTGATGGGAGGGGAGGAAGAGGGTGGTTGGCTCTGGAGTGAGGGGGCCCTTGTGTTAGCTCTGACAGGAACTCTCTGCAGGCTTTGCAGAATGGCAAATTTTGAGTTGGGAGAATTCAAAATAATAGGAACTTTCAAAACCCATTCCTGCTTAGCCCTTTCCTGGTGCAGCAAAGATCCTGTGGATCAGGGAGCACTGCGGATGTTCATTTAACATCATAGAGACAGAAGGAAGCCTAACCGTGAGCTTCCAGGATGGTGTCTGTGGCCCCAGCGTAAGTGGAGGATGCCGGGAGCAAGTGCAACACACAGGTTTCTGACCTGAGACGCCCAGGGGTGTGCAGAGGTGGTGGTGGGCATATCAGTTATAAATAGGCACTGGTATAAGTTTCCCTTTCCTGTCACAATCACATACCACAGTCAGAGTGGCTCAGAAAACAAATGAATTTGCTCACAGCTCTGGAGGCTGAAGTCCAAGATCTAGGCATCAGCAGGGTTGGTTTCTTCCGAGGCCCCTTTCCTTGGCTTGTAGACATCTGATTTCTCCATGTCTTCACATTATCTTCCCTCTGTGTGTGTCTGCCCAGATCTCCTCTCCTTATAAGGACATCTGTCATCTTGGATTAAGGGCCACCCTAATGACCTTGTTTTAACTTAATTACCTCTCTAAAGACCCTGCTTTCAAATGCAGCCACACTCCGGAGGTACTGAGGGTTAGGGTTTCAACATATGAATTTTAGGAAGAACACAATTTAGTCCACAACAGCATGTATATAATATTAAGGGTTTTTTGTTTGTTTCTTTCTTGTTTTTCAGACAGAGTCTTGTTCTATCACTCAGGCTGGAGTGCAGTGGTGCAATCTCAGCTCACTGCAACCTCCACCTCCCAGGTTCACGTGATTCTCCTGCCTCAGCCTCCTGAGTAGCTGGGATTACAGGCACCCGCCACCATGCCCGGCTAATTTTTGTATTTTTAGTAGAGATGGGGTTTCACCATGTTGGCCAGGCTGGTCTCGAACTCCTGACCTCAGGTGATCTGCCCGCCTCCGCCTCTCCAAGTGCTGGGATTACAGGTGTGAGCCACTGTGCCCAGCTGGTATTTTTTTTAAACCAAAAATTACCTTTGATATGTCTGCACACATAGAATAAGCTGTCTGTTTGCTTTGCTTTGTCCGGGTGCAGTTGTCCTCTGATGACTCAAGTGCCAGTGACATCCACTCTGTCCTGGGACTTGCTACCATCCAAGTTCTGTCCCGGGTGTGTGGATGAGTCCCCAGCATGATCCATGCCTTCAAGGAGCTCAGGGGGATGAGGGGCAGGGGACACAGGAGTGTGGACAGCAGCCGCCGTGATCCCACACTGCTTCCCATCCAGAGAGGAAGAAGTGATGAACTGGTGTTGGGAAAATGGAGCTGAAGCTGATGACCGGGGAGCAGGTGGAGTTTGGAAAAGTGGCCTAGGGTTCCTCCAGCTTCAGAGGCAGAAGAGCTTTCCTGGAAGAGGAGCCACTCTCGGCCAAGGCAGGAAAATGTGAAGAAAACGCAGCACGTTGGTTGGATCTCATTTTGTCTGACGAATGTCAGGGCCCTGTGGGAGATGAGGAGGGAGGGGACACAGAGCACCCGAGGGAAGGGTCCTGCCATCCAGGCTGCAATTAGTTTACCCTGCGCAGGTGCGGAGCTGGTGAAGGATGTCAGTCGGGAGCAACACAATCAGACTCCATTTTCTTAGGATAACTCTGATATAAAAATGCATAACTAATTGCTAATAAATAATTTATCAACATTATTCAAAGCTTGGAGTCTGGGTGGGGGCTGGGTATAAGTCATAGGCTCATTGACTGTGAAGCGAGGAGACCCTCCCCAGCAGGGGTTTCTGTCTGCTGAGCCATCTCATCACCACGTGCTCTGAAATGGATGTCTCCTTCTCTGAACTTCAGCGTCCTTAACTGAGGAAAGGGCCTGAAAGTTGATCAATACCATCCATGCCAGCCCTAAAACTGTTAGCTTAGCATAAGAAACGGTACACACATCAAGGGATTCCAAGGAGCAGCAGGAGAGAGGAGAGCTCAGAGAAGCAACACTGTATTTACTTTTAAATACAGGTTTCAGCCAGGTGCAGCGGCTCATGCCTGTGATACCAGCACTTTGGGAGGCCAAGTTGGAAGCATCACTTGAGCTCAGGAATTTGAGACCAGTCTGGGCAATGTGGTGAGAACTCCATCCCTACAAAAAAATACAAAAATTAGCCATTCAGTCCTGGTGGCATGATCCTGTAGTCCCAGCTACTCAGGAGGCTGAGACGGGAGGATCCCTTTAGCCCAGGAGTTCCAGGTTGCAGTGAGCTATGATTGCGCCACTGCACTCAGCCTGAGCAACAGAGTAAGACTCTGTTTCAATGAATCAATCAATCATCAACAGGTTTCCATGTTAATCCTCACCACAGTCCTGATCATAAGATGTTATGATCTCATTTTACAGATGGGGCAACAGAGAGTGAGGTTAGGGGACTTGCCCAGGGTTACACAGTTAGCAAGCTGCAGAAGTGGGATTCGAACCTGGGTCCTCCCATCAACCCATGCTCTATCCCTACTGAGTTAACAAGCCACATCTCTGGCTAGTCCCTGACCAGTCCTAGCCCTCTCCCATCTCTGCCCCCTCTTTGCATCCAGCTGTCCCTTGAGCACTGAGTCCCAGTCACGCTAAAATAACTGACACCTTTTCCTCTCTCTCAGGTACAGTTGAGTCTGGGTTGTTATTGCTATGGATTCTCAGGGACACAGGGGTTAACTCCACTGGAAATCATATGAGTAAGGTGGCAACAGAGTAAAGCTCACAGTGATGAACAGATAATGACCTGATGAAAAATCGCCTCATTGCAGATCATTAGCTATCTTCCCTCAATAATGCGGTTGAGCCGAAGGCCACAGTAGGTTTTCCTCTGTTGTTTGTTTATTGGAATCTGTCTCCAAAAAGTATAAAAGTGTGGTGGGCTCCTCACACTGGCTGGAGAGTGCCCAGCTGCTCAAGGTGAATATTTGTGTTGGGGGGAATATCATCCTGGTATTGAAAAACAGGACAGAGCTCTCCAGAAGGATCTGGACACTGATTTTTAGTTACTAGCTAAGTGTTTGGGAAATCCACTTGTCGTAGGTGGGGTATTCTGAGAAGCAGATTCTGAGACAGAGCTCTGTGTGCAGAGAGGATTCGCGTCTATGGGGGCAAAGGATCAGCATCAGGCAGAGAGAGAAACTGAACTCTGCTGAGGTCGCAACAAAGACCTCAGTGGATCCCACGGAAGCGCTGGAGCCAGGATCACTTTTGTAGGGGCCTGACTGGTGAATTAAGGGGCAGAGGCATATGGACTGCATGTGTCCCTCCAAAATTTATATATTGAAGCCCTAACCCTCAGTGCGATTGTACTTGGAGATAGGGCCTTTACAGAATGAATTAAGGTGAAATGAGGCTGTAAATGTGGAGCTCTGATCCTATTGCACTGTGGCCTTACAAGAGGAGGAGACACCAGAGCTTGCTCGTGTGCTTTTGCTCTGCCCTCGACACCCTGTCTCCCTGAGCATCCACAGATAAAAAGCCACGTGAGGACACAGTGAAAAGACGGCTGTCCGAAGCCAGGACGACAGCCCTCACAGGGTACCAACTCTGCCAATACCTTGATCTTGGACTTCTAGCCCCTAGAACTCTAGGAACATAAATTTCCTGTTGCTTAAGCCCCCTATTCTGTGGTTGGTTCTTTGTTATGGACATTCTTTGTTAATATAGGGGACATATGACCACCTCTGCTCCCATTTCCTCAGGATGGAATATTGGTTTTGATTTTTCTTCTTTTTTAGTTAACTTTGTTGAAACAGAATTTGCATACAATAAATTTCGCCCATTTTAGTGTGCATTTGATGAGTTTTGACAAATGTAAGCAGTAGTGTAATCACCATCATAATCATACTATAGAACATTCCCATTACCTTGAAAAGTTTTCTCCTGCCCTTATATACTCAATTCTCTCTCCCTCATCCCCCGACCTCTGCCATCTGGGCTCCCGCCGATCTGCTTTCTCTCACTATAGTTTTGCCTTTTCCGGAATTTTATATAAATGGAATCATGTAATATGGAGTCTTCTGTATCTATCTTTTTTTACCTCCCACAATGCTTTGGAGATTCAACCATGTCATTGCCTGTGTCAGTAGGTCATTCCTTTTAATTGATGAGTAGCACAGCATTATATGGATATGCCAAATATTTATTCATTGATGGACATTTGGGTTTGCTCTGATTTGAATGTGTCCCCAAATTTCATGTGTTGGAAACTTAATCCCCAAATTGATATGCTGATGGCTTTTGGAGGTGGGGCCTTTGGGAGGTCATCAGGATTAGGTAAGGTCCTCAGGGTGGAGCCCTCATGATGAGACTGGTGGCTTTATAAAAAAAAAAAAAAGAAAAGAGATGGGAGTTGGCACCCTCTTGCCCTCTCATCACATGATGCCCTGTGCCACATGATGCCACAGCAAGAATGCCCTTACCAGATGCTGGCGCCATATTCTTGGACTTGTCAGGTTCCACAACTGTAAGAAATAAATTTCTTTTGTTTTATAAATTACCTAGTCTCAGGTATTCAATTGTAGCAACAGAAAATGGACTAAGACATGGTTGTTTTCAGTCTGCGGGTTTTATGAATAAAGCTGCCATGAATATGCAACATACAAGTCTTTGTATGGATCTATGTTTCATTTCTCTTGGCTAAATACCTAGGGGTGGGATTGCTGGGTCATATAAGTGTAGTTTAGCTATATTAGAAACTGCCCAACTGTTTCCCAAAATGGCCATGCCTTTTCAGATTTCCACCAACTATGTATAGAGTTCCAGTTGCTCCTTGTCTTCACCAACACTTGGCATTGCCAGCCTTTTTGATGCTAACCATTCTAGCAGGAGTGTAATGATTTCTCATTGTGGTTTTAATTTGCATTTCATTAATTATTGATGACATCATGCATGTCTTCAAGTGCTTATTTGCCATGTATATATATTCTGTGATGAAGCATTCCAAATAGTTCACCCTTTCAAAAAATCCAAATTTTTCACCCATTTAAAAAAATTGAATTGTTTATATAATTGAGTTCTAGATACAAGTCCTTTATCTCTTTATCTAATACATGTATGCAAGCCTTTTCTTTTAATCTAAGCATTGCCTTTTCATTTTCTTAACAGTTTATTTTGAAGAGCAAAAGTTTTTAATTTGATAAAATCCAATTTGACAATCTTTTTTATAGTTTCTGGCTTTTTGTTTACTTGTTTTGTTCTAAGAAACATTTCCCTGACATCTTCCATATTTTCTTCTGAACATCTTAGAGTTTCAGCATGTATATTATTGTCTATAATCCATTTTAAGTTAATTTTGTATATGATGTTTAAAAATTGAGATTTTTATTTTCCCGTGTGAATATTTAATTTTTTCAGCACCATTTGTTGATAAGGCCATCCTTTCTCCTACTGAATTACTGGTACTGTTATTAAAAACCAATTGGCCATATATGTGTGGACTCTGTTACATTGATCTACATGTCTATCTCTATGCCAATATCACACTGTCTTCATTACTGTAGCTTTATAATAAGTCTTAAAACCACATAGTGTAAGCTTTCCAACTTTATTCTCTTCAAAATTATTTCGGCTGTTCTAACTGCTTATCATTTCCATATAAATTTTAGAATCAACCTGTCAGTTTCTATTTTTAAAAAAGCTTGCTGACATTTTGATGTGATTACATTGTATATATAAATCAATTTGGGGAGGATGTGGAGTTTTACAGTATTGCTGCTTTGGATTCATTAACATGGTCTACTTCATTTATTTAGGTACTTTAAAATTTTTCTCAGAAGGTTTTGTAGTTTTCAATATATAGGTATTGTAATATTTTGTTAAATTATACCTAAGTATTTTACTTTTAGAAGTTCTTATAAACAGTATTGTTTCTTAATATAAATATCCAGTTTTCTGTTGCAAATATGTAGAAATACAATTTTTTATATTAACATTGCATCCTGTGACCTTGCTCACTTATTAGTTCCAGTAGCCTTTTTTGTACATTTCTTAGGATTGTCTACATAGACAATCATATCTTTTGTGAAATAAAATTTTCATTTTGTCTTTCTAATTGATATGCCATTTACATCTTTTAATTATCTTATTGCCCAGGCTATGACTTCCAGCAAAATATTAAATAAAAGATAAAAGTGGATATTCTTGCCTTGTTCCTGATCATAGAGAGGAGCATTCAACCTTATGCCATTAAGTATGATGTCAGCTGCAAATTTTTTGTAGATGCCCTTTATCAAGTTGAGGAAATTCTCTTCTATTCCTAGTTAACTGAATTGGTTTTTTTTTTGTAATCATAAATCGTTTTGAATTTTGTCCAGTGTTTTCTTTACTAGATATAGAGATCTTTATATTTACATATTGCTCTTAAGTGAGCTTTGGTAACTTGTTTCACTTAAGGAAGTAGTACATTTCATCCAAGTTGTTAAATTAAGCTTTAAAGGTCTGTAGGATCTGTAGTGATGCCCCTCTTTTATTCTTGATGCTAGTAACCTGTGCTTCTCTCATTTCTTCTCTTAATTAATCTGGCTATAAGTTAATCAATTTCATTGATCTTTTCTAGGAATCAGCTTTTGGTTTTAGTAATTTCTTTGTTATTTGTTTAAGTTTTATTTCATTGATTTTTGCTCTTACCCTTACTATTGCCTTTCTTCTACTTACCTTGGGTCTAATTTGCTCTTTCTGTAGCTTTTTAAGGTGAAATTTTAGGTCATCGATCTTAGGTTTTTCTTCTTTTCTAATATAATTATGTAATGCGTAAATTTATCATTAAGCACTCTTCAGCTGCATCTCACAAATTTTGATATATTGCATTTTCTTTATTTAGCAGTTCAATGCTTTTTCTAATTTTTCTTGTGACATATATGTAATCTAGAAATCTAATTTAAGTTTTGTTTAATTTCAAATTTTGGGGATTTCCAGATGTCTTTTTGTTATTGATTTTTTAAAATTTAATTTTGTTATCAGAAAGCATACTTCATATTACTTCAGTTCTATTAAATTTGTTAAGGTTTGTATTATGGCCAAGAATATGATCAATCTTGGTAAATATTACATATGCACTTAAAAGACTATGTATTCTGTTGCTGTTGGTTTTACAAATATCAATAAGGTCAAGTTGGTTGCTAGTGTAGTTTAAATCAATACATAATTATTTTCTATCTACTTGTTCCTTCACATATTGAGAGAAGAGTATTGAAATCTCTGCTATAATTATAGATTTGTATATTTCTTCTCTCTATTCTATTTGTTTTTGCTTTAAATATTTAAGATTACATTGTTTTCTTGATGAATTTACTTCTTTATAATTATGGAATTCTCCCCTTTATTCCTAGTAGTATGTCTTGGTCTGAAGTCTACTTTGACATGCTGATATAGCCACTCTAATTTTCTTTTGATTAGTGTGTGTATGATATTTCTTTTTCCATTCTTTTACTTTTTAACCTTTCTATAGCTTTCTTATTTTGGTAGGCTTCATGTAGATAGTCAATACTTGGATATTACTATTTTATCCAATCTGACAATACTTGCATTTTAACTGTAATGTTAGAATATTAACATGTAATGCAATAATTTATACAGATCTACCATAGTAATATTTGTTTTCTCTTTGTTCCATCTGGGGTTTTTGCCCTTTTTCTTTCTTTTCTTTTCTTTTGAATTTATAGAGCAATTTTTATAATTCTGTTTTATATCCTACTACTATTGTATTATAAGCTTTTGTTCTTATTTTTTTTAGTGGTTTTTTTTTTTTTTTTTTTTTTGGCGGAGTCTTGCTCTGTCTCCCAGGCTGGAGCGCAGTGGTGCATCTCTGCTCACTGCAAGCTCCGCCTCCCGGGTTCATGCCGTTCTCCTGCCTCAGCCTCCCACATAGCTGGGACTACAGGTGCCCGCCACCACACCTGGCTAATTTTTTGTATTTTTTTAGTAGAGACGGCGTTTCACGGTGTTAGTCAGGATGGTCTCAATCTCCTGACCTCGTGATCTGCCCGCCTCGGCCTCTCAAAGTGCTGGGATTACAGGCGTGAGCCACCGCGACCTGCCTTTTAGTGGTTGCTCCATAGTTTACAATGTACATCTTAATTTATCACGATCTACTTCCAAAGAATGTTATAGCATTTCACGTATGGTGTAAAGACCTTAAAACGGTTTATTGTCATCCCCTACCTTCTATTTTTTGTGCTATTGTTGCCATGTATTTTCTTCATATACCTCTCAATGCATAATTATCATTTTTGCTTTTCTAGTCAATTATCTTTTCATGAGATTTTTTTAAATTAAAAGATATCTTTTATACCTTCCCACATATTTACCATTTCTGATGCTCTTTATTTCTTTGTGTAGAGTCAAGTATTAATTTTCTGGCTGAAGAAATTTCTTTAACAGATCTTGTGGTGCATGCCTACCAGCAATAAATTCTCTCATTTTTTTTCTTTGTCTAAAAAGGTCTGTATTTCATCTTTTTTTGAAACTTATTTGATATTTTCTGCTGGCTATATAATTCCAGGTGACTTTTTTTTCTTCCAGCACTTTAAATATGTCAGTCCATTTTCTCCTGGCTCTCATGGTTTCCAATAAGAAGTCTTCTGATATTCTTATTTTCATTCTTGTCTTTGACATTCTGATGTTAGACTACTTGATATTCTCCCACAGGTCACTGAAACTCTTCCTTCCTTTAAGCATTTGTTTTAGTCCATTTGGGCTGCTATAACAGAATATCACAAACTGGCTAATTTACAAAGGACAGATATTTATTTATCCCTGTTCTGGAGGTCTGGAAGTTCAAGATCAAGTCACCGGCATTTGGTGTTTGATAAGGGCTGCATTCTCTGGAAGGCAGGAATGTTGCATCATCATATGGCAGAAAACCAGAAAAGAAAGCTAATTGAACACCACATGAAGCCTCTTTTATAAGCACCTTAATCCCATTCACAAGGAAGAAGCCTAATTACCTCTTAAATGCCCCTTGTCTTGCTCACATTAGCAACACCTGAATTTTGGAGGAGGTGCAGTCAAGCCATAGCAGCATTCTTTTTTTCTTCCTGAGCTTCTCTCTTTTTTTTTTTTTTTTTTTGAGATGGAGTCTTGCTTTGTCTCCCAGGCTGGAGTGCAGTGGTGAAATCTTGGCTCACTGCAACTTCCACCTCCCAGGTTCAAGCGATTCTCCTGTATCAGCCTCCTGAGTAGCTGGGATTACAGGCATGCACCACCACGCCCAGCTAATTTGTGTGTGTGTGTGTGTGTGTGTGTGTGTGTGTGTGTGTTTAGTAGAGATGGGGTTGCACTATGTTGGTCAGACTGGTCTTGAACTCCTGACCTCGTGATCCACCTTGTCTTGGCCTCCCAGCCGAACTTCCTTTTTTGGATAGTTTCTATTGCTGTGTCTTCTGGTGCTCTAATTTTTCTTCTTCATGTGCAATCTGTTTTCAATCACACCCAATTTATTGTGTTGCAGTGTGTTTTCCATTTCTAGCAGTTTTATTTGGGTCTTTTTAATAGCTCTCATTTTTCTCCTGTGTGTGTTTTGCTCTCCATGATTTTGCTTTCCACAGTTTCAGTTACCTGTGGTTAACTGCAGTCTGAAAATAGGTGAATTTAGCACAATAAGATATTTTGAGAGACAGAGAGAAAAAGACCATGATCACATAACTTTTATTATAGCTTATTGTTATATGTTCTATTTTACTATTATTTATTATTGTTAATCTGTTACTGAGCCTAATTTATACATTAAACAGTATTATAGGCATGTATGTATAAGAAAAACCAGGTATATATAAGGTTCAGGACTATTTGCAGTTTCAGGCATCTACTGGGGACTTTGGAACATATGCTCCATGGATAAGAGAACCACTGTATATAGTGTGTGGTGTGTGTGTGTGTGTGTGTGTGTGTGTGTGTGTGTGTGTGTGTGTGGAGAGAGAGGTCCTTGTCTATTAATTCCATCATTCTAAAATTTTTAGATATATTTCTATTTATTGATTTTTTTTTCCTGGTCGTGCCTCTTACTTTCCTATTTCTTAGCATGCCTGGTAATTGTTAAATAAAATGTTAGACATGGTGAATTTTACATTGTTGAACACTAGTTTTCCTTGCATCCCTTTAAATGTTTTCGGATTTTGTTCTAGCATGCAGTTAAGTTCATTGTTTGGTCCTTTTGAGGCTCATTTTTAAGCTTTGTTCAGGGGGATCCAGAATGGCTTTTAGACTAACACTAAATTAGCCCCGATACAAAGGCAACATTCTTCTGTGGACTCCACTTAATCCCCGGCATTATGAAGTTTCTTCACTTTACCTACTGGGAACATGAGCAAAGTCCCAGCCTTTTGTGAGGCCCATGAAATGTTTGGGTACTTCTTCCTCTTTGTTCTTTCCGCAGCTTTGTGGATTTTTACGACATGCACGTGTGGGTGCACACACAAACACACACACACACACTCTCTCTCACAGGTCAGTACTCTGCCACTGAGTTGTGGGGACCACTCTGCAGATTTCTGAATCAATCTCTGTCTCTCTGAGTTTGTGTGTGTGTGCACGCATGCATGTGTCTGTGTGTGTTTGTGTGTGCATGTGTGTGTGTCTGTGTGCACACATGCATGTGTTTGTGTGTTCACGCATGTGTGTGTCTGTGTGTGTGCACATGGATGTGTGTGTCTCTGTATGTGTGTGTGCACATGTGTGTGTGCACAGTGTGTCAGTGTGTGTGTGTGCACGCATGTGTGTGTCTGTGTGTGCACATGCATGTGTGTATGTGTGTGTGCACACATGCGTGTGTGGCCGTGTGTGTTTGTGTGTGTTTGCATGCATGTGTGTGTCTCTGTGTGTTTGTGGGTGCACGTGTGTGTGTCTGTGTGTATGCACGCATGCGTGTGTGTCTGTGTGTGCACGCATGTGTGTCTGTGTGTGCACGCATGCATGTGTGTCTGTGTTTGTGTGTGTGCATGTGTGTATGCCTGCATGCGTGTGTGTATGTGTGTGTATGCATGTGTGTGGTTGTGTGTGCACACACGCATGCATGTGTGTGTGTGCGTGCACACATGTGTTTGTGTGTGGTGCGCGCAAGCATGTGTGTGTCTGTGTGTGTGTGCGCACGCATATGCGTGTGTCTGTGTGTGTGCATGCGCATGCGTGTGTGTGTCTGTGTGTGAGTTTGTGTGTGCGTGCACACATGCCGCTGCATCTCTTCTGGACCTGCCCTGAAAATTCCTGCTGCCTCAGTCTCCCTGAACAGGAATCCCTTTTTCTTCCATTTAGTGGACTATTGAGCTCTGTTGGGTTCTCCTCCCTACCCAGGGGCCTGGAATCTGCCTCCAGGAAATAAGCTGGGAGAATCTTGAGGCTCACCCTATGTTTTTCTTTTCCCTTAGAGATCAGGGTCCTGTGATACCTGTGACTCAATGTCTGGAAGCAATTATTTTATGTATATTTTTTTTTATTGCTATGGCGGGAGGGTCATTCTCCTAGCAGTTAATTCTTCATGGGAAAACTACTGGATTCACCCTCTATCTTGGTCAGAGGTGGGGAGGGGTCTAGTTCAGAGGCTTCTACTTGGTCCATGCCTCTACAACAGCTCTTTCCCTACATGCCTAGAAACAACATGGCACTTCTGCCCACTACCAAGTATGTCCAACCGTACATCCAGGGACCAGAGAGATGACCTCCGGTGGATCCATGGAACCTAGAACCTAACTTGAGCTGGATCTGACCAGGACTCCCTTGATGATATGACCCCCTCTTTTAGTCAGTTTGGGATGCCCTAACACAGGGGTGTCTCATTTTGTGGTTTCCCTGGGTTACACTGGAAGAAATGTCTTGGGCCACACAAAATACACTAACACTACTGATAGCTGATGAGCTAAAAAAAAAAAAAAAAGAAATCACCAAAAAATCTCATAATGCTTTAAGAAAGCTTAGGAATTTGTGTTGGGCTGCATTCAAAGCCATCCTGGGCTGCATGCGGCCCATGGGCCACAGGTTGGACAAACTTGCTCTAACAAATATATCATAGGCATAGGCTGGTGGCTTAGACACAAGCATTTGCTTATCACAGTTCCAGAGGCTGGAAGTCCAAGATCAGGGTGCCAGCAGATCTGGTGTCTGATGAGGGCCTCTTTCTTGTTTGCAGGTGGTCAGTCATCTTGTTTTGTCCTCACGTGGCAGAAAGAGAGAGGAAGCAACCTCTCTCATGCCTCTTCTTATAAGGGCACTAATCCAAGCAAGACAGCTCCACTTCCATGATCTAATGACCTCCCAGAGGCCCTCCTTCGATACCATCACACTGGGGACTAGGCTTTGACATTTGGATTTTCGGGGACACAAATGTTCAGTCCATAGCCCTATGCCATTGCTCTAACAGAAGCTATGATAATGTATTGTCGTTATTATGATTATTAGTTAATTGAATGGGCATTTTTGTGCCAGGCATCGAGTTTTACCTGAAGATTCTCTCTTTCATTCCTCAAGATGCTCTCGAATAGGTACCGTCATATTCTATATCTTGTAGGTACAGAAGTTGAGACTTATAAGAATGAAGTTAACCTGCCCAAGGTCAAGGATCTGAACTCAGGCTTTCTGATTCTAACTTGACCATTCACTTCCCAGCATGACAGCAACTCACAGTTGTAGAGGGCAGAATAGTGCAGAGAGTGCTGGGAAATGCTGCAGAGGGGAATGGGATGTGGATCAAAGGGCAATGGGGGTGCCCTGTCCAGTTCAGTGCCTTTAGGCCACTGCAAAGGTAGTGGCTTACTCCACAAAGAATTGGGCCTCAGGCACCTGCTCAGGACAGACCTGTGAAGATCTTCCAAGATTTTCAATGGCATTTAAAATATTAAAACTAATACATCGGCTTCTGTTTCAAGGAACCTCAGTTTGATGACCCCCAGACTAATAAACCTACTCATCCTGGAAACTGGCATAAGATCCAGTGAGACTGTGTCCTGGAAAGTAGCACATGAGCCCTGTGCCAGGTGCTGGGGTGCAATGGACGCAAAGGTCATGTGCACCCACTGTGTCCAGGTCTCAATGTAGAATCTAGATCCACACCTGGAGGTACAGGCTTAACTGATCTGGGCATTGACCCAGGTTGGCTAAAAACAGCAAAACCAGAGAGAAAGACTAAAACCTGGATAGAAAATAGATTTAATTTCTCATGCCAGTTCTGAATGATTGCCCGAGGCTTCCTGGAATCTTTTATTGAGAAAGACTGGGAGGGTGTGGAAGGGTCCAGTAAACCAGAGTGCGATGATGGATTAGTAATGTCTGCTATGGTCAGGGAGGTGGAGAGTGGCTGCCTGAAGCTCATGATTTGCTGATTTGCTGACCCTGGTCTAAGCTACTGTGCAGGAGAGGGGCAGACAGTCCTAGCCAGAGCAGTGGTGCAGACTCTCAAAGCTGAGTTATAAGGAGAACCAGGAAACGGGGCCCGACACAAGAGGGTTTAGAACGTGTTGGAAGGAGGATCAGCCAGATGAAGGCAAGTGGACTGGGACAGTCCCCGAATGGCAGGTCTTTGCAGGTCTTTCGTGAACCGCTATTTTGAATGCCAACTTGTCCCCAGTTCCTTTGCTCCACGAGTCTCCCTAGATCTGCCGTCTCCTAACACACTGTACATAACATTTACTATGTTTTTCATTTCTTCTGTCTCCCTGCTGCTGGCACATAAACTCTGAGGATCTCTGTTTTGTTCACTGACATACACCAAGCACCTCTAGCAGTGTCTGGCACTTAGTAGGTATGCAAGATTCTGAGATGTTGGGGGAACCTCCCCCTCTCAGCCAAAGCTCCTAAGCCTTGGCTCCCGCCCGGGTCTGGCTGCTGCTCAGAAACTGTGATTGGCAGATACATATGTCTTTGATTAATACGAATGGGGAAACACATTCACACTTACTTAATACATTCAGTTTTGTTGGCAATATATTTCAAAATATGGAGCCCTTCGGGGGAGGCAGTGGGGGTGAGGATGATAATGAAGGAGTCCTTCCCTGGGAGTCCTGGCTCAGGAGGAGGGGAAGGGCCAGCCCCAAGCTGGAGGCACTGGCTAACTGTTCTCCAAGGGGGGCCCTCCCTCCTCACATCCTGGTCTGTAACACCGGGATGCCAGCATCAGCCCTGTGTACCTCACAGAGGTGTAAGGTTTCAAGGAGATAATCTGTGCTAAAAGATGCTTCGTGACATGGTACACCTTTGCACTCCTTTTGTTACTGTTGTTATGATGATGATGTTTCCTTAAGTGGATGGGCGTTTCTGTGCCAGGCATTGTGTGGGGAGTTTTACAGGCATTCTCTCTTTTGTTCCTCAAGGCCCCATGGAATAGGTACCGTTATATTCTATATCTTGTGGGTACAGAAATTGAGACTCATAAGAGTGAAGTTCACCTGCCCAAGGTCGAGGATCTGAACTCAGGCTTTGTGATTCACACTTGACTGAGCAGGACAGAAAGAGATGCCTGGCATCTTCCTGCTTTGCAAACCAGGAAGAGGGTCCTCACCAGACCCCAGATACTGACTGTCCCCAACTGCACATCCAGCCTGTTAGCCACTAGGAAAAGAATGACATCAGGGGAAGGCTGAACTGATGCGCATGGGAAGGCAAACCCTCCCGTCAGTGAATCAGGTCACCCTGGGCAAGGCGGATGACGGTAGTGGAAATACAGTTGGCCCTCGAGCACCATACGGGTTTGCCTGGTGAGAGTCCACATAAATGCAGATTTTTTCCAATAAAGCTTACACCGAGCGTGGCTGCCTTCCCTTCCACCTTCTTTGCCTCTTCTACCTCCACCATCCCTAAGACAGCAAGACCACCCCCTCCTTCTCCTCCTTCTCAGCCTCTTCAAGGTGAAGATAACAGGGATGAAGACCTTTATGGTGATCCCCTTCTGCTAAATGAATGCTAAATATATTTTCTCTTTCTTACCGTTTTCTTAATAACATCTCCTTCTCTTTGGCTCGTTTATGATAAGAATACAGTATATAACACATATGCAAAATATGTGTTCATCAACTATTTATGTTATTGGTAAGGCCTGCATCAATAACAGGCTATTAGTAGTTACATTGTTGTGGGCATCAAAAAAAAAAAGACCTGGGGACTTCAGCATCACCGGCCTGAATTCAAATGCCACGCTGCCACTCAACGGCTCTGTGCCTTCGGCCACGTGGCCACCGGGTTAGTTTTGTCTCCTTCTCTGTTAGGCGAAACTGCAACAGTAGTTGTGAGGATGAAATGATAAATGCAGCCCCTAGCCCAGGACTAGGCTCCCAGCGGGTGTTCCGGAATCCTAGCTTCCATGTCCCCTCGGCAAACTCCCATGGAATTCAGGAAACACTGTTGGCTCTCTAAGGAGCATGTGGCCTGTCACCCTGGGTCCCACCTCTATTGGCCAGCAGCCCCATTTCCTGGGACTCTAGGTGCTGTTGGAATTTTGCAAGCGTAACGACCGACCACCCCTGTCCCCAAAGGGAGTATGGCAGAGGCTGGTTGGGGGGATTTAATTTGGACATAGCTCCGTTCCAGTTTGTCAAACATGGCAGCTGCTGCCTTTGGCACGTGCGGTCCCAGCTGCTGGTCACTTGCCAAGGAAGCAGTGCCCTGGGCAGAAGGCAGCTTTGTGCTCCTGTCTCCAGAGACAGCTGTGCGGTGACTGAACAAGGGGTTTCTTTCTCCCTTTGGGAAGGTACGTAACAGCCCCCCAAGAATTCATGCCCTGTCTTTATCAACAAGAGGCCTTCCTCAGTGACTGGCGTGCCACTGGCTCAGCTCTCCAGCTCTGATGTTGGCCCCGGAGCGGCTGGTCTTGGCGTCACTATCTGGGCTCTGTGAGTCAGTTGGTTTGCAGGCTGCTGAACACCCTTCAGTGCTGGGGAGCCCCTATGCCACCTGGAGGGGGTGCCCAGGATGCCTGGGAAGCCAGTGCATCCCCTGTGTGTGAACAGCCAGGCTGGCAAATCGGAGACTGGGGGGCTTGAGCCACCGCGCCCAGCCAGGGTCATCGCAGCCACATTGTTGCAGATCTGGGATCTGAGCCCCTGCAGTGTGATCCCAGGCCTGTGCTTTAATCACGACACCACCCGCCTCCTTGTCCCACGCAGTTAGGATACCTGTTCCTCGTGAGCCAAACGTTTTCACAGCCACTGTGCCCTCTCCTGCCTCCTTTATTGACCGTGGTTGCAATAAATGGCCATGACAGAGACAAGGCCAGAGCATCCCGGAGGAGGGAAGGGAGCCCTCCCGGCTCAGGCGCTGTCCCACACAGGCCTGACAAACTGGGGTGCCTGGACTCTGGGGTGCCTGATGCAGAGCCCAGCCTGAGTCAGGAGGATGGGATTACAAGGCAGCTACGATGCAGGAGGGATGGTCTCGTCCACACTACAGCCTGTTCTTTCCTTCCAGAGTTCAGGCTCTCACCAACTGGCCTGGCCTAACCACCCTGGGTTCCCAAGGGCTTCCTGGGGCCCTCATCCTAGACAAGGTCGCCGTCACCTCTCACCTGCCTAGCCAGGGCCTGGCCTGCTCATGACCTCTCCTTTGCATCTGCTGCCTGAAGCCAGCTGGCTAAAGTCTTGGATGTCAGCCTGTGACTCCATTCTGCAAATGGCTTTGGTCTGGAGTGCCCGATGCACTTACTTTCTCTGTTTTATTAGCCTAGGGAAGAAAAGGGGTTATCCTGGGACCATGGGTGGGTGCCGTATCGGCCAAGGGTTTCTTCAAGGTGGGATGGAGACAGGAGCATGTTTGTAGGAAGAGGAGGACAGGAGGGTGTGAGAGAGGCAGCAAGGACGTTACCAAGATTCGCGGGGGAGAAGGCCTGATGGGGAGTTTCTAGAAGAGGCAGCTGGTGGTGTGGGAGCCCTGGGGAAACCGCAATGAGAACGAAGGGACCCTGCCCATCGCTGGTACTGAGAGCCATGTGGGGCAGAGGCTGCCCCTGGGGCCTTTCTTAGCTGAGAAAAGAAACCCCTCTGATTCTCACCCCTCCCTTGTCCCTGTGGGGGCATCTCACCCCGATCCTAATGACTTACTGCAGCCTGGCTCGGCAATTCAGGTGCTCGTCAGTTCCCCCTCGGTGCACACAGGTGTGCGTGCCAGCCAGGTGTGGGCGCCTGTCCAGCTTCTCTTTGCACCTGAAAGTCAGCACAAATGCTGTGGTCAAAATGGGAGCTGAGCTGGGGGTGGGGACAGAAAGGGAACTTTGCAAGCTGAGCAGGGCAGGTGGTGGCGGGTTTCAGGGGCCGCCCAGGACAAGTCAAACCCCTCAGTGGTATGTGGTGGCACCAGGGGATCTCTGGGGAGCCACTTGCTGCTGAGGAGACTGTGAAGAGGGAGACACGCCCCCTCCAGAGCCTCCCAGCGTCAGACAAACAGCTCTCCCGAGCTCTGGGGAGGCTCCGACACAGCAGTGGCCAGTGTGTCCTCAGCAGGCCTCAGTTCCCGTGAAACCAGCAGGTGGGACTGAGGGCACCTGGACCCCTTCAGAGTCTGAACCGCCGTGACCCTGTGGCCTGCCGCCGCTCCTGGCTTACCCTCGTGTTTCTAGAACGTCCTCTGTGCCTCCGAAGGCAACACCAGGTGCCGAGAACCACGTGTTGATGGTGTTGCAGGGCCCGCGTGTCCCTGACATGGCCTCGCACCTCAGAAACGCTCGTGCTAAGGTGCAGAAATGGCACAGAAATGGAAAATGAGGAGCCGGGGGTCTGTGAGGCTCTTGATGCAGATACAGAAAGCTCCTCTGGCTGAAGTAGGAGAAGGAGGTTGGAGGGAAGGCTATGGAGAAGGGAGAGGTCCTCCCAAGATGAGGAAGTGTGGGGAGCCGTCCTGCAGCCATGGCCTCATGCTCACTGGCTTGTTCGGCAACTCCCTGAATGACTTTGCCCAATTCCTGTCCATCTTGAGTCACTTCCTCAGGGGTCGGTGTCCCAGGAGATCATCAGATTGGCTGAGCTCAGGACACGTCTGCCCCTCTGGAGGTCCTAGGGCAAGGAACGAAGTGCTGGTCTCTTTGTCTTCTGTGATGGGAAGGGCACCTGGCTTCACACTCCTCTAAGCATCATGCCAATCGGAGGGGAGACACCCCGAGAAGAAAGCAGGGTCTCCTTGCAGGCATGAGGTGCCCCCATGACCATCAAGCCCCATGACCACTTAGTGAGCATCAGTGAAAGGCTTGAGCAGGCAAGGAGATGCCGCCTGAAGACCCCAGTGGAGTGCAGAGCTCTGGGTGGGGAGGGGGTGCTTGTGGAGAATGCCAAGCCCCAAGCAGAATGGATGGGGCAGGCCCCTCCCAGAGCAGCATTCCAGCTATTTCTGCAGACCATGTGTCCTATTTAGACAGTTAGACAGTGGTCCCCACACTAAGTGCTAATCTCCGCCTCACAAAACTTCTCCAAGGGAATCAGCTTAACTGAATGTCCCCAGACACTGTTCCCATGAAGCCAGTCGGAGTATGTTTGTGTGGCTTTCTTTGATCCGTCTGAGTTGGGAAACTTCTAGGGAAAAGGGAAAGGTCCTCTCCAAAAATCTCCATTCCCTCATCAGTCCTTATTTTAGTCAAGAAACCTCAATTTCACATATTTATATTCTTGGGGGCTGTGGTTTTTCCTCTTAAAAATTGAGCTGTTCCACTGCCTCTTTGCATAGCCAGACACACAGGGAGGCGGCCGATGCTCCAAGAGCCCAGAGCAGAGAAGATTTCTCACACCCTCCCATTGTCCTTGTGGGGGCACCTCACCCCCGATCCTAACAACATCCTGCAGCCTGGCTTGGCAATTCCAGCACTGCTCAGCTCTCCCTCCGTGCACAGAGGTGTGTGTGCAGGTGGGGAGCAGGCACCCGCCCAGCTTCACTCTGCACCTCAAAGTCAGCACAAACGTTGCTGTCAAAAGGGGAGCTCAGGCCCTGGGGGGACAAAGAGAAACCTGCAAGCTGAGTGGGGCAGGTTTGGGGGGCTTGGAGGCACAGACTTCTATGGCTCATCCCAAGGGGGCTGAAAACCAAGAGGAGCTTGGCCCTGCACAGGAGCTTTCCTCAAAGCCAGGCCCATCTTCCATGCCCTACACCCCTCAATCCCCAATTGATTGCTAGTGCTTGAGGCTGGGCTGGAGGGGCCCTGGCCCCCTCTTTGCATGTTCCCTGGCTGATTCCCACCCAGAAGCAGGGTCTCTGCATCTCAGTGTCCTCCTCCTTCCTCTAGATCCTAGACTGGAACCTCCTTGGTCATGGGGGAATCGGGGTCTAAGGAGTCTGCGGGGGGAAGTACTGTCCCGCCGCCCCACCCCGTCCCACTCCCCCCGCCCTTCTCCTTGCCCTTTCTGTTGCTATTGCCTGCGTTGGTTTGCATGCCGTTTTGCTTGTGGTCTCCATAGCAACAACTACCAAATGGCCTATGGATAATAGGGGGACTCTCGGGGTGGGAGGGGATCCCGATGAGGCATTTGACTTTAAAAAATGGAAACGGTGATTCTGCCGCAGGCCTGGCACGGATGGTCACCCTTCTCTGCCCATCATCACTCAAGCCCCTCAGTCCCCCTCACCCAAGGGCCTGCCTCCACCTTGGCTGGGGGAGGGCAGGGAGGCCGCAACCTGCAAGAACAATGGAAAGGCCGGAGGGAAGCTGAGGGGCCAGAGAGGGACAGGAGCATGGAGGGCAGCCAGGAGCCTCTGCAACTATCTCCATCTCATGGTAAAAATCTCTAGTCAGAGTCTTCTCTGTTGTCCAGCTTCGTTTCGTGTCTCACCACTTCCTTCCACCCTTCCCAGAATCCCTTTCTCTCTCTCTCTCTCTCTCTCTCTCTCTCTCTCTCACACACACACACACACACACACACACACACACACACACACAGAAGCGTTGCTTCATGTCTTGGGGCCTGGCTTCTAGGTCCAATGTCCTGGGAAATAAGTCTCTAATTGTTTCCATGTGTCCCGCCCTGAGCTGTTTACAACAGGCATTCATAGCCCTGGACCTCGAGCCCTGGTGAGGCCACAGGGTCAGCACAGGGATGGTTCCCATTTGAAGATGACCAAACTGATGTGAAGGGCAGAGGGAGGGACCCAGGCCTCCCCCAGCCCCGAGTGTCTTCCACAGTGAGCTGGAAACCTGTTCTCAAGTCTAAATATTTTACATTTTATCTGGACTAGACTTTCCCCATTTTATTTATTTTCAAAGCATTTTCCCAGATAGTGTCTCTTGTCTATTCCCACGGCTCCGTGAGTTCAGGAGATCGACCCTGGACGGGGCTCCTGCCCACGCCTCGGACTCTGCAATCCTTGGCAGCGACAACCGGAGAGCATGGTGAGAGTGTGGTGGGGAGAATATGCCATAAAAAACAGAAGACAGAAACCAAACACATTGCCTGGGGAGCAGGAACAAACCCCGATCGTTCCCTCAACAGATGAAACATCTGAAGCCCAGAGAGCTTAGGCAGTTTTCCTGAGCATGTCTGGACACACACACACACACACACACACAGAGCTTCCATTAGCAACAGATGTCACAAAAGGACAGGCGCCACCTGACGATAATCTTTCTACTCACCACTGTCCCCTGTAGGAAGGATTCTCCAGGCTTTTCACAGTCAGGCTAGTTGTTAAAATGTTTACATTCATGGGGTGGGAGAAGACCTGGTCAGGTTTCAAGGTGCGGGCAGAGTGGGCCTACCCATCAAGAGTGGTACACAGCGTGCTGAATGAAGCCCAGCTGGGCTTAGGTTAGGGCAGGGGAAGCCCAGACCCAGCCCTCTGCCTGTTTTGTAAATGGCATCATTGGAGCACAGCCATGCCCATTTGTTTGTGTACAGTACACTGCTGCTTGCAAGCTGCAACAGCAGTGTGGCTCACAAAGCCTACAAGATTTACTATCTGTCCCTTTAAGACAAAGTTTGCTGACCCCTTGTTTAAGGGATTAATCCCAAGAATGTTCTCAGGTTCATTTTTTTTCTTTCCCATGCAACAGAGTCATATGGTCATCCAATTCCTATCTGTCAATCACTATTGTAAGGGAACCATTTATTTAAGGACAGTTGATTGAACCCCTGTTATGTGTTAAGCACCCGAACAACCCAAAACACACATAGAAGGAACACGACGTCCCTCAAGGGGCTCACAAAATCCCAAGTGATGGTAGCCAAACACAGGCACAGGGTACAACAAGGACGATGGTGACTGATCCAGCGTAGGCTGGGGCTGCAGTGGTAAAGGTGGAGAAAGGCTGGAGAAGTTAGGGACTGTTTTCTGCTGAAGGAGACAACTTACTAAGTTTTAAAGAGCCACTAGCTCATGTCAGAGAAGGATCTGAAGCCATATGATTTGGAAAGAACATGAGTGCATTCGGTTTTGGGTATGTGGAGTTTGGGGTGCTGGTGACATACCCGGGTGGAGATGATTCAAATGTTTTGTTATGTGTAGGGGTCCAGAATTCAGGAGAGAGAGAATCTGGGCTGGAGATGTAGAGTTAGGGGTATATAGTTGGTGTGGTAGGGATGCTGCCTTCTTGGTGATAAAAGCCTTAACCAAGAGGTAGAAATAATTTTCTCTTCCTGTGAGCAATTCTAACAGCTTGCCTTTACTGCTCTAAAGATATTATGGCACTTTGCATTTCAATTTGTATGTAGTTGGTATCTCTCTCCATTGAACTGTAAACAACAGAGACTTTGGCCATGATGGAGTAAGCATTTATTATTCCACCCTAAATAACTAAAAATAGACCAACTATATACAACAATTTTCAGACATTGGACCGCAGGTGTCACAGAAGTGTAATCTCTGACAGAGGAGAAGCAAATGAGGTGAGACCCACAAGTGCCCCAGCTGACAACCTGGAGAGAGTTTCCACGCCACCATACAGGTAAGTGGAAACCACACAGTGTTCAGTGGCTTCACTGAATTAAGGAGATAGTGTTTAGGGTGTGGGGAGGCCAAGGCAGCTAACATTTGTAGGGCAGAGCCCTGGAGAGGAGAGAGCTGCACACAGAAAGAGAGGACTCTAGAGATCTGCAGACGACTCACTTAAGGCCTTCGGCTGAATATTGATCAGTGCATGCATATGAGAAAATTACTAAGGCTGTGGAAAAGGAAAGTAGCAGATAGAAGAACCCCAGGAGCTCACAAAGGCTGGAGAATATCTTACATGCCCAACAGCCAGTGGAAAGACCTCCTCACCCAGGAAATACCAAGCAGAGTCCTCAGAAAGGCATTGCTTCAGAAGAGGGACTAAATTAGCCCTAGACTAAAGGTTGTTCTAAACGTGTGAAACAAAGCTTAAAAGTAATACTTGAAGAAAAATCAGATTGTTTCCAAGTAACTTAACTATGAACTAGAAAAAGAGTACGAATATATTTAAAGGAATAATTAGAGGAATTAACAATGTCTGGCATCCAATTAAAAATTAGCAGACATGCAAAGAAGCAGGAACTAGGCTCTACAGCCAGAAGAAAAGCAGTTCATAGAAACAAACCAGTAAATGACAAAGATCATAAGTTTAGTACACAAGGGCCTTAAAGCAACTATTATAAAAATAATGTATATGTTCAAGAAAGTAGAGGTAAACATAAACATGATGAGAGAAATAGAAGATAACATATATATTTTAAATCTAAATAAAACTTTTAAAAGTAAAAAGAAAACTGAGATGAAAAATATTGTGGATGGGATCAACAACAGATTAGACACAGAAGAAGAAGGAATAGTTAAATTGAAGACATAAGAATAGAAACAATTCAAAAGGAACTTTAGGGAGAAAAATAATTGAAAAAATAAACAAAACATTAGTGAAGTGCAGGACAACATCAAACAATGTAATGTATGTATAGTTAACATCCCAGAAGGAGCAGAGAGAGAGAGAAAAGGACAGAAGAAAATTAATGACAAAAAATTTAATATGTGATGAAATCAATAAACCACAGATCCAAGAAAATCAATGAAGCTCAAGACAAGAAAACATGAAGAAAACCACACCAAGCCACCACATAATCAAATCATGAATAACCAGTAATAAAGAAAAAAACCTTGAAAGCAGCCAAAGAAAAAAGGATGGATAAATAAATTATGTTTATCTAATAATAAATACACAGGAAAAATATAAAAATGACAGCAGACTTCTCATCAGAAACAACACAAATCATAAGACATTGGAGCTAAAGTTCAGAAAGGGTGAGCAAATATCAATTTAAAACAATACCTTGTGAAAATAGCTTTTTAAATGAAGGTAAAATGGAGAATTTTCCAGGCATAAACAGAAATAATTTATTACCAGCAAACAAGCACCATACAAATTTTTTAAGGAAGTCCTTCAGGTAGAAGGAAAATGATATCAGATGGAAATTTATATCTACACAAAGGAATCAAAGATATCAGAAATGGAAAATATTTGCAAAATATAAAAATAACAATTTTCTTATGTTTTAAATCTCTTTAAAAGATAACCAAGACAAAAATAACAACAATAACAAGATATTGGAGTTTATCACATACTTTTGAGATTCATACATGCTGTTTCACATATCAACAGTTTGCTATTTTTATTGCTGAGTAATATTCCAATCTGTGAATATACCATAATTTGTTTATCCATTCACTAGTTGATGGAAGCTTTAGATGTTTCCAGTTTGCAGCTGTAATGAACAAAGCTGCTGTAAATATTCACATACAGTTTTATGGGGGCATATGCTTTCATTCCTCTTGGGTAAAAACTGGGGAGTAAAACTGCTGGGTTGTATGATAAGCGTATGTTAACTTTTTAAGAAACTGCCAAACTGCACCATGGAATGTCTGCACCATTTTGCATTCTCCCCAGAAGTACATGAGAGTTCCAGTTGCTCCACATTAACACCAAAACTTGGTATTCCCAGGCCTAGCACAGTGGCTCATGTCTGTAATCCCAGCACTTTGGGAGGCCGAGGTGGACCGATTACTTGAGGTCAGGAGTTTGAGACCAGCTTAGCCAACATGGTGAAACCCCATCTCTACTAAAAATATGAAAAATTAGCCAGGTATGATTGTCCATGCCTGTAATCCCTGCTACTCAGAAGGCTGAGGCATGAAAATTGCTTGAGGCTGGGAGGCGGAGGTTGCAGTGAGCCAGGATCGCACCATTGCACTCCAGCCCAGGCAACAGAGGGAAACGGTCTCAAAAAACAAAAACAAAAAAAACTTGGTATTACCAGTCTTTTGAACTTCAGTTGCTTTAATGCACATATGAATTTTGTATATGTGTTTTAATGTTCTTGCTTCACTGTGGCTTTAATGTGCATTTCCCCAATAACTAGGGATGTTGAGCATCATTTCATGTGCTTGCCATTCATATATCTTCTGTGGTCAAGAATCTGCTTAAATCTTTCCCCCATTCATGGGGTAGGGTGTTAACCGCTTTATCGTTGAGTTATAAGAGTTCTTTGTACATTCTGAGCACAAATCATTTATCAGAGATATGTTTTTCAAATGTTTCCCTCCAGTCTGTGTTTGTCTTTTCACAGTGAGGGGCAAAATTTTCAGTTTTGTTAAAATATGACTGATCAATTTTTTCCTTTTGTAGTTTGTGCTTTATGTGTCCCATCTTTGCCTAAGCCAAGGTTACTAAGATTTTCTTCCTATGTTTTCTTCTAAAATTTGTATATCTTTAGCACTTATATTTAGATTTAAAAATCCATTTCAAGCTTTTGTATATAAGGTGAGTTAGGAATTGAGGCTTTAAAAAAATATGGTTATCCAGTTGATTCAGAACTATTTGGTGAAAAGACTATATTGAATTTATTTGGCATGTATGTATTAATAGAAGTAAAATATATGACAATAGCACAAATGCTAGGAGAGGGAGAACTGAAAAGACATTGCTTTAGGGTTCTTAAATCATACACAAAGCAGCATAACATTATTTGAAGGTAGACTTCGATTAAAAGGTGTGTTATGTAAACTTAAAAGCAATGATTTTTTTAATAAGGTATAGTTAATAAGGCAACAGAGAAGATTACATGGAATCATAAAAAATACCAAATCTGTCAAAACAAGGCAGAAATGAAAGGAAAAGAAAACAAAGAACAGATGGGACAAATATAAAACAAATAGCAAGATGGGCAGATTTAAACCCAACCATAGTAATAGTCACATTAAACGTGAATAACCTAAACACCTCAGTTAAAAGGCAGAGATTGTTCTGCGAGGGTGGGAGTAGAGAAACACTGTATCATTCAATCCCTGGTAACCAAAATTCAACAAGAGACATGGTAAGGTCAAGATATAATGTTTAAGAAATTATCTGTGTCATACTGGTGGGACAGCCACATCAAATCTAGTCCTAAATCCCCTGGTGGAACAGCCACATCAAATCTAGTCCTGAGTCCCTTGGCAGCAGAGATACAGCAAGCTAAATAACCACCTCCACCTTCCCACCATCTTTTCCCCAGAAAGCAGGGAAGAGAAACCTTGTCTTCAGATTCCCAAATGATTAACTGGGGAGAGAAGGGGGTCTGTGGTCAGTAGGTGAGACTCTATCTGCAGACTTTCCATGAAAATACTTGATAGAGGTTAAGTTGGAGAGAGGGGAATGTTAAATTGGAAATTCAAAGTTGGTCTTTCTGTAGCTCAAGCCATGACACGAACCCAAACAATGTTCATAATGATTCTCTCAGTAACCATATAAGAAGAATGACTGTATCACCCAGCAAAGCAGACCCTGGAAACAATTCTTTTTTTAATCTAGTACTCAAACGAAAGGTAGATGAATTCAGATTTTTGTAGCAGTCCATCTTTGAACTCCAGGTTGGTCAAATTGCCTTTCTCTGAGCTTCCCCAGCTTTCTCTGCTCTGCTCCACACCCAGCACCACATACACTACCTTGAGGTGATTTTGACATCATACTTGTGCACATCTGAGCTCCATGCTCTGTGACACGGGGGATGGTCTTACTCAGAACAGCAACCCCAGGGCTTTGACCAGAGCCTGACACATGCATGGCAGAGGCTCAGTAAATATCCCTTGACTGATTGACACCCTCAATGTAGGGTTTGTGTTCGTTTCTCTTCCTGGGGCTCAATAAGAATAATGCATGTGGATTTAGGCTGCAGCCAAAACAATGGAAGTAGAACGTTAGGGTGATCATTGCAGCAAAAGTTGTTTGGTCTTTGTTTTTTGTTTTGTTTCATTTTTGAAGCACGGGGCCAGTTGCTGAAGACAAGAGCAGCCCTGATCAACAGAACATTCTGCAATGATGGCAACACCCTACCCGCACCATCCAGGGTGGCAACCACCAGCCACTGGTGGCTGCTGAGCACTTGAGATGGCAAACGAGGAACTGAATTTTACATTTTCTTTCATTTCATCTCATTTAGGCTTAAATAGCTGCATGTGACTAGTGGTTTCTGCACTGGATGGCACAGCCCTGGAGGCTGTCCCCTTCCTCGGTGTGCTCCTACCGGTGGGGCCTGATGAATGTTGGGGGGAGGGGACAGACACCCCCATCTGTTGAACTGGCAAGTGCGGGCGGGGGAGAGGAGGAATTGACCTCCAAACAGCTGGCTTTGTTCTAGGCAGAGTACCATTCCCCCATCTCCCACCACCTCCCCAGGCCCTGGCACGTGGCACTGCGTTGGACACTTGGCACATAGGACTTCTCTGCGTGCCAACTCCCCCGCCTGCCTTCCTCCCTCCTTAATTAACTCTGCAGCAGCAACTTTGTTTCCCTTTGCCAAGATCGGGAGAGGGTCCTGGCATGTGCCAGCAGGGCTGAGAGCACAGGAACAGACCCGCACGGCCTGGCTCCACCCCCTCGCTGGGCTCTAGGAGCCTCCCCAGCCCACCAGAGAGCCTCGGGTCCCAGGCAGGCCACTGGCAGGCCACTGACAGTCCCTGGGCTTTGCCTGTGAGTTAAGCCGGGAGTTGAGTAATTGCTGGCTGGGTTCTGGCTCCTCCCAGGATTCAGCTGGGGGCTAGAAGATGTCTCCATCCCGGGAAACCTGGCAGTCAGCCCAGGGGGCGGGGCTGAGCGGGAGTGGGGGAAGGAGGCCCCTGGGCAGCTCGGTGCCTCTCTCCCCACTCTGCCCTCCCGTCTCTGATGGGCACCAGCGCTCCCTGCTGAGAGAAGCTCCAGCTTGGGAGACGCCTGTGTTTCTCTCTAATAACCAGGGGGCTCCTACCTGCCCTGCCTGCCCTGCTAAACTTCCCGCTGCCCCTCCAGCCTAGGTCTTGCCACAGAGGCATCTGGTCGTCAGCACAGACCAGGCCCACCTGAGGGGGTTGACAGACATGCAGATTTCCAGGCCCAAACCCGGCTATTGCCACCCAACCATCTGGAACAGAACTGGGGACTCTGCATGTTTAACCATCCCCCACGGCGATCCTGGGACTGGCCACCCTGTAGCTCCCAGCTAGGCAGGGGCCAGGCTGCAAGGGGCCCTGCCTCAGCTCCTGCAGGCCGCAGAGGTACCGACTGGTCAACAGAAGCCCGGGGGTCGAAAAGGGACCTCCCCATGCCTGCTGGTTAGAAGATAAAGACGAAGAGTCTCTCTTTGGCTCACAGCCAGGATGAGGAGTCCGTAGGTAGAAGGAGGAGTCTCACAGTCCCTCCCCTGCCCCTAAGCCTCTGCAGAAGTGAGGATCCTGCTCTGAGGAGGAGGATCTACCCAGCAAGGGCCATGCCAGTATTTAACAGCCCAGCCTCCCTTCCTCCAGTGCAGGGCAAGCCTGTCTGCGCTTGCTTCCCCCTCAGGGATGATGTAGAAAAACCCTGTGACCCTGGCCCCTCCAGTCCTGCAGGTGGTCGGGAAGCCCTGCCTGCTTCTGGCCCAGTCCCTGGCTGGAGCTGGAGGCCCTGTTCAATGGGCAGGTGCTGCGTGGAAGACAAGGAACCTCTTCACACGGAGGGCACTCCAGCCTGCCAGGCCCAGCCTGCCCTGGGCGAGCAGCCTCCCTCCCTCCCTCCCCGCCCACTGCTCTCCCCTTAAATGGCCCCTGATGGGTGTCTGCAAACTGGAGCTGAATAAAAATAAACACTACAGAGTGCCTGGCACAGGGAAGGCTCTCTAATATTTGTGAAAAAGGGAGGGAGGGAGGAGGGGAGGGGAGGTCAAGGGAGGGAGGGATGGAGGGAGGCGGGGAGGTCGGATGGGGGAGAAGAGAAGGGGAGGAGAAGGATGGGAAGAGGAGAAGGGGAATGGAGGGGAGGAGAGAAAGGAAGAGAGAGGAGTGGGGAGGTGGCAGGAGGAAAAGGAGGGAGGGACAGAGGAATGAAGGGAGGGAGGAATCATTTTTACAAAGCCAATGGGAGAACAGAAAGAGTGCTGAACTGGAAATTAGAGGACCTGAATTTGGTTCTTTCCCTCTCCTTAACTAATAGCGAACCCTCTCTCTCCAGACCCTGTAGGGGACCCACTGTCTCCAGGCCTCCGTTTGCTCATCTGTAAAGCGAGGGGTGGGCCAGTCACCCCGGCATGAGCTTTGACATTTTAGGATCCCAGCCTTCCCGCTGTGGTTGCAGAAGTGGCTCTTAGGATCCCAGCCTTCCCGCTGTGGCTGCAGAAGTGGCTCCTCTCCAGAACAGCATTTATGGCGTCTGGACTCCCGCCCCAGCTCCCTAACGGGGCAGGGAGCTCGCCTGCTCCTGAAGCATCCGCCTCCCAGCCTCGCGCAGGTGAGGCTCATCAATAACGATGGGCGAGGATGTCAGGCTGCGTCTGAAGCCACCAGGGGCCCAGCAGGCTGCCGCGTGCTTTGTCATAAACTATGTTGTCACCTGGGGAAGAATCATCACCGATAACATATTTCAGGAGACAAAAACAAGAGGTGCATTGATTTTTTCCACGAGGTCAGACAACTTCTGGGAAGGCTCCTGGAACTCAAGTTGTCACGGCATCTCTCCCTGAATATCCGTTTGACCCGGGGTGTTAGTGGCCTCTGACCCAGGTGGGCTCTTTTTCCTGATCACGGGCTGTTCTTTTCAGAGGCCAGCACCATCACTGGCCTTTCTCAGACCCTGAGGATCGAGGCTGACTTGGATCCAGGGAAGATTTGCTCTCTGGCTTCCCCTGATCTGGCTCCGAGAAAGGTCTGCACAGGTGGCTCCGGGAGGGGCTCTGCTGACAGCCAAATCTGCCATTTGTTAAGCTTATGACACACACCAGAGTGACCTGTCTATTTCCCTGGCCACCACCCAGCCCAAAACTGAAGACAGAATGTTCAAAAATACAGTATATTAATAGAAAATCTGAGGCATAGTGAGGCCAACAGATCAGGAGACAACTGCCATTAAAAAGGTAGTTTGCGGCCGTGAGCGGTGGCTCACGCCTGTAATCCCAGCACTTTGGGAGGCCGAGGTGGGCAGATCACATGAGGTCAGGAGTTTTAGACTCGCCTGGCCAGCATGGTGGAACCACCCTATCTCTACTAAAAATATAAAAATTAGCTGGGTGTGGTGGCGGGAGCCTGTAATCCAAGCTACTCAGGAGGCTGAGGCAGGAGAATCACTGGAACCTGGAAGGTGGAGGCTGCAGTGAGCTGAGATCGCACCACTGCACTCCAGCCTGGGCAACAGAGTGAGACCCCATCTCAAAAAAAAAAAAAAAAAAGGTAGTTTGTTACTCACAGTTCCCAAGAGGAGGGGAGCACCACGCCATGCCGCGCCACGCCATGCCACGCCATGCCACGCCATGCCATGCCATGCCACGCCATGTGGGGGCCACACCCGGAGAGCCCCAGAGGGAGCAAGGGGCAGAACGCAGGCAAGCAGTTCCCATGGGAAGGAACAGGCGAGGCAGGGTACACAGGTTTAGGACTAGCTAGTTTGAATAATTTCAGCAGGCTCTGGGACATAGGAGCTGTCTGTAGTTGTCTGGTACCTGGCCCTGGGGGATACAGGCAGGTGGATAGGGGCCCAGAGTGTGGTTGGGAGGTGTGGGCTCTAGAGTGGGTGATTTGTATTTGAAAAGCACACTCCCAGGCCATTGTCTGCTGTCTCTAGGAACTATCTAATCCTGGGAGGGACTCTCTCCAGTGTCAGCAAAGCCCCTGATGTCAAAGTATCACAATACAGAGAATAAAAGACGCGGCCCGTACGCAGAGCTGAAGTGGCTCTCTGTTATTTGCAGATGGAAATTGGAATCTCTACAGCATGACAGACACTTGAGCAGAAATTCTAAGCTTTTATGGGTTGCCACAGGTCCCTTTCAGGAGGATGGCGAAGGCTATAGTCATGAGCCGTCTAAGGTGGAGGTCACGAGCGGCAGGTGGCTCTTAATAAGCACTTGACATACCACTTCTCCCAACTGAGATGTGCTGTACGCGTCAAATCCGAACTGGATTTTGAGGATTCAGAATGAATAAAAGATTGAAAAAATCTCATTCATGATTTGTATATTAATTACATGTTGAAATGATAATATGTTGGATATATTGGGCTAAATAAAATATATTATCAAATTTAAGTTTGCTTGTTTCTTTTTATTGTGTCTGCTAGAAAAATGTCCTCAGTTAAAATCACCTCAGTGGCTCACATTCTCTCTCTATTGGACAACAGGGCTCTTGACCTCCCTAGGGGAATGGACCCAGGCACACATGATGCAGGTAAAATATGGTATTGAGGGGTGTGATTCCAGGATCTGAGGGTACACCGACCCCAAGTTGATTTCACTCTCTCTTTCCAGAATTATAGGGTGAAAAGAACCCTAGAGAAGGATCCCTGGCCCCAGACACATAACTATCAGTGAGAACCCACAGCATTGAAAAGCAAATCTTTCCCAAAGCTTCATGTTTTGAGCCAGCCTGCTGTAAAACTTTGTTAAAAAAAATCAGTAGACAATAAAGAAGAAAATCAAACTTTTTAGCCTTGATTAAGTGGTTCGATGGAGAGAAGAGTGGTAGCGTGCTTTCCTCGTTGGCTGATAATCGATTCTTTTCTTGGTCTGAGCCTTGGTATGGCTTAGGAGCTTGCCCAAGCCAGCACTGGTGTGGGGCAGGCAGGGAAGGGCTGGGACTGGGAATTGCTTCCCCAGCCCTGGATTTAACTTCTCAGGACAGATGATGGCTTGTGCACGTCATCAGTTCTCCATGGAGAGAGGCTCTGTGTCCTTTCCCAGAAGCCCAAGCACTGGTTTTCACTCCCTGCGAGCCAGAAGCAATTCTCATGGCATTATACAGTTCCTCCGTTTCTGAAATGGAATTCCCCCTCTCCTCACTTGGTCTGCACTGGTCCCAGGGAAAGTTTGCTCAGCGCTCTTCCTCCACCCACCCTTCACATGGTGGCAGTGGCTCAGTTTAGGGGTTAAGCCCAGAGAGTTTGAGGCTGTCAGGTCTGAGAGCTGCCCTTGTCTGTCAGAGGCCAGCTGCAGGATTTGGAGCCAGTTACTTCCTCTCTCTCTCTCAGCCCCAGCCTAAGCTTGGCAAAAGGACAATGACAACACCTCTGTGGTATAATAAAGAGTATGTCTTTGTCCCTGGTTCCTGGCACAGAAAACCGTTGGAATTTCCTGAATGATAGGAGTGTCTTGATTGTGTTGATGGTGTGACTCCTGGCACATGCCAAGAGGACTTCAGGATGGAGGCTGACCACCAAAGACCAACCACGTGATAAGAGGGCTGGAACTTTTGGTCCACCCAAAGTCCGGAGAGGGGAGAGGGGCTGAAGATTGAGTTCAGTCATGAGGACAATGATTTAATCAGTCATGGCTACGTAATGAAATCCCAGTGAAAACTTTGGGTCTGGTGCAGTGGCTCATGCCTGTAATCCCAATGCTATGAGAAGATGAGGTGGGAGGATCACTTGAGCCCAGGAGTTCAAGACCACTCTGGATATCATAGTGAGACCTCCTCTCTACTAAAATTAAAAAAATAATAATTTTAAATCAACCAGGTATGGTGGTGCCCGCCTGTAGTCCCAGCTACTCAAGAGGCTGAAGCAGGAGGATCACTTGAGTCCAGGAGATCGAGGCTGCAGTGAGCCATGATCACACCACTGCACTCTAACCTGGGCAACAGAGCGAGACTCTATATCAAAAAGGAACAACAACAACGACAAAACTCTGGACACTGAAATCTCTTGAGGATATCAATTCCTTACCAGATACATGATTTGCAAATATTTTCTCCCATTCTGTGGGTTGCCTTTTTACTCTGTTGATAGTGTCTTTTGACTCACAAAAGGTTTTAATTTTTATGAAGTCCAATTTGTCTATTTTTTTCCTTTGTTGCTTGTGCCTTTGACGTTATATCTAAGAAATCGTCACCAAATCCAATGTCATGAAGCTGTATCCTTGTTTTCTTCTAAGAGTTTTATGGTTTTAGCTCCTACATGTAGGTCTGTAATCCATTTTGAATTAATTTTGGCATATGGTGTTAGGTCAGGGTCCAAATTCATTCTTATGTAGGTGGATATTCAGTTTTCCCAGCACTGTTTGTTGAAAAGACCTTCTTTTCCTCATTGAATGGTCTTGGCACCCTTGTCAAGAATCATTGGACCATATATGCGAGGGTTTATTTCTGGGGTCTCTATTCTACTCTTTTGGTCTATATGCCTGCCTTTATGCCGGCGCCATACTCTTTGGATTACTGTAGCTTTGCGGTGAGTTTCAAAGCTCAGTGGGGCCTCCTGGTTGAACACATGGATTTGCTGGGAAAGTGATGCATCCTGATTCCACAGGAGAAGGCATGAAAGCTGCAAGTCCAGGATGCTCCCAGACCTTGTTCTATGTGTATCCTTTATAATAATGCTGTAATCGTGGGTGTAGCACACACCCACGTTCTGTTAGTCATTCTAGTGAATTGTTGAACCTGAGAGTATCATGACAACCCTTGAATGTGTACCCAGCTGGTCAGAAGTGCAGGTGTCCTGGGGACCCCGGCTGGTGTCTGAGGCAGGGCAGTCTTGCGAAGGCCTGAGCCCTTGACTTCTGCGGTGTGACACTAACTTGGAGTGGTTAGTGTCCGAATTGAATGGAGTTCACCCAGTTGGGATAGAAGCAGAATGCCTTCATAACGTTGTTATAAGGATTAAATGAACTAATCATTATAAAAACTCTAGTGCCCTACACACATCAAAAACTCTGCTGACGGTAGGTAGCACTCTCATATTTGATTTTTTAAATAACTGTCTTCTTCTGCTTCTGCCAATGGAAGATAACACTAAAGCCTGTCCCAGCCTAACTGGCCTTGAAAGAGCCACGTCACCTCTCTGGGCCTCTTTTCTTCATCTGTTAAACGAAGAGACCAGGCAAGATCACTTCCCATGCAGCCTCAGTCTCTAAAATTTGATTTCATGTACCAAATTGTACCTAAAATATGCTTCCAATCTTGAAAATGTAATATTCTATGGTACTCCAGGCTTCCTCATTAATAAAGAGCTCTAGTTCAAGAAAGATTCATTTCCATGGGAAATCATAATTGAACGGCAGTGGGCTCCCCGCCTCTGAAACTGACGATGCTCAAACAGCAGGGGACACCAAAGCACAGCGCCCCCAGGTGAGCACTCACCCAAACTGCAGGCAAAGTACCTTGAAAATCAAATGCCACGGAGGCAGCTCCATCCTCAAGAGTGAAAGTGTCTGGTCTCAAGACTCAAGATAGCCAGGGGCCGAGTAAGCAGGATTTGGGCAGGACTATTCAATATTCATCGAGCCCAGCCTAACTTTGAAAGGCTGTGCAAATTGTCCAAGACCGAATTGGGCTCTGGTGAGTGTATTCAATGACTTCCATTGCTTCCTGATCCTCTTAAGTCCGTGACTGTGTGCTATTTAGATAACAGGAAGCTGGCTTTCACCTGTGAAATGCCATCTCTCCAGGTCTTTCCAAGCCTCCCTCCTCTGCCTGTCAGCCACGTCTGCCTTCTCTTTGCAGCCGGCTGTCCACCACAGACCTTGTTCTTTCTCACCTGGCTTCTGAGGGCCTGATGTTCTTGGCTTCTCATCCAGGCTCACGCCTTGTGCAGGGCCCACATCTCCAGCCCTGAGACCCTGCCCTGGGCCCACCCCTCGCTCTGGGAGGGGAGGCTTACTATCAGAGGAACGGAGTCTCCCAGTCTCCCTCCATCCCTGATGGCGGTTGTAGAGATGGGACAGTGGTGGTTTCTACTGGTAACTAGCCTGGCTCCCTCTAAAGCAGCAGTCCCCAACCTTTTTGGCATCGGGGACTGGTTTTTTGGAAGACAGTTTTTCCACAGACAGGACAGGGTGGAGGAGTGCAGGATAGTTTTGGGATGAAACTGTTCCACCTCAGATCATCAGGCATTTAGATTCTCATGAGGATGACACAGCCTGGATCCCACACATGCACAGTTCACAATGGGATTCATGCTCCTGTGAGAATCTAATGCTCAGGTGGCTCCTAACAGGGCACGAAGCAGCGCAGGTCCATGGCCCGGGGTTGGGGAACCCTGCTCTAACCGATGCAGGTTCTGTCAGAACCACATAGCATTTGTGCTGGAAGAACCTGAGGCATCTCCTGAAGCAACCCCTCACATCACCAATGAGGAAGGGACCCAAGGTCTGCAGAGGGGAATAGCCCTGCCCTGGGTTGCATCTTTCACAGGGGTGGTGTGAGTTCAGGAGGTCCCTAAGACCATCCTCAGGTTCAAAAATTTGCTAGAAGGACTCACAGGACTCGAAACAGGCATTCTACTGCCATCGGTACAGTTTATGACAGTGAGAGAATATGGATTAAAATCAGCCAGTGGGAGAGATACATGGGGCAGAGTTGTCCTGGAGAGACAGGCATGGGCTTCGATTGTCCTCTCCCAATGGAATTGTGTGGACGGTACTTGCTTCTCCAGCAAGGATGCGTGACAACACACACGGGGTACTGCCAACAGGGAAGTTCACCCAAACCTTGGTGTCCCGAGTTTTACTTGGCCTCGGTCAGGTAGACACGACTGACCATCCATGTGCCGATACCATGTGGCCCAAGGCCCCTACATTGAAGTGTAAACTAACTGGCTGCCCCAAGACCCCAGGGAAACAAAGACACTCATACCAAGGACATTCCAAGGGCTTAGCTTTTCCCTCTCAAGAGCCAGAAACAAAGAGCCAAACCTTTCTTTGGGGGAGGTTAATCCTTTACCACACAGAAGGGACCCCGTAGTGCTCCTTTGAAAATCCCCTCCATACCAGCTAGAGTTCTAGGCACACACCAGTTATTTAATAATAAATGCTTAGTGCATTGAAGGCATGACTTGTCAGCTCTTATTTTTTCTATGGACTCATCGAACATGATTCTTTTAAATTTCCTCACTGACTATCACGTTCACGTCTCCAGCAGCACACTGCCAAGAAACAGGAAGAAAAGAAAAAGGTCCCTGATTAGCCAAAATTGGTATCATATAGTCATATCCTTATCAGCCAGAAACTTGGGTCTCACCCACAGTCTACTCATTTTATCTACTTACTTAAACAGTTTGAGTACAAATAATTTGGTTTTACAACCCACAGTGCATTATAAACAGCAAATTACAGGGGGAGAGGCAGCAGGTAGAAAAGACAGAGTGTTGCAGACATATCAGTAGCAGGAAGACTTGAGAGCAGGCCAGGTGTGGTGGCACACACCTGTAATTCAGGCATTTTGGGAGGCCGAGGCAGGAGGATTGCTTGAGCCTAGGAGGTCAAAACCAGCCTGGGCAACAAAGTAAGACCGCATCTCTACAAAAATAAATAAGTTAGCCAAGCATGGTGGCGTGTGCCTGTAGTCGCGGCTACTTAAGACACTGAGGTGGGAGGACCACTTGAGCTCAGGAATTTAAGGCTGTAGTGGGCTATGATCGCACTACTGCGCTCCAGCCTAGGTGACAGAGTGAGACCCTGTCCAAAAAAGAAGAAGAACTGGGGACAGACAAGAGGAAGCAGGGAGCAGAAAAAATATGAAAGACACTCGAGAAACCAAACACTGGGGCCATTTTGCAGAAGGGCAGATGGGTCTCCAAGCTATAGCTGCCATGGGCTCAGCTGCAGTAGGACACAGCATGGTGATGAGTGGCCAGAGACATCATTCCTGAAACATCAAGGGAAGGTTAAGTGTGGTTTATCATCTAAGATGGCAGAAGGCAAGCCATGCATTTTAAAAAGACATTGGTAAACTTGCAGCTGGTGGAAAATTCTCCAGCCTGGAGTATCCCCTTTCCCACGGGTGCTGATTAAAAGCATCCGTGTGTGTGTCCTATTCTCTTAGAGACTTCTGCCCCCTTCCTTCTACCTGACACTTAACAGAGACTGAACACAAAACCTACTAAAAACTTGATTCTCAAGAGCTACATCCACTTCTGCCTCGAAGGGCTCCGATCCCCAGGTGAGCCAGTCTCGGGCTGTTCCCTGGGTGGTAGTTGTGGACTGCAAATGACCTTCAGGACATCTGCGAAGTTCATGAGGGTAGAGGGTGGGGATGATTTAAAAAGACAGCCCTGGAGGTCGGGATTCACAGGGCAACCGTCAGGAGGAAACTGGAAGGGCCCTCATGGGGTCCCTGGGGCCTCCCTCTCTCAGCCAGCGGGGAGGCGATGGGTCTGGTTCCTCGTTTGTTAAGCTCCAGGGACAAGCGAAACTGCCTCCCGGGGGACCCAGGCAAAAAGATCTCACTTCACTTTGAAACTCTGGGACTTTGTTTCTCTGGAGCAGACTCAGAGCTCTAGAGGCTGACCTGGGCCTGAACCTGGACGGGGCTTGGCTGTAGGAAAGCATTCTGACGCAACAGGCACCCGAGGGAGCCGGTGAGGCTGTCTTCCCATCTCTGCAGGCCTCATCCCTCGTTTCACGTCTTCCTGGTTCTCATTACCAGCAATGCTTTCCTCCCTTGCTACCCTCTTCTAAGCGGCCTCTGCTCCTCTCAGGCCTGGGTCCAATGTGCCCATGGAGATGCTCAGGCCTTCCCTGCCCACTATGGTCCTGGCCTCACCACTCACTGCTCTCCTGGCTCCTGCCTGTCCCCACACCATCCACGCCACACCCCGGCACACTGGACTGCGCTTTACTCTCTGCCCTGTGTGTCCTCAGCCAACCTCTCTCACTGGCAAACACCCAACCTCCTTCCCATTCAGTCTTCATCTTGTCTGGACCATAGACCATTGTGAGGTTTTGACCAACACCATGGGCCAGAACAGGGCCAAACACAGCATCTAGGGAGGCTCTGACCTCCCCCAGAGTCCAGCCACCAAGCCCCTGGAGGCCGATAGACCCAACTCCAGGCCACAGCTCAGAGGTCGCTGCTACAGCAGAGCCTCTTTGGCCCATTCCCCCATCAGCCAACTTTTACTGAGGGGTTGCCATGTGCCATGCCCAGGGGTGGGCACCACTAAGATAATTGATCAAGAAGTGCCTCTCCTCCTCCTGGAGCTCTTGGCTCATGCCTTTATCATGGTGCCTGTTGTCTGCTTTGCACTTTATCTGTTTCATGATCAGATCCCCAAGTACACAACAAAGTCTTCTAGGACACACACAATCACAAATCAATGTTTTCATACCCAGCAGAGCTAGCACTCAATTTAAATGTTTGTTGAATGAATGAAGGAATGCACAGTCACAGAACATGTTAAATAAACATGATGTTTGCAAGGCTGGCTGATTGGAAGGACATGATCACCAAAGGCCCTGCCTACACTTGGCCTGATCACCCAGGGCCCAACCATTCTTATTAAGAATCATGAAGTTCTGGCTCTTACATAGCCTTTGTTTCTCATTTGTATGCTGTGTTAGTCCATTCTCATGCTGCTAATAAAGACATACATACCCGAGACAGGGTAATTCATAAAGAAAAGAGGTTTAGTTGACTCACAGTTCCACATGGCTGGAGAGGCCTCACCATCATGGCAGAAGGCAAAGGAGGGGCAAAGTCACGTCTTACATGGTAGCAGGCAAGAGAGTGTGTGCAGGGAGAGTGTGCGCACAAAACTATCAGATCTCATGAGACTTATTCACTATCAGGAGTACAGCATGGGAAAAACCCGCCCTCATGATTCAATTACCTGCCACTAGGTCCTTCCCAGGACTCATGGGGATTATGGGAGCTACAATTCAAGATGAGATTTGGGTGAGGACACAGCCAAACCATATCATATGCTTTACACAGAAATGCTCCTTATTATGTTGACTCTTGTTCACTTTATTGTTTTATTGCATAGTGTGTATATAAATCATTTTTTCTGTATGTGACAGTGTGGTTAGAGAAACTGGGCATTCTTCTTAACTTTGAACCTGATTATAATAACACCCTTGGAGTGAAACACCACAGTTTTGCAAAATGATCATATCCACATGACCTCATCCTAACCTCATAATAGCTTTGTGAAATAAATGGGTATCGGCTCTTATCTCCAATGTTAAGACCAAGAACTGGTAGCTCCCAAGGATTAGAAGACTTGCCCAAGGTCTCGCAGTTACTACCCAGCCCTCCCTGCTACCCCTCCTAAAGATTCTGTTCCTCTTCTGGATCCCTGGTAGCTCACTGTCCCTTGCCCACAAAGCCCCTTACCCTCTTTCTCTGCTTTTGCCCTCCCACCTTGGAGAACTCACTGGTCACTCCAGTCTCCTGCCCCCAAGATGAGACCTTGAGAGAGTCAATTCTGCTCATCTCTTTCCGACTCCACGGGCTCAGTGACATCACACCAGTGGTGTGAGATCAGCTTTGGCGGGAGTATTTACACCATGGTAACTGGCCAAGTCCTAGCGTCCATCCCAGGCCCTCTATCCTGTTCCCTTGACTCTGCCTCCTGACTCCAACTGGTCAGGTCAGAACCCTGGAAGCTTTGGGTCTCTCTGAGAGAACTGCACCCTTTCCCCGAGCACTGTGGAGCAAGAGCTGCTGTGCTTTGCCGGGAAGGGTAGGTCCTGCCTGCGGAGACAGAAGGAGCCTCCCTGGGAGGGGGCGGGAGTCAGCAGCCAGGAGTTGAGCTGTGATGAGCCCTGGAGCTCATTTTCTCCTGCTTGAGCCTCCTCCAGAGCCCCCTTATAAATGCCAGTCAAACCTTATGATTTTCATCTTTCATTATTCAGTGAGGAGAAGGCAGATTAAAAATACATGATGGCATTTTCCAGGTCGGATCGCCAAGCATGGTGAGGGTGTTTATCAAGGGTCCTTGTTCCTGCTGTGGCACCTGGGATGTAAAGCTCAGCTCCCCTCCCTCTCAGCCCCCTGGGCCTGCCCCAGCCCAGAGCCCCCTCCGCCTCCCCATGCCTCATTCAGGCATCGGCTGTCTGGGAAGTGTAAGACCGTCTCCTGCCAGAAGAGGCAAGGCCTTTGTGTTTTATTGAAAGAGACAGGATTTATTTTCATTGTCCTTTGCCTTCTGTGCTTTGAGGTTCCCTAAAGCCGGGGGATTCAGGAATGAGCAAAGAAATCAGATCCTCCGTGAGAGTGGCTCTCTGGCATGTGGGCGCTGAGAGGATTAGCTGCGAATCCACTCCTGCTTTGAAATCTGCTTCCTCATTAGGCCTTATTGATCCTTAGGTAGGACAATTCCCAGCTCCGCTTTCATTTTAGGAAAATTGCTAGAAACCTCACCCTTTCTTTGTATAGGGCTTTGGTGTGGGGGATGCTTCAGGACAACCTAAGCTGTGCTGGCTCTGTCCCCATCCTGGGCCCCATCTCTCTCTCCAGACCTCCCTGACTGGCAGATCCATCAGTTTTCCCCCAAAAGCCACCAGGAAGTAGAACAAAGGCCCCTGAGGCACAAGGCAGGGGTGCCTGGGAAGGATGTGGGGTCTTCTGGGGCAAGGGTTGCAGGGCTGTGTATCCCCCCTCTACCCAGCAGCATGTTGGAGCCAGCTTGCACCAATTGAGAAGAGGCCATTCTTTCCAACGCTGTGTTTATCAACATCACTTTGGCAGCTTGCAGTTGGCCATAGTGGGGGTATCTACACCATGGAAATTGGCAAGTGTGACCATCAGGGCTTTTATTTTTCTGGAGAGCGACTTGTTCAGCATTTACCGGCACGCCACCTCCCTTCTGTGTGTTGCTTCTTTCCCTCCCCAGGACTAACCCGTCTGCCAGGCACGTCTGCAGGGAACTGCTGGGACTCAGAAAGCAATACCTTAATTGAAGGCCTCAGAAGCAAAAGCTTTTATCTGACCCTCTCCTGTCCACTATCTCTCAACCTCATTCTCCCCTGAGGCTAGCCATAGAAACTGCAACCCCTCTTCTCCAAGGGGGTCACTGAAACCAGAACCTCTTTTCCCCAAAGCCAGCCATAAAACCTAAAATACATGACTTTAACCTTCCCTCCACCTTTCTGTGTAAGAACTGGCCATAAATAAATGATCTGTCCTACCTTGTTTGACTGGAGGCCATAAGACCCCCATGCCAGAGAGGGTCCAGCTCCTCACCCAGAAGGAAGGAACACTGCACAGAGAGGCCAAGAAGAATCTAAGCGGATAGGCCTTACTGAGCTTCCCCACTCAGTCCGTCAGCATCAGCTCAAACCATGTGTGTTCACCCTGTTTCTACACGGCTGGTTATACTTCGATGAACATAAAATGGACAATTTCCCCTGTATCTTTTGGTCTTCATTCTGAAGGCTGCTGTGTACACTTCAATAAATTTTGCATGACTTTTCTTCAATGAATCTGCCTTTTGTAAGTTTGCAGCAAAAGTTCAGAGGGCAAAGGGAACATGGACCCTACAGAACCAACCAAGCAAGGACTAAGGAGGGTGAGTCAGAACCAGAAAAAGCCAGTGGGCGCACCCGCCTTTCCACATAACAGAGCTGGGGCCTTGCGTGGGCTTCTCCATTTATCCCAGCTGATGTGAATGGGGGCTCCTGAGCCAGGCTCAGTCAAAGCCCCCCACTCCATGCAGAGGCCCCTGTGGGGTGAGAAGGAGCACAGGGGAGAGACCCACAGGGGGACGCCCGTCTCCTCCCCACCCCAGGCTTTGGTTCCATCTCCATTCTGAGGGTGGTCTCTGTGCCTGGGGTTTGGGGGAGTGAGTAGTGGGGATCCTGCTTACTCTGGCTCAATGGCAGTGCGTGCAGGCATGTGGGGAGGGGAGGGTGTGGCGGCAGAAATGCTGCTCCCAACCACACATGGTGGCTCACGCCTGTAATCCCAACACTTTGGGAAGCCGAGGCAGGTGAATCATTTAAGGTCAGGAGTTCGAGACATGGCGAAACCCTGTCTCTACTAAAAATGCAAAAACTAGCTGGGCTTGGAGGCACACGCCTGTAGTCCCAGCTACTCAGGAGACTGAGGCAGCAGAATCACTTGAGCCCAGGAGGCAGAGATTGCTATGAGCTGAGATCACGCCACTGCACTCCAACCTGGGGCACAGAGTGGTTTTTTTCCATCTCAAAAAAAAAAAAAGAAAAAAAGAAAAGAAAAGAAAGAAGGAAATGCTGTTCCCCGAGCTGCGAGGCTGGGCACAGCCAGCTTCTGTTCATGATCCCAGAGGTAGATGCCTCAACACCCCTGCCTCAGCTAGCTCCAGAACTGAGCCCCCAATCTCCTTCCCGAAGTCTCCCCAAAGCCTTGTGGTTCCAGCCGCGGCTCTGTCATGGGGGCCTGCTCCCCAGGAAAGGGCTGCCACCTGTTTGAAGGAGCAGTCACCAGGTTTCCTCTAACCTGACCTTGGCCTCCTTCTGCTTTTAAAATTCGCTCCAAGAAGACATTAGCATGAATCCCAGGGGAGGGTTCCAGGCCATCTGGGGCTTTTCCTCAAGGACAATGACCCCAGGGGCCAGGGAGAGCACCAGTGTGGTAAGGAGCGGCCTGGCCGATGAGAGCCTGGCCCTGGTCTGGGCCGCCCCAGGAGAAGGAGCTCCAGCCCCATCTGCCCCTCAGGAGCTGCCTCTGCTGGCCCTGCAGGTGATGGGCCCCTCTGCTTCGCTGCAGGTCTCACCTAGGGTGTGGGTGGGGCCAGGGTTAGGAATTTCACTCCAGCTTGGTCTTGCCCATCCTGAGCAGCCCAGGAAGGCTCCGGCAGAGAGCAGGGCACACCCAGAAACTGGACCAGACAACTAGAACCCCTGGCCCAAAAAGGAAAAGGTGATGTCTGATGTCTGGCTTTTTGTCTCCTCTGGCTACCCTGACCCAGGGGATTGTCCCAGAGCAGTACATCAGTTGCCACTTCCTGGACACAACCTAGTGCTGGCCCATCTAGGGACTCTCCCTAGTTCATTCCAATTAAACAGAGGCTTTAGCCTGGCTCCCAGAAGGAAACAGCTCCGGCAAAGCAATGAAGTCCCCAACCATCTTTGCCTAACCCCCTTTCAAATTAAAAGGGGCTCTAAAGTCTAATTATGGCGGGGAACGTGTTGCCTCTTTAAACCAGAGGATCTGACTCCACTCAAGGGATATTTGTGCTTGCCTCCAGCCTCCCCTGAGCTAAAAAATTATATGCTTTCTCTCTCTGCTAAATTACAACATCCTCAGATTGGTGCTGGGCCTGAAGGGAGTCCCTGCCGGAAAACCCAAGTGTCGACTCTCTTTGCAAACTCTGAGCCAGTAATTGGTTTGGAAATACTGAGTGAATGGCTCAAAAGGCTTCAGGGGGATTAATGTGAAATAATGCATCCCCCGATGGCAAGGGGGGCACTTACGTGGGCATAGATGGTGGCAGGCACGGCCAGCTCCTGTTCATTCCTGTAAATTTCAGCCCATGGCGGAGAAGCATCATTAGACTTCCACTGGAAATGCAGCTTCTGGAGCCCAAACCAGCCCATAGAGCCAAACAATGTTGCACCTTCTCAGCCACAGCCCCTTCCTTCCCTCAGGGGGGCGTCTCACCTGCATTCCCCTCACTTGAGCATCCTTGCAGGCCAGGGAAGAATAAAATTTGGCTCAAGGCAAATCACTTAACCATTCTGAGCCTCAGTTTGCTCATCTGTAAAATGGGAAGAATGATTCCAGTGACTCATGATGAGGATGAGATGCAGATAAGAAGTGTCGGGCTCTGGGGCCAGCCATGATAGGTGCTGGGCACATGGTGATCAGTCATTATTAGGACAGGGCTTAGCTCTGCACCAGGCACATCGCAGGTTGTCAGTAAATACCTGTCAGGCACTGGATACCTTGGGGACTGGATACACAGGTAGTGACAGGATAAGAGTAGGAAGAGGTCAGGCAGCCTTCACCAGCTGGGCCAGCTATCCCTGCAATGCCACCCTCAGCAAAGACTCCTGCAGAGGAAGTAACAAGCCCATCTGCCTTAGGCTGGAGCAACCTGGGACCTCCTTCTCCCTTCAGGCGACACTAAGCCCAGGTTTCAGAGCAATGGGAACGAGAGGGGCAAGGTTTCTAACTCAGCAGATGCACTCAGAAGGTCACTCTGCAGATACCAGGGAACACAGAAATTGAACCAGTGATGTCTCCCACAGGGATGCCCTGGAAAGGAATTATGTGCCCAGAAGACCAAAGTCAGGTACATTCTGGTGTACCTCCCCACTGTCTCTTTCAATTACAATGACTTTCTCTTTTTTATTAGTTATGTTTAACAAATTCTAACAATGAGAACTGTTGATTGTAGAAAATTTTTAAAGCATAAAAAGTAATAAGAAAAAAAGTTTCCATACACTGACAACTCAGAGATACCTGTTGAACATTTCCTATGCATTTCCTTCCAGTCTTTTTTCTATGCTGCAGTTTTTAAAAACATAGAACTATCCAGTGCAGAGCAGTAGCCTGCACATCTGGAGTCACATAAGAGTCACTTAGAGGCCTTCGAAAATATAAATATTATTTCCCCTCTTCCTATCCCCCTCCCACCCTATGCTGAGATTCTGACTCTTTAAGTCTGAGATACAGACTGAAAAACTATCTTTTTAAATGACCTTTAAAGTCCCCTAAATGAATATTATGTGCAGTCAAATTTTGAAAACAATGTACAATATTGTACCTTGCTTTTGAACTTGATATCAAAAGATGGCTTTCAAAGCACTGTTCTTAAGGTCCTCACATTTGTTCCTATTTGTATGTGGCTCTCTGTCAGACTGCAATCTTTTTTTTTTTTTTTTTTTTTGAGATGGAGTTTTGCTCTTGTCCCCAGGCTGGAGTGCAATGGTGCAATCTTGGCTCACTGCAACCTCTGCCTCCTGGGTTCAAGCGATTTTCCTGCCTCAGCCTCCCGAGTAGCTAAAATTACAGGCACACGCCACCATGCCCATCTAATTTTTGTATTTTTAGTAGAGATGGGGTTTCACCATGTTGGCCAGGCTGGTCTCGAACTCCTGACCTCAGGTGATCCACCCGCCTTGGCCTCCCAAAGTGCTGGGATTAAAGACGTGAGCCACGATGCCCAGCCCAGACTGTAAGCTTTGCAGAGCTTCTGATGTGCTCTGGACATGGTAACAAAGTGGTTCCATTCCCACAGTCGCTTTGGGTGGCCACTCCTTGGCTTCCAATCACATGCCTTCATTCTTTCATTTGTGCATTCACTCATTCATGTAGTGGGTACTTCCTGTTACTGTCCCCAGAACCCTGGAAGCAGCTGCCTTTTTTTTTTTTTTCCTGAGACGGAGTCTTGCTCTGTCGCCCAGGCTGGAGTGCAGTGGTGTGATCTCGGTTCACTGCAACCTCTGCCTCCCGGGTTCAGTGAACCCAGCTCCCACCTCAGCCTCTAGAGTAGCTGGGATTCCAGGCACCTGCCACCATGCCCAGCTAAATTTTTTTGTATTTTTAGTAGAGACGGGGTTTCATCATGTTGGTCAGGCTGGTCTTGAACTCCTGACATCAGGTGATCTGCCCGCCTTGGCCTCCCAAAGTGCTGGGATTACAGACATGAGCCACCACGCCCAGCCAGCAGCTGCCTGTTAACATTAAGCAACTTGATCACGGTATGCCACAGAATCATAGTGACGCCTCAATTCACAAACATGCTGTGAAGAAAACTTCTCAATGAAATTCATAATGTTGTCACCATTAAAAAATATCTTCCTGTGTCACACAGACAGCGACTCTGCTGCATAACCAAGCAGACAGAAGCACGAAGGTGACCAAACTGCCATCTGCCGATTTCCTCAAGGATTTTGGTTTTTACGAATGTCCTGGGCCGGGAGATGGCCAGTATGGACACTATGCAGTTCCATGTTCGATGATTTTATGCCATCTTGGGCTTAAACAGTCTCGGCTGGGAAGAAGCCTGGGGAAGGCAGAGGATGAGCAGCTTGGGACTCCCCAGCAGCGAGAATGTTCTGCTTTCTTGACTCGGCGTAGCAACCATGGGCTTGAGGGCCAGAAAGACCTGAGTTTGAATCGCTCCTCTGAGACGTGCTGTGGGGCCACGGGTAAGGAGTGTAACCGCAGGAACCGTTTTCTCATTTGTGCAGTGGAGATTCTGATACTCACTGTAGTGACTATGAGGCTTAAGGGAGTGGGGTATAAAAGCATTTGTGCACTAATTATATGCAGTCCATGTTCAAGACGGGTTCCTGTCTTCATCTTCTCCAAAAAGATATTGACACTCTGCATTCTGGCATTCGACACTGTTTGGGAAGCTTTGTGTGTGTGTGCGAGAGACATTATCTCATTCTGTCACCCAGGCTGGAGTGCAGTGGTGCAATCACAGCTCACTGCTGTCTCTGTCTCCTGGACTCAGTCGATCCTCCCGCCTCAGCCTCTCGAGTAGCTGGGATGACAGGCGTGTAATTCCCACGCGTGTAATTCCCATGCCTGTAATACCTAGCTAATTTTGTTTATTTTTTGTAGAGACAAGAGCTCACTATGTTGCCCTGGCTGGTCTCGAACTCCTGGGCTCAAGTGATCTTCCTGTCCCACCCTCCCAAAGTGCTGGAATTAGAGGCATGAGCCACCATGGCTTGCCTGGGAAGCTCTTAATTTTGGGTCATAGGTGGTCTTTCCTGACACTCAATACTATGGTGCAGATGGAAAGAGCCATAGGAGATCCCACGGGCTCCAGAATCCCTCTCTCTCGTACACCCCATTGAGGAGGTGTGTGGGGGAGGGGCTAGAGAACCCTTTTGTTCAGTGACCCAGGTGATTCGGATGTGTAAGCAGGTGAGGAGATGCCTCCCTCCACTAGCAGCATCCTAACAATAAAGCAAGTCCTTGATAGCACATCACAGAAGCCTGGGGCGCTTCAGTAGGGGCTCTCTCTGAGACACGCAAACCCACCGTGTTTAGATCCCCCGGATCTTTAGCTTCTCTCCAGCTGAAGGCTCTGATGCTCACTGGCCCCAAGCTTCCCACGAAGGCAGACTGCGGTGCCCAGTTCACCCCACCTCTCTCCAGGTCCTGCCTCCCACCCCCAGCCCTGAAGCCATTAGCTCTGGCCTGGTGCCTGCAGACCCTGGCTCATGGAGAGGCAGCATGGTGCAGTGGCTAGGGGCGTGTGTGTGAGATCCACACTCGAGCTGTCTTATAAAGTAGCCGCCAGCCATTTGAGTTACTTTATAACTCGAATCCAAATTCATCAATTAAAAACCCAGCGCCTCAGTCTCACTAGTGAGAAGGAGAAATAAGGGCAGCCCTGGCCTCTGGAAGCTGGCCTGGGCCTCACTCGGGAGTCCTGTTCTCCCGTTCACTCCCTACTCAGACAAGGCCGCTCTGAAACCACAATGAAATGAGACAGAGCGAGGATGCACGTGATTTTGCCCTTGCCCTTTGAAGGCATTGAATCTGGAGTGAGCTCCTGACTCCTCAGACCCTCCCCTAAGTCAGCCATAGACCACATCCTAGAATAAGTCCTCTCTGACACCCCCTCCCTGTGACACCCTGTAGTTCCACATGGACGTGTTCTCCCTCACTGCAGCCAATAATAACTCAGCTTGTTCAACCGCAAGTGCATTCCTGGTGGTCTTTGACTGGGACGACATTGACTAGCTACACTTCAAGTGCTCAGTGGTCACATGTGGCCAGGGGCTACCACGCTGGACAGCATACCCAGAACCATTCTGCCACTGTAGAAAGTTCTGCTGAGTAGCACTGGTCTACATGATCTGACTCCAAATCTTGACTGCAATTAAGCAGCCGTGTGAACAAGGACACCTCCTGTAACCATTCTGAGCTTTGGTTTCCTCGTCTGTAAGATGGGAGTTGTCCTGAGGATTAAATGAGGCAACACATGTTAAGCACCTAACCTTACGCCTACTGTGGTAGTCTTTAAATATGTTCTTACATTCTTTGATTCTCCTCCCTTTAAGAGGTGGAATTTAATTTTTCTCTTCTTGAAGGTGGGCTGAACTTAGTGACTCCCTTCTAATGAATGAAATATTGCAGACATAACAACGCCACTTGCAAAACCAGGTCATAAAAGGCTGGGTGGCTTCTTCCTTTTGTTCTTCTTCACATGCTCAGGGAAAGTCGGCTGCCATGTTGTGAGGACACTCAAGCAGCCCTATGGGGAGGGCCACATGGCGATGAACAAAGGCCCCCAACCGACGGCAAAGTGAGGGAGCCACTGTAGATGTGGATTCTTCTGCCCCTGTTCAACCTGTAGAGGCAGTGGCCCTGGCTGACAGCTGCACTGCAACCTCATGAAAGACTTTGAGCCACAACCACCCAGTAAAGCCATGCTCAGATTCCCAAGACCTCAGAAACTTTGTGAGATAACCAACATTTCTTATTTTAAGCCACTAAGTTTTGGGGTAATTTGTTACACAGCAATAGGTAACTAATACACATGGCATATGAGTGGCACTTAGTTTGTGTTAGCCATGCTAGCCAATGGTCCGTGGAGCTGGCCTACAGGGAAAGAATCCAGATCAGCTCACATAGGCAGCGGGTCTGCCAAGTTGTTCTCCATATGGCAAATGGAGAACTGACCTCTGGTCTTTGATGTCAATCTGTGAGTGTGGTCAGCGGGGTCACTCCAGAGATGAGCCACTGGACTCAAAGCAACAGCCAGGAAATGAGTCGGGGATGACACATCGGGGTTCTGGCTGTCCATGGCCTAGGACAGCTCTCAGGTACAGCCTACCAGGGAGCACCTTGTGAGCCAGAGAGGGTCTTTCCAGCAGAACCTATGGGTCGCCTGGCATCCACACTGTAGCCCTGAGCCTGTAGCAGGCTGCCCAGGGACCCACGGGTGAATTTCCACTTTTCCAGGAGAGGAGCTATGAGGTTGGAAAGGCAGAGGGAAGCCCAGCATGCCCCGGCCTTGGCACCAGCCCTTCCTTAGCTCAGCCCTCCCCTGTCCCCACCAGAGCCACAGGCTGCTTCACCGAGGTGAACCCTTCCTGCTTCCTGGGAACACCACAGTGTCCCCCCAGGAACACACAATGTCCCTGGCACGAAGGACAGTCAGAGAGAGCATGCACCGCCCCACACCACTCAGAGACCCCCATCTCCAGAACCCCCTCCCTGCACAAATGGGCTAGAACCCCAGAGAGAAGAAGAGGGCAACCCAAAGCAAGAAGGCAGCCTGGGACCCCACGGCCCTTCAGCGTGTGACTCAGGGAACATGGTGCATTCATCCCAGAACTGAATGTGCACATCCCTGGTTCTCTCTCCACGTCCCACAGCCAGGGAAGGGAGGGTGACCCTGCCACAAGCACTTAACAAGTTAACCTGAAATGCCCCGTCCCTAGCTCCCCAGACCTCAGGGCCTCCAAAGGGAGTGAGGCAGGGACACCCAGAACCCTTGCAAGGACATTAATTGAATGTTGAACTCTGCACTCAAATGAAGAGGTATGTCACCCCCCACCCACCTTGAATGCACAGTCTAGAGCTCTCTACCATACTCTGCTGGGGCCCCTCCATCTGGTACCTAATGGCTATGAAGAACAGGGGACCCCCTCTTTTTTGAGTAACTGCAAGTAAGCCGTCTACACTGGGTTAACAATATGTATTTATGATACAAAATTGCCAGCGGCTTCTGCATTTTCACACGTGTTTGTTAATGAAAAGTAACCCGGGGGTCAGGTTATTATGTAAATATCCACTGTGGGTGAGGGGGTTGGAGGTGAAGCACCCCATAATGAGGTGCCTCCATCCATCTCTCAGGAGCGCTAATGAATATTGGATCTGGTCATTTGCCCGGCACTCAGGCCTCACTTTACCAAACAGAGGGACGGGAAGGACGTTTGAGCTCAAATGAACCACTTCTCCCTTCATTTCCGCGTGACCCCAGTGAATTTCAACCCTCCCACCTCCTCCCTCCCCATTCCACCATGCTCGGGTGTTCCCGAGCCCACAGAGGCGAGAGACAAGGGACATTGGCTGGAGAAGCTTCTGGCTGTTTATAGTTTGCAGGAATCACAAAAAAACCACCCACCCTGCCTTGCTGCCTCTGACTCAGAAACCATCAACCTGCGCCTCCCCCAGAAAATAAGATGAGTGAGGATAGAGTGGTATCCTGGAGTCCCACTCAGGGTGGGAGGCGTTAACCACGTGGTAGGGGACAGAGGTCCTGCAGTTGACCCAAGGAGGGGCAGCCAGCCTCTTGGCATCTGCAAACAGGAGTAGTGGACTGGACCAGGCTGCCAGGTGAGGCCAGGAGAGGCTGAGCAGCAAAGACCACCCTGTCAGGAAGGCAGACCAGCTGCACACACAGGGTTCCCAACTGCAGGCTGTAGGGAAGAGTCTACCTTGTATTTTTCCAGTGCCCAAGCTGAAGGCTCCAACCAATGCCATCAAAGGCAGGAGGCAGCTGGTCCCAGCAGGCTCAGTCTTCCTGACGGTGGAAGGTCCGCCTGCCCTCCCTCCCAGGGTCTGTGCAAAGCTCATTTAGGGCTCTGAGTAATGGAATGTTGCCACTGGGGTGTCTCTACAAACGAGATACTACATCTCCCAAGACTTCCCTGGGTAAATAAAAGCTAAATATAAATGATGTGACTGTGTCGCACTCCAGCTCTGCCTTTGACTAGAGGGAACATGCTGAAATGGTTGATTAAAAATAAATAAAATTAGGCTCTTCTAGTTCCTCCCAACATAAAGGCAGGGCTTCTCCCTCTGAGCCGCTGAGATAAAGCCGCCCAGCCTGTAGCAGGAGCTCCTGGGGTCCCGGCCATGCGTGGGTTATGGCTGGTTTTATGGCCGCTGTATGATTTACACCCACTTGCAGGCATGTAGCAAACAGATACATTTTTAAGCAGTAATTGTCATGTATATGGGCCCTTGAGTGTCTGGAGAAACGTCTCTCCAGAGGAAGACTGGTGTTCTGTCTCTCCCATCAAGAGCAGGATCGTGAAGAGCAGGTGACTGGGGATAAATTTCAGGGGCTCCCCCTGGGGACCAGGAAGTAGGGACATCAGTAAGCCCAGCCTGGCCTTCCTCTGCCCTTCTTGGAAATGCTGACAAACACCAACACTGGAAACTGCTACTGTCACCCCACTTCCCGCACGGCACCCTCCACAACAGGAAGACCCCCGCTGCAACATACTCCTTTCTCCCAGGCTCTGGGCTCGGGTGGGGAAGGACAAGGTCAGCACCTCACCTTTTCATGCTGCCCTCAGTGCTGGGGTTCCAACGCTCAGGTGGCTGGACCCACCAACAGGATGGAGGCAACCAAAGGAAGCAGCTTGGTCCTTTTTTTTTGAGATGGAGTTTCGTTCTTTTCGCCCAGGCTGGAGTACAATGGTGCAATCTCAGCTCACTGCAGCCTCCACCTCCTGGGTTCAAGCGATTCTCCTGCTTCAGCCTCCCAAGTAGCTGGGATTACAGGGGCCCACAACCACGCCCAGCTGATTTTTGTATTTTTAGTAGAGATGCGGTTTTGCCATTTTGGCCAGGCTGGTCTTGAACTCCTGACCTCAGGTGATCCGCTCGCCTCAGCCTCTCAAAGTGCTGGGATTACAGGTGTGAGCCACTGAACCCGGCCTATTGTTTTCTTTCTCTGGCCTTCTTCAAAGTTCTCCCTCACTCTCATCTCTCATTCTTTCTCTGCTTCCTCCTTTCCCTTCCTTTTTCTCCTCTATTTCAGCTTTTCTCTTTGTCTCCCTCCCATTAATTGGCCAGAATACATAACTGAAGTTTATAAACTTCTCTTTTTTTTTTTTTTTGAGATGGACTCTCGCTCTGTCTCCCAGGCTGGAGTGCAGTGGCACGATCTCGGCTCACTGCAAGTTCCGTCTCCCACGTTCACACCATTGTCCTGCCTCAGCCTCCCGAGTAGCTGGGACTACAGGCGCCCACCACCACGCCAGGCTAATTTTTTGTATTTTTAGTAGACACGGGGTTTCACTGTGTTAGCTAGGATGGTCTCAATCTCCTGACCTCGTGATCTGCTCGCCTCAGCCTCCCAAAGTGCTGGGATAACAGGCGTGAGCCACTGTGCCCAGCCATATTGCAGCCAATTTCAAACCAACGACATGACATCTCTGAACCCATGGTGGGAAAGAGATGTAGCCCTCATTTCATAATAGTTCCACCATGCGAATACAAGAAATATCACTCGCCAACAACACTGTGACTGTCACAGCACCATGACGGCATTCAACAGCACCTTGACTGCATTCAACAACACTGTGACTGTCACAGCACCGTGACGGCATTCAACAGCACCTTGACTGCATTCAACAACACTGTGACTGTCACAGCACCGTGACGGCGTTCAACGACACCGTGACTGCATTCAACAACACTGTGACTGTCACAGCACCGTGACGGCGTTCAACAGCACCTTGACTGCATTCAACAACACTGTGACTGTCACAGCACCGTGACGGCGTTCAACAGCACCTTGACTGCATTCAACAACACTGTGACTGTCACAGCACCATGACGGCATTCAACAACACTGTGACTGTCACAGCACCGTGACGGCATTCAACAGCACCTTGACTGCATTCAACAACACTGTGACTGTCACAGCACCATGACGGCATTCAACAGCACCTTGACTGCATTCAACAACACTGTGACTGTCACAGCACCGTGACGGCTTTCAACAGCACCTTGACTGCATTCAACAACACTGTGACTGTCACAGCACCATGACGGCATTCAACAACACTGTGACTGTCACAGCACCATGACGGCATTCAACAGCACCTTGACTGCATTCAACAACACTGTGACTGTCACAGCACCATGACGGCATTCAACAACACTGTGACTGTCACAGCACCGTGACGGCATTCAACAGCACCTTGACTGCATTCAACAACACTGTGACTGTCACAGCACCATGACGGCATTCAACAACACTGTGACTGTCACAGCACCGTGACGGCATTCAACAGCACCTTGACTGCATTCAACAACACTGTGACTGTCACAGCACCATGACGGCATTCAACAGCACCTTGACTGCATTCAACAACACTGTGACTGTCACAGCACCATGATGGCATTCAACAACACTGTGACTGTCACAGCACCATGATGGCATTCAACAACACTGTGACTGTCACAGCACCATGACGGCATTCAACAGCACCTTGACTGCATTCAACAACACTGTGACTGTCACAGCACCGTGACGGCATTCAACAGCACCTTGACTGCATTCAACAACACTGTGACTGTCACAGCACCGTGACGGCGTTCAACAGCACCTTGACTGCATTCAACAACACTGTGACTGTCACAGCACCGTGACGGCATTCAACAGCACCTTGACTGCATTCAACAACACTGTGACTGTCACAGCACCGTGACGGCATTCAACGACACCGTGACTGCATTCAACAACACTGTGACTGTCACAGCACCATGACGGCGTTCAACAGCACCTTGACTGCATTCAACAACACTGTGACTGTCACAGCACCGTGACGGCATTCAACAGCACCTTGACTGCATTCAACAACACTGTGACTGTCACAGCACCGTGACGGCATTCAACAGCACCTTGACTGCATTCAACAACACTGTGACTGTCACAGCACCGTGACGGCATTCAACAGCACCTTGACTGCATTCAACAACACTGTGACTGTCACAGCACCGTGACGGCGTTCAACAGCACCGTGACTGTGTTCAATGCCACCAAATTGTTGACTTTTAAAATGGTTCATTTTATTTTATGTAAATTTTACCTTCATATAAGAAAAAAAGGGATGAGTTGGTCCCTCAAACCCCTTCCAGGTGTCAAATTTTGTGGATTATCATCTCATGTGTTCCCATCACTGCACTCCCCCCTCGGCCAGACGTCTGGAGACACCTAGACACCCTAATGGTCCCTGGTATTGGAACAACTCACCACAGCGCCTCAATTAATGGAGAAGAGGGGATCCTTCGTGGCCAGAACCTCAAGGGAAACCCCACACAGGAGGAGCACGTGTTCCAGCGTGCCAGAGAAGGGTGGCAGTGATGTGGGGGCATCGTGAAGTGGCTGCATGGAGAGTACAGGATCCACCAAGAAGCTGGCGGCACCCATGGAGGAGACGGCCCTGGGTCAGGTCTGGGGAGCCTAGCGGGGAGGTGGGGTGCTGTCTGGGGGTGGGGTAGGGACTGGGGAGCCCCAAGTAGGGGACGGGGATCAAGGTGGAGGCCACAGAGGATATTCAAACTGGTCAAAAACCGTGACAAATCTGCACATCCCGAATATCCTGTTTCTTCCTATCACGCCCCAGGGTGCTGTATGGGAACACATGACATTTTCCTTAAAAGGTTAGGGCTCCATCCCTAAGCATCCCTAATTCCTCCCAATGACCCATCTGTGTATTAGAACATGCTTCCTGGATCTACATTTATATAGCGTAATGTGTCCAGAGACGTTTCCTGGGGAACCCGTGGTAATCTTTTGCTGAGACCTGCAGAGGTGAGGCGCATGTCCCTCACAAGCCCCCATCTCCCTCAACCGCCGTTCCATGGGCGTGTGGGTGAGTACACCCTGCTTCCTCCCAAACTTCCTTCCAAATGAGCCCTCCCGATGAGGACAGAGCCCTGCATGGGCCTGGGGGTGATTATGGAGTCCCCTTTGGGCCAGGGGCACGAGGACACAGAGCCCTGCTTTCGGGCCCAGCCTCGATCTGGGCCTTATGAGTCTCTCTGCCCAGTTCTCTTTATTCTCCCTTCATTTTTAGAAATGAGGACACCAGCCTGGCTTCTGCTCTACTAAGAAGAATGAGGAGAACAGAGTTTTTATTCTGCTTGGACATGAGTCTAAAAAAGTGAGTCCCCCATGGGTAAACCCCAGAGGGAAGGTGGCTCGCCCTGCCCACACCAGCCCCCCGACGCAGCCTCAGATGCATCTGCACTATGGTTTCTGTTGGTATGGGAGAAAACATTGATAATCCTTTTCTTCTGCAATGAGAACAATCCATGTAATGTGGAGAAATTAGAACTTACAGAAAACATGAAGAAGAAAATGTAAATCCCAGCTGAGTGTGGTGGCTCTCATCTGTAATCCCAACATTTTGGGAGGCCGAGGCGGGTGGATCACCCGAGGTCACGAGGTTGGGACCAGCCTGGCCAACATGGTGAAACTCTGTCTCTACTAAAAATACAAAAATTGGCCAGGCATGGTGTCGCACACCTGTAGTCCCAGCTCCTCGGGAGGCTGAGGCAGGAGAATAGCTTGAACTTGGGAGGCGGAGGTTGCAGGGAGCCGAGATCGCACCACTGCACTCCAGCCTGGGTGACAGAGCGAGACTCCATCTCAAAAAAAAAAATTTTTTTTTAAAGTAAATCCCTCTTATCCCACCCAGAAGTGTGTCCCTTAACACTTTGGGAAACATCTTTATAGAAAAATGCAGGGCCAGCTTCATGCACGTGGACCTGGGCAATGCTGGGCTCTGTGCTCAGAGGCGCCCCGAGCTGGGTTTAATGTTCTGCTATCACCATCTTGAAATTTTCCATTTTATTTTATTTTATGTTAGAAATGGGGTCTCACGATGTTGCCCAGGCTGGACTCCTCAAACTCCTGGACTCCAGCCTCAGCCTCCTGAGTAGCTGGAGCCGGGACTACAGGAACACATCACTGTGCTCAGCTCCTCAAATTCTTAATCACTTTTGAACAAGGGAACCTACATTTTCATTTTGCACTTGGCCCCCAAAATTATATAGCTAGTACTGGATACGAGTTTTTAACATCAAAATTGAGATTATATGGTGTTTGTACTATTTTAACAAGTTTATTTAAGATAAACCCCTTCGAGTAACATATAAATGGTTTTCAAAAAATCGAATGGTATAAGAAGTCTACGAGACTGTAAGCACCCAGTGCCTGAGGACTGCCCCTTGTGGCTCCTGGCTCAGCAACTGGCACAAGGCAGGTGAAATGGTCAAACAAGTGAATGAACAGGTCCTAGAATGCTGGAGGGGCCTGTGAGATTAGCTAAGCCCCATGTTTCCTAACTGTGTTCCAAGAACCCATGCCGGGAGGGGATGGGGGCAGGGCAGGAGCTGGGGGTGCTGGAGGGGTTGTGGGGAGAGAAGGTGCCAATCTCTCCTACTGCAATCGGAGAAGCTTTGTTTTTATCTATTCTATATAGTGGAGTCTCAAGCAAGATTTGATCGGGTGAAAGAGTTCCACCGCAAATGAACAACCACAGCAATCCGGCCCATCATTTGCTTTTGTAAATAAAGATTTTTTGGAACACAGCCACACCCATTCATGTGCAGATTGTCTCTAGCTGGTTTGCTGTGAAGCAGCAGAGGCGAGAAGTTGCCACAGAGATTTCCTGGCTGAAGTATTTATTATCTTACTCTACAGAACAAGCTCATTGACCCCTGATCTAGTCAAATTCTTCCATTTTATAGGCAAGTAAAGTGAGGCCTAGACACGTGGTCAAGGTCATAAGTTAAGACAACAGGGAACAGGGAATAAAACTCCAGTCCAGGGAATTCTTGTGCATGGAGAATTGCAACAGCCACCCCCAACCCCACAGCTCGCCTCCAGGAAACAGCAAACCTGAAGACCTAGTTTCTACCTTTTCCAGAAAAGTCTGCAGAGGGAGAATGTTGGGGTATGGCTCAGTACCTCCTTCTCCCTGCAATTCTTCAACTTTGGCTCATTGCATCCTCTCTGCTGACCACGGACAGGACAGAGTGCCGTCTTCCATGGCTTTGAGGACAGTACAGAAAAGAAAGTGGAGAGAGACAGAGCAATTTGTAAACAATCAGCCAGCCACCTCCCTCTCCCCACCCTCTTCTCTTTTACATGGAAGCATCCCCAGTCTCTTGGGCTTGGAAATTGGATCTGCCAGGAGCCCCGCGGTAAGCCCAGGTGAGCAGGGCTCAGGCACCATCAATAATGAGCAGAGAACAGGTTTGCTGATGATGGAGAGACCTTCAGAGGAACGAAACAACCACAGCAACCAGGAACCCAGGCATGCCCAGAGATACTGATGACCAGACTAAGTGGAGTGGACATGTCATTAACACCAGCCCAGCAAAATAATTACATGCAAAGGGAGCCTGTCAGCAAAAAGGAAAAACAGATCAGAGCCTTGCAGTGATCCAGTGGTGTAAGAAGTCCGCAAGACTGTAAGCACCCAGTGCCTGGGGGCTGCCCCTCGTGGCTCCTGGCTCAGCATCTGGCACAAGGCAGGTGAAATGGTCAAACAAGTGAATGAAGAACAGATCTTAGAATGCTGGAGGGGCCTGTGAGGTTAGCTAAGCCCCATGGTTTTCTAACTCTGTTCCAAGAACCCATGCCTGGAGAGGTTGGGGTAGGGCAGGAGCTGGGGGTGCTGGAGGGGTTGTGGGGACAGAAGGTGCCAATCTCCCGCACTGCAATCAGAGAAGTGTGCATTTAAGGAGAGGTGTGGATTTCCAAAGTCTGCAGGTGTCTGTGCACACAGACCTGGGAAGATCCAAGAGAAACGATAGGATGTGCTGAGGATTCTACCCCAGTGAGCGAGCACATAGCCCCACTTGGGGACAGAGAATGCTTGCTATTCATTCTGAAGGGCCATCCTGAGCCTGAAACCCGGACCTCCTCTGAGTTTGTCCTAGACAACGATGCCCTAGCGAGGCCCAATAGTATTAGAGAAAGACTATGGGCTTGAGGGTGGACAGGCCTGTGTGGTTTTGGACCAGTCGCTAAACCTCTCTGAGCATCTGTGTTCTCATCTATAGGATGTATTTACCTCAAAGTGTTGTGCGAGCAAGTAATTGTCTTGGGCATTGGCTGAAAGGAGTGAAAAGCTTCAGCTCAGGTTGAAAGGGGGAATCTCCATCCAGCAATACTCATTATATAACCTTTTTTATAACCTGCTCTGAGGGAGCTCATCTTCCCATTGTCCATCCATTGCTGGAGTTTGCTTTCTTCCATTGCCAGTTCAGCTTGCCACCTACAGGGACATTTTCTGCATCAAAGACGAGACACACCTGGCCCTGTCAGTGTCACGCCCAGAGGAGCAGGAAAGACACCCTTCTGTGTCCCCACTTACTTCCTCACCTAGAGTCTGCAGTGGGCCTGGGGGAGGGTCCCTCCCTCTCTCTCATGCTATTGCCCTCTCCCGAAATGCCGTTCCCTCCTTCTCTCTCTGACCAAAAACATAAGAACCCAGCATATGTACCACTTGCTCTGGTGAAGCCTTCTCCACGGTCTGCCATCCCAAAAGGTGGACAGGATTCCTCAGCCTCCTCCCACTTGCTGCAAGCTGGCTGTATGCATTAGAGTGATGGGAGCAAGAATGCAATCTCTGTGAGGGCAAAGACTATTGTCCACTCATCATTATTAGCCCAGCACCCAGCACAGCCCTAACACATGACCAATACCCAGTAAATATTTGTGGCATGCATGTATGCATGGATGGATGAATGTGCAGATGGGCGGATGGAGGGATGTGCAGATGGGAACTTAGATGGATGGGTGCATGGATGGATGAGTAGATGGGAAGTTGGATGGGTAGGTGGATGGGTGGATGAATGGATGGATGGATGGATAGATGGATGGATGGAAGGAAGGAAGGAAGGATGGATGGATGGATGGATGGATGGATGGATGGATGGATATGCAAATGGGAAGTTAGATGATGGATGGATAAATGGATGGATAGATGGGTGGGTGGGTGGATACATGAGTGGCTGGATGGGTGGGTGACAGCACCCACTTGAGACAGCTAATTCCTGGCTTTGGCAGCTTAGTGTCAGCAAATGGGAACAGATAATTCCAGCCCAAGGAGGCCCTGAGAACATGTGGGGACCTCTCCCTCAACAGCATCTCTGTTTCCATGCAGTGTTTCCCACTTCAGCCCTGGAGACCATGGAAATTGACTTGACAACAGCCCAGAGGGAGTTTCTGTCTTCAGGCTGCAGCTTTCAGAATCATTCTCCCATCATCAGAGCCTGCAAATAAAATAGTAACTATGCCTGGCAACCTCAGAGGATCAAAGGCAGCAAGAGAAAAGCACAATCAAATTACCCTGGATGGCAGCAGCTCCAGGAAGAAACATGTCTCGAGAAACTGAAAGCAGAAAGCCTGGAGCAGGGTTCCCCACCCCTTCTCTCCCACCAGTTGCTCAAGATTTAGAGCAGGCCGGGCGCGGTGGCTCACGCCTGTAATCCCAGCACTTTGGGAGGCCGAGGCGGGCGGATCACGAGGTCAGGAGATTGAGACCATCCCGGCTAAAACGGTGAAACCCCGTCTCTACTAAAAATACAAAAAATTAGCCAGGCGTAGTGGCAGGCGCCTGTAGTCCCAGCTACTTGGGAGGCTGAGGCAGGAGAATGGCGTGAACCCGGGAGGCGGAGCTTGCAGTGAGCCGAGATCCCGCCACTGCACTCCAGCCTGGGCGACAGAGCGAGACTCCGTCTCAAAAAAAAAAAAAAAAAAAAAAAAAGATTTAGAGCAAAGTTTGCAAAGTACCTGGGTAAGGAAGGAGAAGCCAGCACACAACAGTTTTGTTTGGCCTATATCATGCTTTTTGATTTTAAAATTTGGATTCTAACATTTAAAAATCAAGCTTTCACATAAAAATCTCTATGTCTGGCTCCTCTAGAGAAACCGGGTACTCTGCAGTCTCCCTCTTCCATGTGGCAGCAGTCCCCAGAGTGAGTAGTTGCTGCCCTGCTGCATGAAGGCATTCTCCAGGTGAGCCCAGGCCCACCCACCTGTACCTGCCAGGCCCCTGAACGTGGGTGAATGTGCCACACTTCTGTTCGTGGAGGATCCTGACTCCCCCAAAGTGCACTTGAATGTCCTTGGTTAGGAGCACTCTTCCTGGTCTTCCACAGGATGGAGCCAACATGATTGTCTCTCTTTCGTCCCTCTCATTCATCTTTATTTCCCAGGATCCCCCAGGCCAGTCTGTCATCTCTTGGACTCATCTGTCTAAAGGAAAGAGGCCAGTGGGGGCAACTGAGGCTCATCTCTGGCCGGTTCTCAGCTTTCAAAATCTGCTGTTGTTGAGTCAAGGGTTATATGGGGCCGAGTTGTGCCTCTCTCAAGTTTAAGGAACAAAAGGGAAACATGACAAGGGCTTCACCCAGCCACTGCCTACTCCAGAAGGAGTATCAGGATCCCCTGTTGTTCCCCCAACACTTGGGCTCTGTATTAGTCAGGGTTCTCCAGAGAAACAGAACCAATAGGATAGATGGATGAATAGATAGATAGATGATAGATAGATAGATAGATAGATAGAGAGATAGATTAGATATAGATAGATAGGTAATAGATATAGATAGATAGATAATAGATAGGCAGATAGAGATAGGCAGACAGATAATAGATAAGTAGATGGATGGATGGATAGATAGATAGATAGATAGATGTAGATAGATAATAGAAAGGCAGATAGACAAGTAGATAGATAGATGGTAGACAGACAGACAGCCATATAGGCAGACAGACAGGCAGGTAAATGATAGATACATAGATAGATAGACAGATAGATGATAATAGATAGGCAGATAGAGAGATAGACACACAGATAGATGATAGATAGATGATAGGCAGATAGACAGACAAGGGGATAGATAGGCAGACAGGCAGGCAGACAGGCAGATGATAGATTAGATAGATAGATAGATAGATAGATAGATAGATAGATAGATAGACTTCTTATGGAAATTGGCTCATGCAATTATGGAGGCCAAGAGTTCCATGATCTGCCATCTGCAAGCCCCAGAACCAGGAAAGCCAGTGGTGTGACTTAGTCCAGGTCCAAAGGCCCAAGAACCAATGGTGGCACTGGTGTAAGTCCTGGAGTCCAAAGGCCCAAGAACCAAAAGTGCCGATGTCCAAGGTCAGGGAAAAAATCGATGTCCCATCTCAGGGACAGAGAGAGAGAGTCCGCCCTTCCATTTCCTTTTTGTTCCATCCGGGCCCGCAGCAGATTGGATGATGCCCATCCACACTGGTGGGGGCCGAACTGCTTCCTCCAGCCCACTGACCACCCTCACAGACGCACCCGGAAAGGCATGCTTTCCCTGCTGGGCACTCCTCAGCCAGGCCAAACTGACACGTAAAATAAACCATCGCCAGCTGCCTTCCCTGCAACTCAAGCTGGAGATCCCCCACCTCTGGGTTCTGTTCTTGGACCGCTGTTTGCCTGGAGGAGGGAGATAGAGCGAGAAGAGAGAAAATGGCAGGCTCCATACCTGTTTGCACTTGGATAATGCAGTGGGCTGTGTGTGCAGGGAGGAGTGCCAGCCAGGGCTGTTTGTTCTAGGAATGGTTAATCCCTGTTCAAATTTATATCCTGAATCTTTAATGCAACTATGTCAATGAAGAGTCGGCAGCATTGCTCGGCACCGCTGGCTCTGACTTGCAGAGTACTTAACTCAAGCGTGAGGAGTTCCGAAGGTCCTCGAACACATTGGGATCCCACCCTCCTCCCATACACACTCACACATCCAGGAACCCTGGAAGGCTGGCCTGGGGGAGAGAGACAGATCAGAGCAATGCAGGGCCGGATTTTGTAAGTGGTGATGCTGACCGGCATCTGCCTCCTGTTCACTGTGTAGAGAAATCACACTACGTGGCTCCGTGTAGGGACCTTGCTTGGTTTCAGTTTGCAAGTATTTATTTAAAAAATAAGTTCTGGTGTTGGCCAGGAGTTGAATAATCTCAAGAAGCCGACTGAGAGCAGTACAGACTGTGTAACCAGCTACACACTAACTGTAGGGGGGTGTGGCAGCCTGAGCTCTGGGCAGAGGCAGGAGAGCCAGGAGAAGCTAGCAGCCAAGGGCTCCTGGGCAGGACTGTCCCCTCTAACTGGAGAGGAACCTCTACAGGGCCCCGCAGTATGCACTGGTGAAGGTTCCATGGCCAGGTCTCCAGTGAAACGGCCCTGATTTGGAGCGTGTGCCGATTCCCAGGTGTAAACGGTCCCCTGGGGCTCATTTCCAGCTGTCAAGGTGAGGTCACACACCTGTGCAGGACACCTGCAGCACACCACCAAACCAGCAAGCTTTTATGTTACTCTGAAGTTTTATTCTCTTTTCTGCTGAGCCGCAAGCAGAAGAAATAGAAAACTTGGAAGGAAAAGCAGGGTCCTTCACCAGAGGAACAAGAAGCAAACAGCAAAAACCTTTGCCTGCAAGTGAAAGGGCCAGAGGGCTGGCCAGAGGCCACCTGCAGGGACAAAACCACCTGGGAGCCCCAGACATCCCCACTCAAGTCCAGGCTGGCCCCAGCCAGGGGCAGCAGGGCTGGGGGTGCTGACCAAGGTCACAGCTCAGGTGGGAGTGGGTCCATGGCACAGGGAGCCATTCCTAAGGGAAGATCCCAAAGCTGGTGTCTTCACAGAAGAATGGTGGGAGCTGTTTCCTCATCTGTAAAATGGGGTGATAGCACATCCCCTTCAGAAGGCTGTCGTGAGAATTAAACGAGCAGGTGACTTGAAGTGCTTGGCAGGATGCCTGGCGCATACTATGAGCTCATGCAACAGGGACCCAGTGGTACAGATGCCAGCGGTGTGTGGTGGGAAGGCCAGCTTGGGAGTAACTAGAAGTGGACGGGACCTGTCTATACCATGGGCCCGGGGAGGGGAGGCACACACCACAGCTGTGGGCATCTGCTCGGTGGCTGAAGAGTTGATCTTCAGCAAGGACAGGGAGGAAATCAGGGGATCTTTGCGGAGCTGGGAGCATGGCCTGAGACTTGGAGGACAGGAGGACTGAGACCTGCAAACCCACAGCAGCGGATGGGAAGGGATCTCCAGAAAAACAAAACGCGGAGATGGGCGTGCTGGACTCTTTCTCACTCACTGCTTCTCCATAGGGTGCACTGGACTCTTTCTCACCCACTGCTTCTCCGTAGGGTGCTCTGAGGCAGTGATAGCTGCGGTTCATGAAGTCTTGACCACTTACTGGGCCAGTGTTTCCCAGACGCATTCCCTGGAAGACAGCAGCCGTTAGGTCAATAGGTGTCACCAAAACAGGTTCCACGACTAACGCCAGCCTGCCTCCTGCCACAGCTTCCCTGAGAGCGTCCCCAGCCCTTCTGAGCCTCAGCCGAGTGACCAGGGCTGCCGAATTAACGGGTGCTAGTGAACAAATGCCCTTCTCAGATCTCACGCTTACATTTTAAGCTGGGTCTCAGTGGGCTTGCCCAAAGGAATAAAGAATTGGCAATTTTGGGCAGGCTGAATCTCTGTGGCAGGGACCTATTAAGGTGGAGTCTTTCCAGTCTCTTCAAATTATAACACCCTAGTAAGAGGTCATGTCGCCCATGCAGGAAACGTGTGCCCTCTCTCTCTCTCCCTCCCCTGTCTTCCTCTCTTCCTCTTTCACACTCCCTCTCTTTCTCTCTCTCCCGTCTTCTCTCTCATCCTTACCTCCCTCCCTCTGTCCCTTCTCCTCCTCTCCTTTCCTTTCCCCATGTTCTGGAACTGAGGAATCCCTAGAGCCAAGCAGTCCCTGACTGACAGCTGACTTGGTGATGCAGGTGGAGACTGCAGCAGGGGGGGCTGGATGCGGTGCTGGGGGCAATGGGCCTGCTGGGTGCGTTGGGCGGGATGATGCCCAGGTTGGCAGGATCACCGTGAACCTGGATGAGTGGATCCCTGGGCGCCCACTTCTCCGAGGGAGGGCTGGACGCCTCCTCCTGTCTGAGGTCAGGGCAGCAGTCTTCCCAGCCCCAGGATTCTCAAGCCCATGGTGGCCTCTCCTGGTCTGATTCTCACCTCGCCTACTCACTGTGGGCCCCAGGCAGAGGCCCAGGGAGAATTTCTTCTCACCTCTGACGCAGACCCCGAAGGACTGAGGACAGCACCCCCACTGCGTCATCTGATGACGCAGGGAGGGAGGGCTTCCCCCAGCCCACCCCCGGCTGCAGCCGACCCTCTAGAGCCTGCCCCAGCCTGCCAGGCTCCATCCCCTGAGACCAGCCTTCAGCAAGCGTGGGACGGCTCAGCCCAGGCACCTCGTCAGCATGACTCAGTGCTAAATGATCAGATGAAATGGGCCTTCCCAAGGCCCAGCTGGAGGTGATGAGCTTCAGCAAGGAATTTGTTTTACCTCAAACTGGGATGTTTAACCCCAGGACAGGAAAAAAAAAAAAAGAAAGAAATCCCTGCTCACTGCCTTCCCTGGTGATTTCCCTGTGTGTGTGGAGGGGCTGAGTTGCTGGGCTGTTTGCAGGGACAGTTGGATGGAGCTAGATTCCGTGGCGGGAAATGGTATCTCTTGTAGCCACTTAAGACAGGGTGAGCCCTGAGCAAGGCAGAGGCTGGGGTCTTCCCCTGTGTGGAGGCTCCCGGCATCTGACGCCTCTGATGTCAGGAAGGGAGCCCGGCCCACCACAGCGGGACCCAAACCTCCATCACGTGCCCTGTGGAGGCACTGAGTGCAAGTCGGTTCTGGCTGGGACGAGTGAAGGTGGAATGATGCCCTGGTGAGATGCGAGCTGAGCCCCGGCTGCACCCCTTAGCAGCTGTATGACTGACAGAAGGTTCCCCGATCTCCCCAGCCTGGGGTTCCTCATTGCAAAACAGGGTCCCAGACTCCCAGGTCTGTTGCGAGGGCTTCTCTCGGCACAGAGCCTGGCACATGCCGGGTGCTTGTAGGGGGCCTCAAATGGAGTCAAGAGATGGAGAAAGACGGCTGGACTCCGGGGCAAGCCAAGGTCAAGGGGTCAGGAGTTTCTCCTGAGGCTAAAGGGGACCCTAACAGGGCACAGGGAGATAGAGATGTCTGCTGAGCTGGGGACAGGACCGGGCACCCTCTCAGGGGCCCTCTCAGGGGCCTGGGGAGACAGACGGCCTCGGCCTTGGGGCTGACAGGGCTGACACGGCAGAACACAGCCTGCGCCTCCCTGGACCCACCTCAAGTGCTGGCCCTCATATCTGAGGCTCCTTCTTCTTTGCACGTGGTCTCTCACTCAGGATGCCTGAGGGCTGGAGCAGGTAACCCCAAGGTGACCCTGGGGTCTGGCGATGTGGGTCCTGGTCCCACCTCTGCCTCTTCCTTGCAGTGAGATCTTGGGCACAAGACAACCCCAGAATGGAATGGGTCTAGGAGCGAGAATGGGGTGGGACGGGCATCTTCCAGGGGAGCTCCAACCTGGGCAGCCCCACCCAACATGCCCCAATCCCCAGGATTCAGGGCCTTCCCTCCCTGCAAACATCATTCTCCTCGCAGGCTCACAGGCTCGTTACAGGCTAATCCCAACCCAGCCTCAGGGCCTCAAGGGCAAAGGGAGGGCAGACAGGCTCCTGCTCCAGTCCTGGCTCCTGTGTGACCTCAGGCAAGTCACATAACCTCTCTGAGCCTCCAGGTCCTACCTCAAGGAAAGGGAATAATGAGCTCTTCCATCCAAGGCTGCTGTGGCAATGAAATGTCACATGTCATGTAGTTTTAAATAAGGTCATGTGTATAAAATGTGCGGGTGCTAGGAGCCACCCAGCACATGCTGGTTCCTTTCCTGTCCCTGGACCTAACTCTGATCCCAGACTGCTGAGTTCTTGGAGAACGTTATTCCCTGGGTTGCAAGCCACCTGCCCATCCCAGGCCTGTCCAAGGTCCCCCAGGGCTTTGTTCTACCAGGCGACTGAAGGCATTCCCCTTCCTGCCCCCATCTGCCTGTTCCCAGGCCCTCCAGATGAGGCCGCTGTCTGCCCTCAACCCGCCCACAGCAGCCCGGCCCCTCCTAGCCCGCGTTTGCAGGGCTTGGTCAGCCGCTGTGTCTGAGCCTGCTGGAATCTCAGATCCCTCTCCCCTTATCCCATGTGACTCAGTCTCCTTCCACCCATGGAATCTCCTCCTATCTCTCCCTGTGTCTATCCTCACCCCCTGCCTTGTGTAGGGTGGGAGACTGGAGTCCTGCCCACTGCTTCAGACCTCTCGTCCTGGAAGGCAGCCCTCTGGCTGGGCCCTGCCACCTGGGGCCACATCGGATTTTGCTGCATCTCCAGGGACCACCCTGCCCCCCTCACTTCCCTTTTCCTCTTCCCACCAGGATGCCCTGATCCCCCTGCCCAACCCAGAGTCTGGGCTGTCCCCAGCCAGTCCCAGCTACGGGTTCCCAGTCTCCACTCTCCCCAACCCCTCTCCAGCAAAGGCCAGCTCTGCGCTTCTCCTCGCTAGAGCCTTGCCCTTCAGGCCCTCTTCTGGCCGAGATTCACCCAGCCTCCACCCCTCACCTGGGTGAATGGCACCTCTGGCCTCACAGTTTGGGTGTCAGATTCTGGAGTCAGGTGCACAGATCTCAAAGCCTGCCTCTGGGCCACTGATGTGCTGAGTGATCTTGGGCGGGTCCACCCTCCCTTGCAGACCTTCAGTTTCCAGATCTGATAAAGCAGCAGTGATTATGCAGCTGAGTCGAACAATTAGAGTTTGAATTGCAAGAGTTCCCTTATGCTGGGATTTTCTGCCTCTGTCACCCCTGAGACAGCAAGACCAACTCCTCCTCCTCCTCCTCCTCTTCCTCCTCCTTCTCCTCCTCGGTCTCCTCAATGTGAAGACAAGGAGAATGAAGACCTTTATGATGATCCACTTCCACTTAATGAATACTAGACTTTCTCTTCCTTATGATTTTCTTTTCTTTTCTTTTTTGTGATGGAGTCTCACTCTATCACCCAGGCTGGAGTACAGTGGCGTGATCTTGGCTCACTGCAACCTCTGCCTCCCGGGTTCAAGCAATTCTCCTGCCTCAGTCTCCCAGATAGCTGGGATTACAGGGTCCCGCCACCACACCCAGCTAATTTTTGTATTTTTAGTAGAGATGGGGTTTCACCATGTTGCCCCAGCTGGTCTTGAACTCCTGACCTCAGGTGATCCCCCACCCCCAGCCTCCCAAAGTGCTGGCATTACAGGTGTGAGCCACCGCGCCCAGCCTCCTTATGATTTTCTTAATACCATTTTCTTTTCTGTAGCTTATTTTATTGTAAGATTGCAGCATATCATACATATAACATCCAAAATATGTGTATTAGCTCTTGGTGCTATCAGTAAGGCTTCTGGTCAAAAGGAGGCTCTTAGCACTTACATTTTGAGGAGTCAAAAGTTATACCCAGATTTTCGGCTGTGTGGAGTCAGCACTCTAATCCCCACATTGTCCAAGAGTCAACTGCACAACCTCACAGAGCTGTCGTGGGACTGAACAGGACACCATACATCAAGGGCCTTGCACACAGTGAGTTCAATCCACTGAGGTTGGGCATGATAACCCCCAGGGTGGCAGACACAGCCCCGATACACAAATCCTGTTTGGGGCCCTGCCACCTTTTTCCCGAGACACCAGCTGTTGGGCGTCCTCTGCTTCTGACGGGCCCCGTTGCATTCTGGCTTGACAAATGCCAGCTTTTGCCGAATCTCCCGCTCTGGGACGGGGGACATCACAGTTGAGCAGTTGGAACAGAGAAGAGTGTTTGAAAGGGCATGCGGTATCTGGGCCATGGAGGAGGAAATGGGGCATTGGTGGGTGGGATGGCAGGGCTGCCAGCATCTGACCCAGGAGGCTGGGAGGAGGCTGCTGTGTGAATACACGCTCGGCCTCTCACAGTGGCTGCCGCCGCATTAGCCCCTTGTGCTTCAGGGAACAGAGCATCCGTGATGGATGAGACTTTAATTAAAGTAATGAGACATTTATAATCGCGGTTATCTCCAAAATTAGGCCTTTTAGCAATTATTCCTGGGGAATATTCCTCCGGTAGATAGCTCCCTTTTTAGAACAACGTCGGGGGGTGGTCTGTACCTGAGAGAGATTTTCCCAGCAGGCCCTGGGCTGTGACAGGTCAACGATGAGGTTTCCCTGGAAAACAGGACGTGGCTTCTGCCTCAGGTTTCTCTCCAGAGGAGCAAAAGTTCGATGACCCTGGGCACCTAGTCAGGTCATAGGACACTTCTAGTGCCCTCAGAGAGGGTGCCTTTGGGCTCAGAACCTGAAGATCTGGGTTCAAGTCCTGACTTTACAACCTTGCTGTTGCTGAGACTGTTTGCCAAGTGGGATGTGATGGTTGATACTGAGTGTCAGCTTGATTGGACTGAAGGATGCAAAGTATTAGTCCTGGGTGTGTCTGGCAGGGTGTTGCCAAAAGAGATTAACATTTGAGTCAGTGGGCTGCAAAAGGCAGACCCACCCTCAATCTGGTGGGCGCCATCTCATCAGCTTCCAGCGAATATAAAGCAGGCAGAAAAACGTGAAAAAGCGAGACCGGCCTAGCCTCCCAGTCTACATCTTTCTCCCGTGCTGGATGCTTCCTGTCCGTGAACATCAGACTCCAAGTTCTTCAGTTTTGAGACTCAGACTGGTTTTCCTTGTTCTTCAAACTTGCAGACAGCCCATTGTGGGACTTTGTGATTGTGTCAGTGAATATTTAATAAATTCCCCTTTATATCTATCTATCTATCCTATTGGCTCTGTCCCTCTAGGGAACCCTCACTAATACACGGGATGAAAAGCACACGGGCTGAGAGGCGCCAAAGCCATAAGGTCTGTGAAAGTACTTTGTAAGGTCTCAGGCATCAGGCCCCAATATGTGACCATCATGTGTTCCTAACAGCAGATTCCAGAACATTCCTCTTTAAACTCCAGGACAGTCCCTTCCCTAGGGTAGGGCTTTGCCCCCAGAACTACTCATTGTCTGGGTTTCCAACACTGTTCATGGCCATTGATTAAAAAAAAAAAACAACCCTCTCCCTCTCCCTCTCCCTCTCCCTCTCCCCCTCCCCCTCCCCCTCCCCCTCCCCTTCCCTCTCCCTCCACGGTCTCCCTCTGATGCCGAGCCAAAGCTGGACGGTACTGCTGCCATCTCGGCTCACTGCAACCTCCCTGCCTGATTCTCCTGCCTCGGCCTGCCGAGTGCCTGCGATTGCAGGCGCGCGCCGCCACGCCTGACTGGTTTTCGTTTTTTTTTTTGGTGGAGACGGGGTTTCGCTGTGTTGGCCGGGCTGGTCTCCAGCTCCTAACCGCGAGTGATCCGCCAGCCTCGGCCTCCCGAGGTGCCGGGATTGCAGACGGAGTCTCGTTCACTCAGTGCTCAATGGTGCCCAGGCTGGAGTGCAGTGGCGTGATCTCGGCTCGCAACAACCACCTCCCAGCCGCCTGCCTTGGCCTCCCAAAGAGCCGAGATTGCAGCCTCTGCCCGGCCGCCACCCCGTCTGGGAAGTGAGGAGCGTCTCTGCCTGGCCCCCCATCGTCTGGGATATGAGGAGCCTCTCTGCCTGGCTGCCCAGTCTGGAAAGTGAGGAGCGTCTCTGCCCGGCCGCCATCCCATCTAGGAAGTGAGGAGCGTCTCTGCCCGGCCGCCCATCGTCTGAGATGTGGGGAGCACCTCTGCCCCGCCGCCCCGTCTGGGATGTGAGGAGCGCCTCTGCTGGGCCGCAACCCTGTCTGGGAGGTGAGGAGCGTCTCTGCCCGGCCACCCCGTCTGAGAAGTGAGGAAACCCTCTGCCTGGCAACCGCCCCGTCTGAGAAGTGAGGAGCCCCTCCGTCCGGCAACCACCCCGTCTGGGAAGTGAGGAGCGTCTCCGTCCGGCAGCCGCCCCGTCCGGGAGGGAGGTGGGGGGTCAGCCCCCCGCCCGGCCAGCCGCCCCGTCCGGGAGGTGAGGGGCGCCTCTGCCCGGCCGCCCCTACTGGGAAGTGAGGAGCCCCTCTGCCCGGCCAGCCGCCCCGTCCAGGAGGGAGGTGGGGGGGTCAGCCCCCCGCCCGGCCAGCCGCCCAGTCCGGGAGGTGAGGGGCGCCTCTGCCCGGCCGCCCCTACTGGGAAGTGAGGAGCCCCTCTGCCCGGCCAGCCGCCCCGCCCGGGAGGGAGGTGGGGGGGTCAGCCCCCCGCCTGGCCAGCCGCCCCGTCCGGGAGGGAGGTGGGGGGGTCAGCCCCCCGCCCGGCCAGCCGCCCCGTCCGGGAGGGGGGAGGGGGGGTCAGCCCCCTGCCCGGCCAGCCGCCCCGTCCGGGAGGGAGGTGGGGGGATCAGCCCCCTGCCTGGCCAGCCGCCCCGTCCGGGAGGTGAGGGGCGCCTCTGCCCGGCCGCCCCTACTGGGAAGTGAGGAGCCCCTCTGCCTGGCCAGCCGCCCCGTCCGGGAGGATGGTGGGGGGGTCAGCCCCCCGCCCGGCCAGCCGCCCCATCCGGGAGGTGAGGGGCGCTTCTGCCCGGCCGCCCCTACTGGGAAGTGAGGAGCCCCTCTGCCCGGCCACGACCCCGTCTGGGAGGTGTGCCCAGCGGCTCATTGGGGATGGGCCATGATGACAATGGCGGTTTTGTGGAATAGAAAGGCGGGAAGGGTGGGGAAAAAATTGAGAAATCAGATGGTTGCCGGGTCTGTGTGGATAGAAGTAGACATGGGAGACTTTTCATTTTGTTCTGTACTAAGAAAAATTCTTCTGCCTTGGGATCCTGTTGATCTGTGACCTTATCCCCAACCCTGTGCTCTCTGAAACATGTGCTGTGTCCACTCAGGGTTAAATGGATTAAGGGCGGTGCAAGATGTGCTTTGTTAAACAGATGCTTGAAGGCAGCATGCTCGTTAAGAGTCATCACCACTCCCTAATCTCAAGTTCCCAGGGACACAAACACTGCGGAAGGCCGCAGGGTCCTCTGCCTAGGAAAACCAGAGACCTTTGTTCACTTGTTTATCTGCTGACCTTCCCTCCACTATTGTCCTATGACCCTGCCAAATCCCCCTCTGCGAGAAACACCCAAGAATGATCAATAAAAAAAAAAATAAAAAAAAAAACAACCAATCAACAAACAACCTCATAAGCCCAGCAGACCGTGAAGGCCCCAGGAACTCAGGGCAGAAGTTAGCAATGTGGGTTCTGCCCTCGTTGGCCAGAAAGGTGCGGTGTGGCCATTTCACTTCCCTCGCTGGGCCTTGGATTTCCTTACCAGAAACATGATGGTCATAGTCACTGGCCAGTTGACTGCCCAGAGGTGGCACAAGGATGAAATGCAATTGGACTCAGAGAACCGTACCATGAGCCTAAAGCATCTCATCATTCAACCCCACAAATCTCAGGACAAAGTCAGTGCTCCACGGCGTCCATCCCCGGCTCCTCCCTCCCTAACTGGCAGAGACCAGAGGGACACACACGTGCCTCAAGTTCACACAGCAACATGGAACACCCAGGCCTCTCGTTTTCTGAAGCTTTTCCACCCCTCCAAACCTTTGCTATAATTATCACCACTGCAACTTTTAACTAAAACTGATTAAAAGTTTACCACGTGCCAGACACTATTTTAAGCATTTCTCCTGCATCATCGCATCAAATCCTCATAGTAACTCTGTGAGAGTTGTTATTGTTGTTGTTTCTGTTTCACAGACACAGAGGAGTTGAGAGATTTCCCCGAGGTCACACGGCGACGTGGACCCAGGTGTACGTCCCTTGCAAAGCTCGTGCTCTAACCATGACACCACACTGCCTCTGGCCCTGATGACTCTTGCAGACACTCTGACGGTTTGGTCCCAGTTCCTGGTTGGAGGGGGACCCCTGATAAACAGGGGTCACTGCTGATCTGGCCTTTCTGGAATTCTGCAGGGTCTGCCCTCACTTCCCTGCCACTCACCCTCACCCCACCCCCAGCCTCTCTGCTGTTTGCTGCTGTACCGCACAGCCTGTTCACCCCAGGATCTGCCCCTTCCTCTTCCAGGGTTCCAGGGCTTCCCAGAAGTCAGGCTTCCATTCCCGCAGGAAGGGTGCAAACAGGCCAGTTCCTGCTGTGGGGAGGAGTGGGTGCCACAGTCCCTCAGATCACTAATCTATTCGATCCTACTGTGTGCCAAGTGCTGCTCTAGGTGCAGATGAACAAGCCAGGTGGGGCCTGCCCTTGGGGAGCCTGAGGCCAATGTGCCCGAAGGGTGCCCAGTGCCCTACAGCCCGAGACAGACCCTGGCTGCATGAGGCTGCCCAGCACTGCACCCCAGGAGACAGGACAGCAGGAGAGCAGGAGTTGGACGCCCGCCTGCCCATCCAGCAGCAACAGGCACTGGGAAAGGGTGAGGCCCTGGGGAGAAAGAAGGCAAGGGAGCCGGGCAAGCAGCAGGCAGGAGAATCACAGAGCAGCTGTGCCCAGGAGCCCTGGCATGGGGGCCATGGCCAAGCAGCTGTGGCTGCTTCCTCTGTGTCTGTCTTTGTGGCCCTGGCCGGGATGGCGCTGGACCCCAAGAGGCTGCCTAAGCCAGTGGGCATGGCCTCCTTAGGCAGCCTGGGTGATGAAACGGACCAGACCCCTGGGTGTGGGCATCACTCTTGCTCTGCCAGGAAGAGGCAGAAGGACCAATGGCAGCGGCAGGGGTGGATTCTTGCCCAGCAACAGCTGCCAAGACTCTGGGTCCCGGAAGCAGCCCCTCCCTGCCTCCTTTCAGTGCCCTGGCTTTGCAATGCAGGGATTTGCCAGCCTGAGCTCTGCCAGCCTGGGTTCAGCAAATCCCGCAAGAAGAGCCGGCTCCCCACGGGATTGCCAGTGGACCAGTGAGATGCCTCCTTACCAGTGCCCACAGCGGGAGGGGTGTGAAATCGGGACTGGCTCCCTGAGAGCTGTTAGAGGCCACCCTAACTGCCCATGGGTATTCGGCTGAAATTCAGCTCCTCTGGGAGAAAAATCTGGAACAGAGAAGGAGGCTTTAATCTGTCCGCAGGCACTTCAAGGGGAGAGGAAGGATTCCTTTAGAAGGGGGCAGGGGTTGCTGGAAAACAAGGCTGTGGTTTTAGAGGAGGGCAGTTAGGGTGGCCCCTTCCTGGGGGTCTGGGCTTGGGGCCCTGCCTGCAGATGAGGGGGATCCGCCTGGGGCAAGGTCTTGAGAGAAGCCCCATAGATGGCCCCGTCATGTGGAGTCAGCGGCTGTGGTTCGGGGGAAACAGGGAGGCCACCGCCTGCTTTCCCGGGCACCGTGTGGCTGACCCACCGCAGTTGGAGGTCTTGGCTCTCAGGGAGCTTGTCCCGATTTCCCACCCCTCCCGCTTAAGGGAACTATGGGCCGCCTGGCCCTGTGCTGCCCGCCTGCACTGGTGCATCTTCAGCTGATGAGAGGATGTGAGGTCTGGAGTGAGGCCAGCATGGCTTCGCCTGCCAGGAGCCTTCCTCTGCTCGCTCCTCTCCCCCAGCCCCGGGACAGGTCCCCATGTCCCAGGCACAGTGACACTCTCTGGCATGGAGCCAAGGCAGAACTTGCAGCAGCCTGGGAAGGTGGATCCTGGGGCCACAGATCTGGATGAAGAACTTTCCTCCCGGAAGGCAAAGGCAGGCACCGCTGCTTGCCCCAGACGGTGGGGGTGCTGAGGCCTTGGCGCCACGCCTCTGTGGGGTGAGGGCCATCTTGAGCCAGAGCCTAGAGTGCATTCCAGAACCTGATCTTATCACTCCACCAAGGACGCTAGTATTCTGGGGGATTGATTTGCTGCAACCAGTGATGGATTTAAAACACATGAGGAAGCCAATTCATTCCTTCACCCTGGGCCTGCAGAACCATCCGAGCTGCACTGGGGCAGTTCTGTACATCTCCAGTGAATCCAGCCCTGCACCCCTCTGTTAACGTGCTTTTCAAACCAAACAGTGGAATGCATTGGTCATCACAGGGTTTGATCTGATGTGAAAAGTGTTATAAAGCCATTCCAATTAAAGTGCCTCTGGCCTTGTGTTTCCTGAAAGCTGCTATTGAGAGGAATATAATTGCATGAGAACAGCATCCCCTGAACTTGCTGCTTCTTGGGGACCCCACCACATGGCTTGGGTCAAACAGCACACTGACAGGATACCCTGGGCCACAGGAGGCAGCCTCCCACCCACACTTCTCTTCCTAATCTCCAAGTAGCCACTCCCCTGGGTCTGCCTTTGTCCCCAAACTGCCCGATCCCCAGTGTCCCCATCGGTGGGTCAGCATTTACAGGGCACCATCCTTGTCCCCATGATACAACTCTCACCCCACAGGAGCAGGGTGCTGGTGGCCCAGATTTCACAGAGGGCTTGGTGGGTTTCCAATCTTCGTCTGTGAGTCTCGAGTCCCTGAGGACAACGCCCCGCTTCTGTGTGTCTCTCCGGACTTGTGCGGGGGTACTCAGCAGACTCTTGGGTGATCCACCTAAGGTGCAGTGCCCTGCAAGAGCTGGACACCTTGAAAATAGAAAGGGGGTTCACTCCACGCGAATTATAATCCTGGGAGAAAGGTGCTTGGCCTGGCAGTAGCAGGGGGCAAAGAAAACACAGTGGAGGGAGAAGTAAGAGAATGGCCACTCCTGCCCCTCCAACTCCAGCAGTGCCCCCCCGACTCCAGCAGCCCCCACCACTCCAGCAGGCCCTCCCCACTCCAGCAGGCCCCCCCACTCCAGCAGGCCCTCCCAACTCCAGCAGTGCCCCCCCCCGACTCCAGCAGCCCCCACCACTCCAGCAGGCCCCCCCTACTCCAGTAGGTGCCCCTCACTACAACAGGCCCCCCCCACTCCAGCAGGCCCTCCCCACTCCAGCAGGCCCTCCCCACTCCAGCAGCCCCCCCCACTCCAGCAGGCCCCCCCTACTCCAGCAGTCCCCCCCACTCCAGCAGGCCCTCCCCACTCCAGCAGGCCCCCCCAATCCAGCAGGCCCTCCCCACTCCAGCAGGCCCCCCCACTCCAGCAGGCCCCCCCCACTCCAGCAGGCCCCCCTACTCCAGCAGGCCCCCCCACTCCAGCAGGCCCCCCCACTCCAGCAGGCCCCCCCCACTCCAGCAGGCCTCCCCCTATTCCAGCAGGCCCCCCCCCACTCCAGTAAGTGCCCCTCACTCCAGCAGGCCCTCTCCACTCCTTCTCTCCCTCCCTTCCCTTCCCATTCTGGGCCCTCGCCTTCATTCCCCTTTTCTCTTCGCCCTTTCTTTCCCCTCCTCTCTCCTCCTCAGAGTTAGAAAGACCTTGGTGGTGGGTCCCGGTAGGAGGAGAGGACGCTTGCTCCCCACTTCTTGGAGAGCGAGCCTTTGCTTGGCAGGGGTCTCAGAGAGCACCCCGAGCTGCTCACACCCCCCGTTGCTCACCACCAACCCCTTCAACGTCCAGGGTCCTGCAGAACTCTCAAATCCAGCCAGGTGGGTGTGGCTCAGGCCTCCGGCTACCTGTGCTGGGGTAGGGAACAGGGAAGGGGGCACAGCCTCTCTTTTATTGTTGTTTGGTTCTGGCCCTGCCACAGAAAGCATTTTGCAACTGGACCCTCCACCCACCTCCCCTGACCCCCTAGTGCCTGGCAGATGCTTCCTAGCGCAGGGGGAGGGAGGGAAGGAGCGGAACAGACGGCCCCCCCAGGGGTCTCACCTGCCATCAGCCTTCCAGTCTCCCTCATCCCCGCTTGCTGACCTCCCTCCTGGCCCCCAGGGGACCCACGAGGCACACCCTGCATGGACTGATGCCACCCAAGCCCTGGCTCCTTGCCCCCAGCCGACGCTCCACAGAGCTCTCTGCCTCGCTAACTTGGAACAGTCATAGCATGAGTGGGTTTTTTTCTCTTTTAGTCAAAATCAATGACAATGACAGAGTAATAAGGCGAGCCGTGGGGAAGAAGAAGAAAGCGCCTGGTGTCAGGATTGATGCAGGAGGCAGTTAGAGGGACCTATTAGGATTTCAGTTGCCTCAGGGTGTGCTTCTCCGGCGAGCAGGTGTGATGTCAGGGAACCCACTGGCAGGCAGGCAGCCTTGTCCCTGCACACCTGTCATTAATGTGGAAGGCGCAACATTGCAGCTATTAGTAGGGGGTGGCGGGGTGCGTGGTGGAGACATCTCAGTTATACAAGGGGGACTAAGAGTTCCACTGGGAGAAGAGAAGGAGGAACCCGAGGTGTCTGCCCCGACTCCAGGGCCCCGAGTCTGGAGAGAAGGGACCTCGGAGGGGGCGTTCACCACAGCGCAGTGGACAGGGCCTGACCGTCACAGGTAGGGGGTGCCTGGAGCCTGCCAGCCGGAGGAGTGGGGACCCCTTTGTTTTCCTCCCAAAGTCCACTGTTCCTGCTGGCTCCAGAACAGCCCCCAGGCATTGCCACGCTCCCTCCCTGGGCCACACTGGCTCCCCGCACCTCAAAAGGGAGAAAGACCCACAGGGCTGGGGGAGACGGCAGATCCCCCACCATGCACTCACATAGCTGGGGTTCTTGTCACTTTGCCAGGTCCCTTTCAATTTCCACTCTGAAAGAAGGGCTGGCACATGACAGCGTTAACCTCTGGCCTCCATTCTCTGCCCCCCAGAGAATGAAACAAAGGGAGAAAGGGGATCTCCCCAGGGATAAGGCAGGCTCAGGTCAGAGGCCCTCATTGCCCAGTCATCTTGGGCAGCTCCCTAGCTCTGCCCCTGGGTTTCCTGTCTGTAAAACAGGGTGCTAATACCTGCTTGCTTGGGGTCATTAGAAGTTGGATGCAGGACGGGCTACCTAATCTGTGGAGCCCAGTGCACATGACAAGGGGAGACCTTGTTAATAAAGTACTAAGAATTTCAGATCCAGGTGCAGTGGCTCACGGCTATAATCCCAGCACTTTGGGAGACCAAGACAGGAGGATCACCTGAGGTCAGGAGTTCAAGACCAGCCTGGCCGACATGTTGAAACCCCATCTTTAAAAAAATACAAAAATAAGCCAGGCATGATAATGGGTGCCTGTAATCCCAACTACTCAGGTGGCTGAGGCAGGAGAATCGCTTGAACCAGGGAGGCGGAGGTTACGGTGAGCCAAGATTGCACCATTGCACTCCAGCCTGGGCAACAGAAGGAGACTCTGTCTCAAACAAAAAAACAAAAAAACAAAAAAATTAAAAAAAAAGAAAAACTTCCGGACAGCAGTCGTTCTTGCTAAGAATTTCTAGAGTAGGAAGCAAGGGTCTTGCTCCCTGCCCACTGTGCAAATGAAAGAATCAAGTACAAGGAGTGAGAAAGACAGCCTAATGTTTCCTGGACATGGTGGCTGGGGACTGGCTGGAAGTTGGGGAGGGGACCCCCCCCAGCCTAGGTAGGCCCAGGTTCCTGCAGCCACAGCCTTGATGGTGATGGTCCAGGGAGAATGGCTGAGGGTGCCCACCTGGCAGGACCACAACTGTGATGAGTGAAATCAGCACGAGAAGGACTCTGGCACCCAGTTTGGGGGTGGGCAGGCAGGATGAGGCAGTGATGGACACGCGCAGCCCCCACCACACCTGCCTTCATCAGGGGCCTCCGGGTGCCCGGACGGATGCTGGTGACCATGGCAAGGGAGGGCTCAACGGTGCTGCCACAGCGGTGGTGCCTCTCGAGAGGCAGCTGGTTAGAAGTGAGAACGCAGTGTCTTCCGCCTCTCCACACCTTCTCAAGGAGGTGATTTCCCAGCCACCCGCGAGCAGCCGAGCATCCTCATTCAGCTCCTCAGGTGTCAGGGCACTGCTCTTGTTTACACTGTCATCGCCCTTGCACTGAACAGCAGAGGCGTGGACTCCTTTTGGCTGATCTTTGCTCTGAGCACCCAGCGCTATGCCAAGGATGGGGAGCCCCATCCAGAGCCCAGGCACCATCTCCAAGCAGATGGAGGAGCTAGGAACAGCTAGGAGGGTCTGTTACCAAAACAAAACTGGCTCCACTCACCCAGGTTGGTAAAGCCAAATACCCACACTGAGGTTTGCAGCAGGAGAAAGGAGGGCGTTTATTTGCCAGGTGCCAAGCAAGGAGAATCAGGCAGCTCACACTTAAGACCCAACATCCTCAATGGCTCACGAGCAACGGTTTTGTTTTTTCTTGTTGGTGGTTTCTTTTCTTGTTGTGTCTCACTCTGTCACCCAGGCTGGAGTTCAGTGGTGAGATCACGGTGCACTGCAACTTCTGCCTCTTGGGTTAAAGCAATTCTCCTGCCTCAGCCTCCTAAGTAGCTCAGACTACAGGCATGCACCACCATGCCTAGCTAATTTTTGTATTTTTTATAGAGTTGGGGTTTGGCCTTGTTGGCCAGGCTGATCTCAAACTCCTGACCTCAGTTGATCCGCCCACCTGGGCTTCCCAGAGTGCTGGGATTACAGGCATGAGCCACCACACCCGGCCACAAGCAAGGGTTTTCAAAGGCGGGAGTATATTTCAGGAAAGCAGAAGTTTCAGGCAAAATCGTTAATCAGTACATGAACATTATACATTGGTTTGGCCTCAAAAGGTGGGATATCTTGAAGTGAGGGGGCTTACAGGACCAGACGGGCAGAGAAAAGTCTCATCCGTCCCCCAACCCCCATCCTCAGAACTGGCCTGGCTTGCAAGGAGGGGATTTTGTCTCCATTTCACAGATATTAAGGAAATTGGGTGCAGAAACTTTCAAGAGCCTGCCCAGGATTCACAGAGTGAGAAGCCAGGGCAAAGCCAGAATTTAGACCTAGTGCTGTGTGGACTCACCCTTCCCACAGGAACATCCTGCTTCAGAACTGAACACCTGCAACTCAGCGTGGCTCACTCGATCCCAGCTCTAGGGGGTGACCCGGCCACCCACACCACTCTCTCCCCACCCCACACCATGGGTTCTGGGCTGCCTCACCCTCCCTCATTGCCTCCTGCGTGCACAGAACATCCTTTCCATGGGGGACATGCATCAGGAGTAGAGAAGGCTGGGCAGGGACATGGTGTGGGATCGCATGCGGCTGATATTCCTGTTAAATAAATACATTTTGCTAATTGGATTACTCAGACAGTATAATATACTACTGGATTTCCAACATGATGCTAATAAATTGTGTGAAGAACTTAATCATGTTAGCGTCCTGAAAGCTTATAAGAGATGAAATGAGAAAATCAGGCAACGTTGACACCCAGGGCCTCCTAAGGCTCTCAGGCTCCTGGAGCTTCCGTGAGCTCCCTTCGCCGGGCTCTCTGCAACAGAAGCTGCCGCTGGGCATGTGGGGTGCGTGTGGGGGTGTCAAGGGGAGGGAAGAAGGAGGTATTCAGCCAGAGAATGAGAGTCACTGTGCCAGGGACTCGAGGACCTGTCCCTGGGCCAGGGGAGAGAAGCTGGCCGAGCAAGGTTCCCAGCAGGTGAAGCCACCCTGGCCCTCACACTCCTCTCATCAGCTGAAGGCCCAGCGGGTGCAGGTGGGCAGCACAGGGCCAGGCGGCCTGTGGTTCTGTGAACCCAAAATATCTGAGACAGTCTCAGTTAATTTAGGAAGTTTATTTTGCCAAGGTTGAGGACGTGCGCCCATGACACAGCCTCAGGAGGTCCTGATGACATGTGCCCAAGGTGGTCAGGGCACAGCTCGGTTTTATACACTTTAGGGAGACAAGAGACATCAATCAACATATGTAAGATGAACATTGGTTCTGTCCCGGAAAGGCAGGACAACTGGAAGCAGGGAGAGGGCTTCCGCTCATAGGTAGAGAGGAGACAAATGGTAGCATTCTTTTGAGTTTCTGATGAGCCTCTCCAAAGGAGGCAATGCATGTATCTCAGAGAGCAAAGGGGGGACTTTGAATAGAACGGGAAGCAGGTTTGCCCTAAGCAGTTCCCAGCCTGACTTTCCCTTTAGTTCAGTGATTTTGAGGCCCCAAGATTTATTTTCCTTTCACAGTTCCCTCAAGGGTCTGTGCAAAAAGCATCAGGACCCTACCCACTCCCCTTGCTGCCAATGTCTTTCCAAAAGTGTTTCCACCCACATCTCCCTTCACACAGGGAACCACTGTGGGCTGAAGGTGGCCAAGAAGTTGTGGGAAGCACCTGCGGTTTTGAGGAGGGAAGGGCAGGGACTGAGCCAGGTGGCCGGAAGACAAGGCCAGGAGAGCCTCCATTAGTCCCTGAGAACTCCAGAGAGAGGTGGCTTCCCTCCTTGCCTTCCAGACTGGAAATCTGGGTGGTTGATGTTTAATTAACATTGGTATTGACTTGAAAAGCGAAGACCAGAATTTAAGAGCTCATTACCCCTCTTGCCTTCATATCTTGGCTCCTGGCTACCCAGGAGGGGATGAGGGATGAATGAGGGTCTGTGCTGCAGAGGCAATGAGACTTGCCGTCTCACCAAGCAAGCAAGTGCATAGCACGGGACAGGCCATTAGAACACCACGCACATGCACGTATGCACACTCACACCCAGGCACACTCACATGCATGCACACTCACACGCACACATGCACACACCTGAACTCAGCCCCCAAACAGGAGCACTCTTCAATGGCCATCATTAAAATAATAACTGGCTTCTGCAGCAGCTTCCCAGGTATTAATGCAAATGTTTTTCTAACTCTCCAGGTTCAAGAGCAACAGCTTACACAAGTCTAATTAGCATAACAAAATCCAGCCAGGAAGAGAAAACAAGCTCCTCTTATTTGATGCTTCCTGGTAATTAGCAAGAACAATTACTGCAGCATCCGGAATTTCCAACCCCCAAAGATGCCAGGGCCACACTTGAGCACATCAGGAATCAATTTAGAGAAGCCAAAATAAGGCCATTATGAGGGATGCTCAACCCGAGCGTGACATGTGTGTTTGCAAGCAAGCAAGCAAGCACTTCCCCGCCCACACCGCCCCTGTGCTGACCGCTGCAGCCTGCCTCCTGCCCTTCCCCGCGTCCACACACACACGCCCGTTCATACGCTCCTCGCCCAGGTCTTCGCGCATCCAGCATCCATTCATTCAGCAAATGTCAGCGACTGGACCTGCTGCTTTGTTCAGAAGGTGCAAAGGTGAGAAAGGCAAGGTCCTTGCACCCAAAGGGTCTGGTTGGGTGTGTTTAACCTGCATTTCATGCTGCCTTCTGTGTGCTGGGCCCGGTGGTGCAGTGCAGAGATCAGAACAAGACAGCACCCATCACCAAGAATGTCACGCCCATGAGGTATTGGATGCCTTCTAGGTGGTGAAGCCCGTGCCTGGCTCAAAGGGCACACAGAAGAGAGAGGGCCTCTCTCGTCCTGGGGTGGGTGGGTCATCAGAGACTTCATGAACCAGGTGACTGCAGAGCTGGGTTTGAGGATGAAAAGAAGTTGGTCATAGTGGGTGGACATAGGTCAGAAGAACAGAAAGAGTGCTTAGGTAGGCACTGTGGGATAAAGCCACAAAGGCAAGAAAAGGAGCGGGTGCTCAGGGACCTCGCAGCAGAGTGCAGAGGAGTGAAGGAAGGAGCCACAGGAGATGGGCCTGAGGAAGCTGGTGGCTGAAGGTCGTAGCAGGTTTCAGGGGCTGGGCCATGGATCGAGCAAGAGGGAATCAGGGTTCTGGTGCGGTGGCTCATGCCTGTAATCCCAGCACTTTGGGAGGCCGAGGCAGGAGGATCACTTGAAGTCAGGAGTTCAAGACCAGCCTGGCAAACATGGTGAAACCCCTTCTCTACTAAAAATACAAAAATTAGCTGGGTGTGGTGGCACGCACCTGTAGTCCCAGCTACTCTGGAGGCTGAGGCAGGAGAATCCTTGAACCTGGGAAACGGAGGTTGCAGTGAGCTGAGATCGCGCCATTGCACTCCAGCCTCAGAGTGAGAGTCTGTCTCAAAAAAAAAAAAAAGAGGGAGTCGGGAAAGGAGAGAAGACTGTATGGAAGAGGCACGGTCAGTGTCGGTGGCTGGAGAGGATGCCACTGTCCCATCCAGGTGGGGTGGACAGTCTCCTACCCCCAGGCCAAGAGGGTAGGCATGGATCCAAACGGGAAATGACAGATGCTGGACTCCCCGGGAGAGAAATCCTGACTGCCTGCATGTCAGGCAGAAGGGAGAGGGAGGAGATGTCCAGAATGACCACGTGGATGTGGGGAGGAGGCTGGGGGAGCTCTGCGTCGATGGGATGGGACCGTCGAGGCCAGCTGGGAAGAGGCCCCACTCACATGACTCATTCATGTGGGTCACAGCCTTCTGTGTCCAACCTGTGTCTTCTGTTCAGATCTGCACCCTTGTTGATACCCAACTACCCAGGTGGAAACAGAGCCCTGTCGTGACCATTCACAGACGACACAAGGCGTGGAGCCCCAAATAAGAGACTATGTCATGAGCTGAGCACCCCCACACCCATCTCTGCCTCAGAAACAGGTCTCCCAGGCTGAAAGGGAGGAACCCTTCTCTTCTCCTTTGTAATGGCAGCCTGAGAGGTCTCCGCGGCTTCTCTCAAGCACCCACACTGAGGCTTTGCTATAAAACCTTCCTTCCAGCCTGGGCAACATAACATGACCCCATGTCTACTAAAAATTAAAAAAAAAAGAATAGCTGGGCATGGTGGTGCATGCACCTGTAGTCCCAGGGTGTTGAAGTGGGAGGATCGCTGGAGCCCAGGAGTTCAAGGCTGCGGTGAGCTATCATCATGCCACTGCACTCCAGCCTGGGTAACAGAGTAAGACCCTGTCTTAAAAAAACAACAATAACAACAACAAACAAACAAACAAAAATCTTCCTTCCTTCCTGGTCTACTTCCCTGTGCTTCTGCTTAAGCTGATCTTACCTGGTGCCCAGTGGAAGCAAGACAACTGGGCACCTTCTTCCCTCTGCAGAGCCCGTGAACACCGTGGTGAATCTTTCGGGAGCTCCTTTGCTCAGGTAACCCTTTCCCTGGACACATGTTCCTGATTCGCAGGCAGGCCTCATCTTATCTGGGCCTTCAGTGAGGTGAGGCCTCACTCAGCATTTCAATCTGGAACATCGAGTTGACAGAGGGTAATTCACATAATTAACTTCCTTTTCTTTTTTTTTTTTTTTTTTTTGAGATGGAGTCTTACTCTGTTGTTGCCCAGGCTGGAGTGCAGTGGCTCAATCTCGGCTCACTGCAACCTCTGCCTCCCGGGTTCAAGCAATTCTCCTGTCTCAGCCTCCCAAGTAGCTGGGACTACAGTAGCATGCCACCGCACCTGGCTAATTTTTGTATTTTTGGTAGAGATGGGGTGTCACCATATTGGTCAGGCTGGTCTCAAACTCCTGACCTCAGGTGATCTACCAGCCTCAGCTTCCCAAAGTGCTGAGGTTACAGGTGTGAGCCACTGTGCCTGGCCCACATAATTAACTTCTAAATCAAAAGTTGGAACTGAAAATGCAGTTTTCCTTGTCCTTCACATTCCAGGTTGATTTCTCCCATCTCCCTTCCTTGGAGATGTGGGAAGAGAGGGCCGATGGTCCTTCTGGATGGGAAGCACAGCCGGTCCACACTGGTGTCCTTCTCAGTGCCCAGCGGTGGAACTCAGGGTATGCTGAATGAATGGAGGAAGGAAGCCGTCAATCCCCTACCTCCTTTCTCTCACCGCAGTAATGAAGTATGCGCTGCACTTTCTCATTAGGAAGCATTTCTCTTTCCATCCCCACATTTGCATCTTCCAAGCATTGTGATGCTTTTCCAATCTAGAAGGAGGAAGTGGAAACCCTAGTTTCTGTGGGCTTCGTCATAGTGCCTTTTTCCTAATCCATTGGCCTCTGGTTACTCTCCTCTGAGCCACGTTCCTGACGTGCAAAAAGCTGCAGGAGCCCCAGGGCCATTCCAATGCCATTTCTTGTCCAACCCGCTCTCCAGTCCTTGCAGTGCAAGGTGGCACCTCAGGGCAAGCCTCATGGGGCCAGAGTGGGGAGGCTCCCAGCCCACTCTGCTGACCCCTTTGTCTCCACCCGGCCAGCACCTTGGCTGCTGCATGAAGGTGGTAGGAATCAGGGGGCAAATGTAGAGAAGCACAAATACCAGGCCATGGTGCTTGCTGCAACTGGAGGTAAAACAACGTGAGTCATTTAAACTGCAGGCTCCAGGCTGGAAGGAAGTCTCCAGCAGTGAAAAGAGAAAGGAAGGGAAGGGGAGGGAAGAGGAGACAGGTGGCTGGGCAAAGGAGACGAGGGGAGGAGAATTCCGGGCATAGGAAACAGGATGTACAAAGGCTCCAAAGGCAAGGAGAGCTCAGGGAAATGCAGGCCAGCCAGAGCAAGGAGGGGGCAGGCCCAGGTGAAGGTGTGGGGTGGGCACAGGCAGCCTACAGGTGCCGAGGCCACAGTGTGCTGAAGCCAGCTCCCACCTGCCCAAGAGATCTCATTACTCAATTTCCGGAAATGTGATGAACTGGCTATTAAACTGGGCCATTTAAAACATTAATTTATATCAACTTACGATCAAATAAATTTTACTTGAAACAATGGTAATAAAAACCCCAAAGTCCTTTCCTCCTAATGATTTTGCTCTATTTGGTTATTAGCTGTATTCTGGAGGCGAGTGACATTTCTTGTATTCGCATGGTGGAACTATTATGAAATGAGGGCTACATCTCTTTCCCACCATGGGTTCAGAGATGTCATGTCGTTGGTTTGAAATTGGCTGCAATATGGCTGGGCACAGTGGCTCACGCCTGTTATCCCAGCACTTTGGGAGGCTGAGGCGAGCAGATCACGAGGTCAGGAGATTGAGACCATCCGGGCAAACACGGCGAAACCCCGTCTCTACTAAAAATACAAAAAATTAGCCGGGCATGGTGGTGGGCACCTGTAATCCCAGCTATTCGGGAGGCTGAGGGAGGAGAATCGCTTGAACCCGGGAGGCAGAGGTTGCAGTGAGCCGAGATCATGCCACTACACTCCAGCCTGGGCAACACAGCCAGACTCTGTCTCAAAAAAAAAAAAAAAAAAAAAGAGCGAAAGAAAAAAAGAAATTGGCTGCAATAGGAATAGCTACAACACAGACATTGGTAAACTATACAAATCAGTGCTTGATTTGTATAGTTTTGTTGATTGTCTAGACTTATGAATGTGATGGAGAAAATGTTAATAACACAGATTCAACTAAAACAGGTTCACTGCCCTTACATGGTGAATATCACAAAAAAGATAGTCAAATTACACTTGAATTGCAGCCATAGGCTGGCTACAGTCACAAGAGTTCAGCAAAAACCTGTGAAAGCATTCTGTGTAACTGGCTGTATGGAATTTACATTAAGGAATATTATATATCTTATTATTATTTGTAAATTGGGGCCACTCGTCCTGCGTATCAGTAAAACGCATACTCAACGTCTACACGTTTGTTTTTCAGGAAGCTGGCTGTCCAACACTCACCAGCACGCCGTGGCCTGAAAGCTGCATTCAGTGTGTGGACTTCATCCTGGGTGAAGGGGATATGGCTTTCGCTAGGATTGAAAGCACAGGCTGGGTGCAGTGGCTCACGCCTGTAATCCTAGCACTTTGGGAGGCCAAGGCGGGCTGATCACCTGAGGCCAGGAGTTTGAGACCAGTCTGGCCAAGATGGTGAAACCCCGTCTCTACTAAAAATACAAAAAATTGCAGCCATAAAAAATGATGAGTTCATGTCCTTTGTAGGGACATGGATGAAATTGGAAATCATCATTCTCAGTAAACTATTGCAAGGCCAAAAAAACCAAATACCGCATGTTCTCACTCATAGATAGGAATTGAACAATGAGAACACATGGACACAGGAAGGGGAACATCACACTCTGGGGACTGTTGTGGGGTGGGGGGAGGGGGTAGGGATAGCATTAGGAGATATACCTAATGCTAAATGACGAGTTAATGGGTGCAGCACACCAGCATGGCACACGTATACATATGTAACTAACCGGCACATTGTGCACATGTACCCTAAAACTTAAAGTATAATAATAAAAAAAAAAGAAAAAAATACAAAAAATTAGCTGGGCGTGGTGGTGTGCACCTGTAATCCCAGCTACTCGGGAGGCTGAGACAGGAGAATTGCTTGAACCCGGGAGGCAGAGGTTGCAGTGGGCCGAGATCACGCCACTGCACTCCAGCCTGGGTGACAGAGTGAGACTCTGTCTGAAAAAAAAGAAAAGAAAAGAAAGCACAAAGGGATCTGTCATTGGATTTGGGTTTTGGACACTGGTGATAAGGTGGGGAAGAGACAGGAGGCCACAAGCTAGGAGGCAGGGGACCCGTGAGGAGGCTGTCCTGACACCATGCACTGACAGCCGCGATGTGGGGGGGATAAGTGGCCCTGGGGTGGGGAGTGGGGAGGATGCCACCGAGAAGTCATGAACAAAGCCCCCCACCCACTCTCACGGCCTGCCAGGTAGAAGCCTGGAGCTCCTTACCCAGGTCTCAGTGAGTGTGAGGTCATTCTCCCGGGTCCGTGGCTGCTCACTCGTGCTGTGAGTTGCCAAGACCCGGGGTGATCTTATTTTGGAGACATTTGCCCCAGCCTCCAAAGCAAGGCATTCCAAAGTACAGGCTTCCACGCTGGACAGGTAGACCAGCTGCAGTCATCTGCCCTTGGTTATCCTCACATCCACGGTTTTCATTTGAACTGTCTTTATCAGGCACACAGAAGCCGCTTCTGAATTCCCTCGCAGCCTCCGTGTATCAGAGACCCAGTGCCAGCCTGGGCCGCCGGGGCTTGAGATGAGCGCTCTTCCTCCCTCCCGACCCCAGCCTGATGCCCCAAAGCCCTCCAGAGGAAATCAAAGCTGGCGAGAGCCACGCGGATGTTCAGAAGAAGTCTCTTATCCCGGCAGCCTTTCACAGGCTGTGGGGCCTCGTGCCCTCTGCCCCCCGACGCCGTGAGAGGCCGGCAGCCAATTCGCGGCATTGTCTGAAACCCCTGCGTGGTGCCATTGCCGCCGTCTTTCATCCCTTTTGGCAAAGAACCCGCGCCATCGGGTCCTCTGAAGTGCGGGAGACGGATCGCTGATCTGCCGGGGAATGTGCTCTACAAGGTTAAGCATGTTTGCCCAAGAAATACGGATAATGCTCTTAGCACGTATGACCTTTACGATATGTGGAACACTGTCCGTGACAAAAATGCCATTTTTTAAATGGTTTTCACGCCGGGGTATCCAGCCATTAATCATGCTGCATATGAGTGACTGTAGGGGCTGCCTAGAAAATCCTAGAGCCCCACGTTAGATTCCTGGCGGGCCAAGGGCTGTGTGTGAACCTTGACTTCATTAGGATCTGCACCGCCGATGGCTTCCTGGGCTGGGTGGCCCCCGGGGGCTCCTGCAAAAGAGCCTGGCTTCTCAGCACCTTCACAGGAGTGGCCACGGGCTCCTTATTTTAAGGTGTCTTTGTGTCCTTGGAGCTGATAAATAACTCATTTTGGATGCCTCTGCTGAGCCTGCATATTTAGTGCCCACGAACTGCATCTCAGATGCTGGAGGCTATGCCGCCCCTCTCCCTCCCTCTCCCGGCTGCAGAGCTGGGCATTGCTCAGTAGGGGAATGGCTGATGCTGGGCGCCGGCCTGATTGGAGGGAAGTGATAGAATTCAGGATTTTTACTTCCAAAAAGGCATTTTCCAGGGTCAGCCAGTTAATACCTGCACAGCCCCAGTCAGAGAGCCCCCAGACGCCTGTGGGTCCCAAGCACGAGAAAATGAGTCTGGTCTGTGTCGAGAGGCACTGGGTGTGCAGAACACACACAGGATTTCAAAAGCTTGATATAAAAAGCACAAACTACCTCATTCATAATTTTCACACTGATTAGATGTTGAAATGATAATGTTTTGGAGATACTGGGTTAGATCATATGTATTATTAAACTTAACTTTACCTTTTCTTTTTGACTTATTTCTTGTGGCCACTAGAAAGTTTAAAATTGCCGACGTGGCTTGCATCTTACCTCTGTCAGAAGCTCAGGCCACACACCCATGCAGAGACCCACCCTGGGAGTGGAGAAGTGGATGGAAGGACAGAAGAGAAGGCCCTTCCATGCCCTGGGGGCAGGGTGCTCCCAATCCCATTGCGGGGAAGGAGTGCTCACACAAGCACCTGTGCAACTGGCACCTTTTGGGGTCTGTTTGTGTTTTCCAGGCCTGACACTGGGGCAAGGAAAAGCCAAGACACATCGCACTTTATTAATCAACATTTAGTGATGCTTTTGGAGACAGGCAGAGGGAGCAAGGGGTGTCCTGAGTCCCCCTTTGGAAGGGAATGGGGATAGGGAGCAGGCAGCGGGCAGTGGGCACAGACAACCAGCAGTGCCCACCCAGATGATGCACTAATCTTCCCTCCCCCACCTCCCCTCCCCCGCAGTTTGATGCTTGGCTCTGTCCTGGTGGACTTCTTAAACCTGCACCAAGCGGCTGCTACTGCTGACCCCAGGGATGTCCTGACACTTTCTGGGTGGCCTCCAAGCCACATGCAAATATAACCCAATTTCCACCACTGTCTGAGGAAGGATGTGGGAAGTGCTGGTCCCCCCTGCAGCCCTCACCAATCTCCCCAGTGACCACACGGGAGCATCTCTCCATCACAGCCACTCTGGACCCATTGCAGACACAGGAAGAGTAACAGCATCCCAGCCTGGCGGCGTCAGACGGTTTGGCAGAGTCCCTGTGCACCAGATCCAGTGTTAGGTGCTGAGGATTCACAGCAAACGCATAACCCCTGGACCAGCATGTGAAGTGATCATCCCAAACCCATCATGAGAGACCAAAGGGGGTCTTGGGATTCCTAAGGGCATTTAGCCCAACCTAAGGATTTGAAAATGTACCTGCCGGACATGGAGAAACTGGCACCTTGGGTGTTTTAAAGGACAAATTGTAGGTACACAGGAAAAGAGAAGTGGGAGGGGCATAGAGGCAGGATATTGTAGAAGTAAGTGCTGATGAATGTGGGAGGGTCAACTGTGGGCAGTCTGTAGTGCAGGTGACGGTGGACTATACAGGCTAAGGCAGGGAGCGGCAGGAGACAAGGCCGGGAGAGTCACTGGGGTCTGGGGAAGGTCAGAAGGAGCCTTGAATGGCATACTCAGGATTCGATCTCCCTCCAATAGGCAAAGGGTGCCACCAAAGGGCTCTGAGCTGGGTGAGCGGCTTTGATTTAGAGTTTCCAGAAATGGCTCCGGCATCAGGGCATGAAGGAGGATTAACACCAAAGGCACAAAGTTTGGGACCTGAACTAGGACATTGGTATTAGGAAGAGAAAAGAGACAAATATCTAAGAAATATTTAAAAGATGTAACTGGCCAGACCAGGCATCAGAGTCAACATGGTGGGCAAGGAAGAGCTGCCATTGTGTGTCTCCCGGATATGGGCTCTGATCTCCAGGTCAGAGAAAACTGCAGGCTGGCCTCAGTAGATCCCAGAGGCAGAAGCGACATCCACCAAGCCTGCCTCACTGGGCTGGAGCAGCCTGGCATCTGTGCACCAGCCTCCTGCTGACCTCTCACCGGCTGTCAGGACAGCCCAGGGCAGAGAGGTGACATCCAGGCTACCCGAGGCAGCAGGTCAAACCCAGCTAAGTAACTAAATAAAGATATGATTGTAATGATGATTAAATATGAAGCACCTCATTAATTTCATGTGAGAGGTGGGGAAAACACAAGATAGCCCTTCCTCGAAACTCATTGTTTGCCTGGCCCTGAGACATCCCCACGCGATGTCTTGTTGGGTCTAATTTAAGTATGTACATTTAATGGTTCAGTAAGTAAAATTGCCTTTATTGTTTGGAATGGTTTTTGCAATAATTTATGGGCTTGGCTGGTTCATTTGACGGGTCCCTATGATGGAGTACGTGTCGGCCCTGAAGCGGGTATTTATATAAAGCACTCAGGGAGAATTCAGCCCTGCGGCCCTGAACATCATATTCCCAGGCAGCAAGGGAGACTGGTGGAGGCCACCCTGACCCGGGAGAGGCAGCTGCATACACCCAGGACCGCTGCAGCTTTGGGCACCCTGGAGGGTTGAGGGGCAGGAGCCCAGTGAGCCTAAACCCTTTATTCTTTGGTTCTGAAGTGCCCTGGCAGTGCAACTTGGCACACAGAAACTGGAAAGAATGAGAAGCACTCGGAATGGGCAAAAACCTAGATGTTTTCCCACCCACTTGCCCTGGCCGCCAAGGCCTGAGTCATCCATCACCCACTTTCTGACCCAGCCTGCATCTTGGTCCTCCTCCTTGGATTCTGGGAGGAGAGGGGAGGTTTCCATTGCTAGCCCCAACCCTGGCAAACACTCCACACCCATGCCTGCTGGGGGCAGCTGGGGACAGCTGGGAATGGGGAAACTCATCCACAGAGAATAAAGGGCCAGCAAGTGATGAGTGGACATGACCAGCAAATGGGCCAGGCCCAGGAATGGATCCTGACCCAGTCTGAGGAGGGGCCAGGGCCGGGGCAGGGGCCAGCTGGAGGACCAGAGGGAGGGTCCAGATGGGACCCAGGGTGTCCATCTCACTGGGGACGAGGCAAACGCAGCTACCATGAGAAGATGGAGGTCTGGGAGGCAGGGCCCCGAGGCTCTTCCACACATGATGGATTTACTAGGTGGGGGGATAGAGTAGGTTGTAGCAGAAATTTGATCCTCTTTCATTTTGCCCTGGGGTAACTGGTGAACAGTCTTGAGCTCCTGCCAGCTGGAGCCAAAGAGGGGGAGCTCAGGGACGGCAGGTCGTTTTATGCCGTTGATCAATTCCTTGACCCTGCCCCTCCATTCTTTTTCCATCTCCTCCCCCTGTACTTTTGAGCCCTCCTCACTCTTGAAAAAAAAAAAAAGCCAGTACTGGAAATTAAAATTGGGTAGACAGAGAACCATTTACCGCTTTGATTACCTAACTTCTTTCTTGAGCCGATGGTAAACTAGCCCAAGTTTAAAATATCCCACCTTTGGGCCTGGAGCTGTGGCTCCCACCTTGGGAGGCCAAGGCAGGCAGATCATTTGAGATCAGGAGTTTGAGACCAGGCTAACCAACGTGGTGAAACCCCATCTCTACTAAAAATACAAAAATTAGCCGGGTGTGGTGACCCATTCCTGTAATCCCAGCTACTCAGGAGGCTAAGGCAGGAGAATCACTTGAGCCCGGGAGGTGGAGGTTGCAGTGAGCCGAGATCACGCCACAGCACTCCAGCCCAGGTGACAGAGTGAGACTCCATCTCAAAAAAAAAAATCAAATAAAAAAATAAAACATCCCACCTTTAAAGGGCACAGACATTTTTAATCTGGTCTCAATGATGCTGCTACTGGCACACAGCAAATGGGTGGTGCCTCCAGAGGGAAGGACGGCAAGTGTGGTCCGGGAGCTGATAAGATGCCTCCCTCCCTGCACTCAGCTCCGGCCAGCAGCCTCCTTATTCTGGGAGGGGGCTTCTGTGGACTCCACTGAGCCCCCCACACTCTGTCCATGTTCAGGTTCACCGACAGCATCAGGTTCCATTCCTCCCTCTGCCTCCCCTTCCTCCCCTCATGATTGACCCTGTGGTGAGAGAGGGTGGTGACTCAAGATGCACAACACCTCTCGATTTTCCACTGAGCATGCACTGTGTGGACTATCTAAAGTCAATGTGTGCTTCCAGACCAGCATAATCGCACCCACGGCCCTCCCTACCCCGCATAAAACAGGGGTACTCCAGGGGGAAGCTGCTTATCTGCGATTTGGCCTTGGAAAAGTGCATTTCAGAGAGGAAAGCAAACCACTGTCCAAGCTGCGTCCCATGCTCAACAGATAAACGCCCCAGGCTTCTATCTGATGCTGAGCTGTGGATAGAGGAAGGAAACTGTCCTAAAATGAAGCGGTCTCTGTCTTTGCTTCTAGCTCACTTCTCCTTGTGGGGAGATGGGCCCCTCAAAACAGACTGATAACCACCAATTTTGCCACAATCCACTCTAACAGAGACAAGGACCTTGGCTATCCATCAAGGGCTCACTCACTTCCTGGCCATGGAGTCCATTTGGGTGGATTTTCTCATCTGTGCAGCCCACAGCTGGGCTCCCCAGAAGGCAGACTTTGAGACGAGGAGTTGACTGCAAGTCATTGAATTGGGAGAGGAATCCAGGAGTGGGGACAGGAGATGAGGACAGGAAGGCAACCAATAAAAATGCCTTATTCATACAATTATCACCATGATCGCCAGGCGCTCCATCCCGCTTGGGAGCTCCGGCAGACAGCACAAGCTACGGTGGTGCACCAATGGCCTGCGCACACCTGGCTGAGGGTTGCTCCCAGGTACTCACTCATCAGTACTGTCTCCTGCACCTCCACCTGGTGGGATCCTGCTTCACGGACTGAGTCCCAGGTGTTCTAAATAACAGAGGTGAAGATCAATGGGACATGAGGCATTGGGGTGGGGGTACTAGCAGGGTCTGCTACACCATTTCATAGAGAGGAGAGGAAAGGTCAGCTGCGATTTGGCCAAGGCCATGCAGCTCTTCATGGCCAACAGGAGACTCCAACTCCAAGGCCCAAACCCTCATGACTCTGTCAAAAGGCCTCCAGCCTGGCAACTCTCCCAGTTGAGCCATTGTCAATGGGTTCCCCACAGGACCCGGGGTCCCAGGTTAGAGGGATTAGCAACACTCCTGCTGTGAACACATCCCCCTCCATCACCTGACCCCGTGGAGAGCCACACAGGGGAAGGCTCCAACCAGTGCCTCAGGCAAAATCGAGGAGGTGGCCGGAGGCTGACGTTGAAAACCCTGTGGTCTCCCAGCAAAGATCCGAAGAGTTGACTGAGCGAAGATCTGGCAAGTGCTGGTGACGGGAGAGGTTGGATTCTTCACACGCTGCCGGTAGGAATGGAAAGTCGTGTAGCCAACCAAATTGTAAAATGGAAAATCATTTGGTTGTTCCCCAATAAGTTAAACATAGACTTGCCGTAAGATCCAGCAATTTCACTCCTAGAAATATACCCCGCAAAGGCCGGGCGCGGTGGCTCATGCCTGTAATCCCAGCACTGTGGGAGGCCAAGGCGGGTGGATCACGAGGTCAGGAGTTCAAGACCAGCCTGGGCAAGATGGTGAAACCCCATCTCTACTAAAAATACAAAAATTAGCCAGGTGCGGTGGCAGGTGCCTGTAATCCCAGCTACTTGGGAGGCTGAGGCAGGAGAATTGCTTGAACCTGGGGGACGGAGGTTGCAGTGAGCCAAGATCAAGCACTGCACTCCAGCCTGGGGACAGAGTGAGGCTCTGTGTCAAAAATAAATAAAATAAAATAACAAACAAACAAGAAATATACCCCCCCAGAATGAAGACAGGGGTTCAAACAAAAACTTGTCCACAGATGTGTGTAGCAGCACCAAACAACCCAAATGTCCATCAACTGATGGACGGACAAACAAAATGTGGTGTAGTCATAATACGAGCAAACGCAATTTCAGCCATAAAAAGTCATAAAGCAGCCCAGCACAGCGGCAACTCCTGTAATCCCAGCACTTTGGGAGGCCAAGGCGGGCGGATCACTTGAGGTCAGGAGTTCCAGACCAGCCTGGCCAACATGGTGAAACCCCGTCTCTGTTAAAACTACGAAAGTTAGCTGGGCATGGTGGCACGTGCCTGTAATCCAAGCTACTCTGGAGGTTTAGACTTCAGCCTGAGCGACACAGTGAGACTCCATCTCAAAAAAACCAAAAAGGAATGAAATACTGATACATGCTATAACATGGGTAAATTCTGAAGACACCATGCTCAGTGAAAGAAGCCAGACACAAAAGGCCTCCTACTGCCGATTCCATTCATATGAAACGTCCAGAATAGGCAAATCCACAGACAGAAAGCAGATTGGTGGTTGCCTAGGGCTGCGGAGGTGGGGCGGGGCGGGGGGTGGGGGGTGGTGGGAAAAAGAAATGAGGTGTAATTGCTTAATGGGCACAAGTTTCCTTTTGGGGTGATGAAAATGTTTTGGAATTAGGAATGGCAGTTGCCCAGCACTGTGAATGTACTAATTGCTACTGAAGTATCACTTTCAAACGGTTAAAATGATACATTTTAGGTAATGCATATTTTGTCATAAAAAAAATAGCCACCCATCCTCTACCCCAGGAGAAGGGAGGAGCGGTATTGAGATTATAAACATTTACTGCAAATAATTCAAAAGGGGCAGTTAAGAAACATGTGAGCAATCGGGACTCTTTTTCATGTCCCACATAGAGCCTGGGGAAAATCTGAACCAATAACAATAAAATAATAAGGCCTAACAGCTGTGGGAATACGATTGTCTCTTGGGCTCACATGTGGATAATCGAGAGTTAACTCTTAATAAAATAATAAAACGCAGGAGCAGTGGGAATAAAGATTACCTCCTTAGCCAACTGCCAGAGACCATATTCAGAAAATAATGACTCCCTTTCTACTCCCCTCATTTTATGGTATGAGATGTAATTGTAGCCGGGCTGTTCGCAAACTTCCAGGGGAAGGTAATTGTCAATCAAAATGAAAAATGTCATAATTTAAGCGTGTCCCAGCCTGACAAGAAGGTCCATATGGTCTTTCAGTGAGGCGCGTGGAGCGGTGATTTATGACTGTCACCAGCCCAGCGCTGTCTCCGAGACATTCAAGGACCGCGTGGGCTGGACACTCACCTTCGGTGGCAGGGCCACCGAGTCACACTCCACTCTCAGCTGCAGAGAGTTCCTGACCAGATGACGCCAACAACTGTAAGGTCCTTGGTGAGTCCCCACGGCGCAGGAAGAAAGATGATATAAAGAGATGATTGCCACCCAGAAAACACTGGGAGGAGAGAAAATGACAGAGAAAGAGGACCTGGCCTTAAAATGGGGGGTGAGGGAGGGGTTCTGCCCCACAGTTGCCCACAGCTTTAACCTTTATAGCAAAAACCATAAATTCTGGATGTCGCGGGGGGGTCAGTCGTATCTGGTTGGTTGTTGCATTGCTGTGTTTTTTTTGTCTTACGTTTGGAGGTTTTGTTTGTTTCCTTTCTAAGGATGCTTAAGTGGGAATGGGTATTAAGGTGGCCATATATTGTTGAGGTTGCCCTGGAAACCAGAAGATAAGAGATGCCCTCAAACCTGTACCCAGCCAGGGCCTGAGGAACCTCTACACTCCTTTTGCCAGAAGGAAATGTCATTTCAGGGACCCTCCCCCCACCCCCAGCCCCACCCACATAAACTAAGGCAGCTTTATGGGCTAGACCCTGCCCCTCGACACACACCATTCCCTAACCAGGAAACTGGAGGGTACATTTTCAGACACCCTAAAGCCAATAATTAGACCAGTCTGGGGTTAGAAAAATCCCTGAAGCAGAACAAACTCAACTGTCTGGGCATGTCTGGTGTTCAGCAGAAGGTGCCCTGCCATGTGTCCCTCAAGGAAACCCAGCACCGCATTTGGTGACCATCCTTTACCTCCTTTGCCTCCTTCTCAAATCCCATGTTCAGGGGCTTAAACTCCCACCTTTGAGGATGAACAGAACCCAGATCTTGTTCTGGCTCCTCCTGCTCTGAAGCTTGCCGTATGCAAGCCGGTGTGCACACACGCACGCATGCACACACATGCACGCACACGTACACACACGTGCACATGCATGCACACACACATATGTGCGCGCAAATACGTGTGCGCATGCACATAAATATACACACACTCGCATGCACACACGTGCGCATACACACGCACACAACGGTGCTGTTGTTTTTTTATTTGAAGTAAACACCATCTGTCACCCTAAACGCACAGCAGGGGCTCAGCTGACTGTGGACAGCAGCCTGTCTTCCCTTCACTCTCTCAGGTCCACTGGGCCAGGGGGGCGGGAGTTTCTCCCAAAAATCAGGAGATTAGGGAAGCTCCTGGAATGTCTGAGGACAACAGCAGGAGATTGCAGAGAGCATGTGTCTAATGCTGCGTGCACACACACACACACACACACTCTCACACACACTCTCTCACACGCCCTCCTTACTCTCAGGAGCACCCACCCCACACCCCACACCTCATTGCATCCAGTGCCATTAACTGATCGCTTCTCCCGCCGTAATATTCGAGGCTGTTCGGCAAACCTCCTTCTTTTGTTTCCTCTTCCCCGTGCTGCTCTGCCGTCCTTCTGAGGGGCCTGCTTTGATTAATATCAACCCTCCCTCCCAATCTCTTTCCCAACCATTTTAAAGGGCAATTCCTCTTTTCGGCAGGGGCATTGATCAATCGATACCAAGCAGGGGTCGGGATCGATACGGTTCCGGGGTCTTTGGATACTGGGGTTTGATATCTTTTTCTTCCCCGACCCTCCCCCTTCTGCTACCTAGACCCAGAGCTTTAAGTTCGACTGGAGGGGCTTCTAGAACGCACTGCTGGGGGCCTCAAGAAGCCCAATGACCTTTAAAACAATGTGATAATCAGCTGGGCGGGACGGCTGCCAAAGACCATCCTGCTAATCCTAGGTGGCAGTCCCCTCCCCTCCCCCATCTCTGAAGCTGCCTGCTCTGGTAGCAGCCCCTCTCGTTCAAGAAGCCAGCCTCCCTGATCCCCTGGCTCGCTGGGAGGAGGGCACCAGCCCAGGTGGGCAGGAGGGTGAGCCCTTGCCGGCCCTCCCACTTCCTCCCTCGCTCCATCCCACCACTTCTTTCCTGCGCTCCCAGATCTGCTGTAACTGACATTTTCCATCTGACAGGTTCTGTTTTCCCTGCCTCTGGTTGCCAGGGAAACAAGCGAAGAGGACCGCAGCCAGAGAGCTGTTAGCTGCCTTTTTAAGGCGCCCTGGACATAAACAGCACTTTCCATAATGGAAGCTGGGCACGGAGGCTTAAAAAAACCAAAACAATACAGAAGAGGAGGCTAAAGTGGGAAACAGTCGGGGTGGGGTCCCCACCAGGTTAATGGGAGAGTAAAAGAAGAAATAAAAATCCTAGAAAAATCTCACACTCTTGGACAAAACCAGCCCCCTTCCTGAAAGGTCTGATTCTCTCCTTGATGTGCAAAAAAGGAGAAACTGGACCTCCAGACCCCTACCTCCTAACGTCTTCTATGAAGCCAAAATCTCTGCAGCCAAGCCTCAGCCCAGCTACAGGGAACCTGGGCTCTATTGAGGTGCAGGGGAGCTATTCGGATTGAATCACCCTCCAGGCTAAAAGACGCTCTAATGGAAGTGATGGGGTCCGTCTCCAATTTGGAGACCGCGCAGGCCTATCCTTCAGAAAAGGTTAGAGGGTTTTTGTTTTTTGTTTTAATCTTGAGGGACGCTTGCTCCCCAGGCAGCTAGGAGGCCAGATGCTGGAGTTTGAGAGAAAATGGCTGAACTGTAAGGCAGGCGAGAAGGGAGGGGAGGGTGTCCTCTTCTTCTTTCAGAAAACTTACTAGGGTTGGGTAGACAGAGATAGCTGTCACTCATCCCTGGGTCTTCTCAAAGCTGCCCTTGCTGTGCATGCGTGTGTGTACGTGTGTGTGCATGCGTGTGTGCGTACATGTCTGTGTGCATGTGTATGTACATGTGTGTGCATGTGTGTGCGTGTGTGTGCGCATGCATGTCTGTGCACGTGCGTGTGTGTGCGTGTGTGAGTGTGTGTGTGCACAAGTGCCTAAACACATGGGCATACTTGGGTGGGCCTTAGTGAGCCCAGTGGGAAGCAGGCAATGTTTACTGGGGAGCCACCACAAGCAACACCCTGTTTCTTTTCCACTCCTCTTTCCTCCACCTTTACTTCCGCCCCAAGCAACTGAGTAATGGCTTGCTCTTCTCCACGACCACCTCCACCAGACTCTGCCCATCTCACCCCAAAAAACTCAGCCCAACACCCCACACTCCTGATCCTGTAGACCTCAATCTTCAAGGCAGGCGACACATCACCAGGAATCACCGGTCACTATTTATACTGCGTTTTTCGCCATGTGTTTGCACAGCGTTAGACCTTCTTTCATATGCCATTTGAATGATGTAAAATGCCCTGCCTTGGCCCTGAGTTTCAGGCCTGCACTTTTATCTTCCTTTGTGCCTTTCAACCTGGACGTCCCAGTGAGCCCATCAAACTCAATCAATTCAGAACAGAACTCATTGCCTTCTCCCCAAATTGGCTCCTTCACCCAGAGTTCCTGAGTCAAAGCTGCAGTGCAGTCCATCCCCCACTCCTCTGCCACCGCCACCCACACACACACACCGGGTCTGTCTATACGTCGTCGAACTTCAGATCCTACTTCTTGAGTATTTCCACTCTTTCCATCTGCTCCCATCTTGAGCAGCCCAGGCTCCCACAGTTTTCCCTGAGCTGTTGCAATTGCCTCCTGATCTGCCACCACCCCCCAACCACCCCTCCATGCCTTCTCCTCCCCTAAGCTGCTGCCAGCAGTCATCTTTCCTTACAGGGACCTGCCCTGCTGCGGAGCCCGCAGTGATTCTGCTTAAGAGCAGATGCAAAACCCTGAGCCTGGCACCCAATGCCCTTCGCCACCTGACCTTGACTGAGCTTCCCAGCTCCTTCCCTCTACGCCCGGCCCTCTGACCAGGCCTGCCACGCAGAGACTGGAAGCCCTTTCACACCTCCGTGTCCTCAACCTGGAAGTTTCTGCCTTATCCCTGCTCAGCCCAGCAAATGCTGACCCACGTCCCAGTCGAAGCCTCACCTGGCTGAACTGGGGTCCCCTCCATTCAACACTCACCTCTTCTGTGGAGCACCACGCCTTCGGTTTGGTTACAGGCTTGTTGCCCCACAGGTCTGAGCACTCTTCGGGGGTTGACACCTTGCCCTGCACCCCCAGCACGAGGTGCAGTGCATTGCATGTCACAGGTACTCATAAATGTTCTCTTTTTGTCTTCGCCGTGGGCCCCGGAAGGGGGAAAGACAGATCTCCTGTAGTAAAAAGGAGGACATGACTGTCGTCATCCTGAACGCTTGTCCACATGCATGACGACATCCCTGCATGAAGGAGCAAAGCCGCTGGCTGAGAGGAAGGACCGATTTTAAATGTATTCATTTCATAATCTTTACAGTGATATATTAGAAACATTCTAAAGGATTAAAATGGGGCCGGGCACGGTGCCTCACGCCTGTAATCCCAGCTACTCAGGAGGCTGAGACGGGACAATCGCTTGAACCCAGGAGGCTGAGCTTGCAGTGAGCTGAGATCGGGCCACTGTACTCCTGGGCAACAGAGCAAGACTCTGCCTCAAAAAAAAAAAAAAAAAAAAATGCAGAGAGACGGTCAGGCTCCAAATTGGAGGAAATGAACTGGGACTGTTTGGGAGGTGCCACAGAGGACGTGGCAAGGGGTCAGGACAGTGCAGCCTGGATTATGGCACAGAGGGGATGCCAGATGGGGGAGGGGACGCCAGATGGGGGAGGGGATGTCAGATGAGGGGTAGCTGCCGTACTGGCCAGGGGAGGCCAGTGGCTCACACCCTGAACATGCGTGGGGAAGAAAAGAGAATGACCCCAAGGAGGTGATACTCGAGAACACCTAATTTCACATCAGAAGAGACTGAAACAGGCAGCAAAGAGACCATGAGAGCCAGGTGTGGCAGCTCACACCTGTAATCGTAGCACTTTGGGAGGCTGAGGCGGGTGGATCACTTGAGGTCAGGAGTTTGAGACCAGCCTGGCCAACATGGCAAATCCCCATCTCTACTAAAAATGCAAAAATCAGCTGGGCGTGGTGGCAGGTGCCTGTAATCCCAGCTACTCGGGAGGCTGAGGCCCGAAAATCACTTGAACCCAGGAGGTGAAGGTTGCAGTGAGTCAATATTGCATCACTACACTCTACCCTAGTGAGACTCCTTCTCAAAAAAAAAAAAAAAAAAAAAAAGACAGAGACCATGAGAATATGTGTGTGATACAGCTGAGAACACGAAGAGCAGAGGCTGAGATGGACAGTCAGGCAGAGGGGCTCACGGGTGATCTATTTTTTCAAACATATATTTACAGTTGACTCTTGAATAACATGGGTTTGAACCCCATGGGTTCACTTATTCACAGATTTTTCTTCTGCCTCTGCCACCCCTGAGACAGCAAGACCAGCCTCCCCCCAACACACACACCTTCCTCTTCTTCCCCAGCCTACTCAAAGTGAAGACCTTTAGGATGATCCAATTCTGCTTAATGATTAGTAAATACGTTTCCTGTTTCTTACAATTTTCTTTTCTTTGCTTTTTTGAGACGGAGTCTCACTCCATCACCCAGGCTGGAGTGAATTGACACGATCTTGGCTCACTGCAACCTCCACCTCCCAGGTTCAAGCAATTCTCGTGCCTCGGCCTCCCAAGTAGCTGGGACTACAGGCACCGACCACCACACCTAGCTGATTTTAGTATTTTTAGTAGAGACGGGGTTTCACCACTTTGACCAGATTGGTCTCAAACTCCTGACCTCAAGTGATCCACCCACCTCGGCCTCCCAAACTGCTGGGATTACAGGCATGAACCAGCACTCCCAGCCTGCTATTTACAATTTTCTTAATACCGTTTTCTTTTCTGTAGCTTACTTTATTGTAAGAATAGAGCATATAACACATAAAGACATACAAAGTAGGTGTTCGTTGACTGCTTGTGATATTGGTAAGGCTTCTGATCAAGTAATTAAGTGTTGAGAAATTGAAATTTATACTCAAATTCTCCACTGCATCGGGGTCTCTAAGGGCCAGCGCCCCTCACCCCCACATTATTCAAGGGTCACCCGCAAGGCCGTTATGCTATTTTCACACTTACAAAAAAAAAAAAAGAAAACCCAGGGCAATTCCAATGAACCGTTTTGAGATGCTGTGGGGCCTGAGAGGTTGGGGTACTCAGGGGTGCCGACGTGGGTGTGCAGGCTGGACAGAGGCAAGGGGCTTTGCAAAGGACAGTCCACCAAGATGATGAAACTGGGAGGATGCCAGGGCAGGTGGAGCTGGAACAGCCCAGGTCGCCATGCCTCCCATCCTGTCTCCCCAGTTCCCTCCCCATCTTTCCACTTGGCTGTGATATGCACTGGGCTGGATATGGGCTTCAGTGACCAGCCATCAGCTCCTGCCTCACCTCCTCTAGGGATTCAGGTCACGTGTGACCAAGTGATGGAGACTGGCAACGGCTCCTGCAATGCCCAATACTGTTAATAACAGTAGGAATAAATTTTGCATTGCTGGTTTGGGGGTGACCGGGAGGGTCTCTAGGGCCACAGCCATCTTCTCCAGGTAGGCTGGAGCAAAGGCTTGGCTCTGAGGGTCTGGCTTGGATCTCCAGTGCCACCCTAGTACAGACACCACTGATGTCTGTGAGGGGGCCCTCAACACAACGATGCCAAGCGGCCAGAGACAGTGAAACAGCCCTGAGCTCACAGAAGCAGACAATTTAGGAGCTACCTCTCTGCATTATTCCAACCCTCAGAAACCTCGTGCTTTTCTTCCCAGAAGCAAAGGGTGCTGACTTGTTATAAATGCCAAGGTTGCCTCAGGAAGCTCAGGATCATTCCAGCATCCAGGTGGCCAAATCCCAGGAGACGAGAATGATCGTGCATGCACCTCATTTGCGTCACACTTTAATTCACAGAGTGCTTTCCATCTTTCATGTATTTTGTCCTCTCCATTACCCTGTCAGATAAGCAGGGAAGACATACGTTTACCTTTCCTGTATGTGCGTCACACTTGGACAGCTCACTAAATGGGTTGTCAAGTGATTGCAGAGGGAAACTGAGGCCCTAATACCTTAGGTCAACTGTCCAAGAGGCCAGAGTCAGAGCAGGCTCAAAAGGAGTTAGAAGACTAACTTCTAAGTCAGGACTCTACTTGGATACTATTACCTTCTAGAAGACATCCCTAATGATGATGATGATGATGATGATGATGATGATGATGGGGGCTTGTATAAGCTTCATGTTTTGCAGGTTCGTAATAGATAATAAAGTTGGAGAGGGGATGAAGAACCAGGCTAAAGAGGATCTTGGGTGTCAAGGTCAGAAGTTTCCACTTTTCTCAGGAGCAGTGGGACCCCACATGTCTTCAGCAGGAAGTATGTAGTGGATTGAATAATGGTCCCCAAAAAGGTGTGTTCATGTCCTAATCCCCAGAACCTGTGACTGAGCTCTTATTTGGAAAAAGGGTCTTTGCAGATGTAATTAAGTGGAAGGTCTTGAGATGAGGAGACCACCCTTCTGAGTCTGCTCAAACTCTGGCCCCTTAGACAGTTGGTATAAGGTTTCTGGGCCTCAGTATCCCTCTATAGTCATTTGACAACCCACTAGTGAATTGTCCAAGCGTGATGCACATACAAGAAGGGTAAACATATGTCTTCCCTGCTTATCTGACGGGCTTGTGGAGGGGACAAAATAAATGAAAGATGGGAAAGTGCTCTGTGAATTAAAGTGTGATGCAAATGAGATAATTATCCTGGAATTTGTGGGTGGGCCCTACGTCCAATCATAGGTATCCTTATAAAAGACAGGCAGAGGGAGATTATGCAGACAGCAGAGGTGGAGGTCATGTGACCACGGAGGCAGAGATTGGAGTGATATGGCCACAAACCAAGGAACACAGCAGCCGGCAAAAACTGGAAGAAGCAAGGAAGGGTTCTCCCCTAGAGCCTCCAAGAGGGAGCATGGCCCTACCGGATTTCAGACTTGAGGCCTCCAGAGTTGTGAGAGAATAAACTTCCATTGTTTGAAGCCACCAAGCCTGCACTAATTTGTTACGGCGGCCACAGGACACTCATACAGGGTGAAATGTGCAATGCTGGGGGTATGGGCTTGGTTTCATTTGCTGCTCCCTCCACACTCAGGGCAGGCCCTGCTCACCTCTTTGGACTGATAGAGAGCCAGCCTCTGGGCCTGACCCAAGGTCACAAGGTGGGTGAGTGCCAAGGTGGGACCAGGGCTTGAGTGTCCTCACCGCATCCCAGGTTCTCCCTCGCCAAACTCCAGAAGGCCAGGTGGGCCGCAGCCACTAAGAACTTTGTCCCTTCACACCCTACTCTGTTTATTTGCTACCTAGACCCTGCTCAGGATCTACAGATATTTCCATATGATTTTCACCAATGTAGTAAAGATTCAAAAGAAAAAATAGGGGGGTGGTTGGGAGGCAGGCCCCAAGTTCTAGGAATATTCATTCCCCTTTTCTCTGCCCATGCTATTGTGGTCATGCATAACTCAGTATAACTCTGAGGAGGCCATGATTGAGACTAGGGCATCCAGAGAGCCCTTGGTAATTCCTCCCATTCTCGGGATTATCCATCTTTGAGGTCAGACCCAAATCTCTCTGGTCCTCAGTTTTTGCCTCTGCAAAATGGGATCATTTTCATGTACTCCCCACAGCTGTTATGAAGGATAAATTCAATCAGATAATGTGTGCAACATGTTCAGGAAGATGGACATGTCAAACTCTCCATGGATGATAGTGATGATGATGATGATGATGGTAAAGATGATGGTGATGGTGGTGATGATGGTAATGGTGATGATGGTAGTGGTGATGGTGATGGTAGTTAGTGATGATGGTGATGGTGATGATAGTGATGATGATGGTGACGGTGGTAATAATGGTGATGGTGACAGTGGTGATGAAGGTGATGGTGATGGTGATAGTGGTGATGATGGTGATGGCGATGGTGATGGTGATAGTGGTGATGGTGATGATGGTGATGATGGTGATGATGGTGGTGATGGTAATGGTGATGATAATGGTGGTGATGGTGATGGAGGTGATGCTGGTGATGGTGATGGTAGTGGTGGTGATGGTGATAGTGGTGATGATGGTGATGGTGATGATGATGGTGATGGTGATGATGATGGTGATAGTGATGGTGGTGGTGATCATGGTGATGGTGATGGTGATGGTGGTGATGATGGTGATGGTGGCGATGATGGTGGTGGTAACGGGGTGATGGTGAAGATAACAAGTGATTGAAATGGGCAAGACTCCCAGGAGGCTGTGGGGCTCATTTAGGGGCCTAGGGAGTCCACAGGAAGAAATCCACATTCTCTAGCCTTTCTAAGTGAAGCAAACTTGCTGTGATCACACTAGAACAGCACATACAATGCCCAGGTCTCCAGGACCATGCCAGCTGCCCACCCGGAAAAGCTATTTTCCTTTGCTACCCATAGAAAACCTTTGGGTGCCTCCACTCCTGGGGCACCGGCAACCCCACCGTCAGCCCTTCATTTCTCTTGCCTTTCCTGGATCAAGGAGCACTGCCAGGCTGCCTCTATCCCTGAGAGTTAGATCCAAATAACTGCCTTTGTTATGTTAATTTTGCAAGTGTCTCCACTCCCCCCCCCCAATTATTTGTCATGCAGCAATTCCTATGTGTTGCTAAAAATACAAACACATGACTCACACAGCTTCTGGCATGGGTAAAGGAAAGAGAACATGCATGGCCTTTCTGCTCTTCGGAGCCCAGCCAGGACACCAATCCAGGCTGAGGGGCTGAGAATAAGCTTGTCTCCAGTTGCAGAAGGACAGAAAACAAAAGGCCCAGATGAGACAGAAGGCTCCAGGCTGGTCAGCTGCATCTCTGGGGCATGACACCACAGTTATGAAATCCTTTGCATCACTTGCTCTGCTATTTGGGGCATTACCTTGTGAAAGGTTCAGATCTCAGTTCTTGTTTAGGGTCTTCTGTATTCCACACCCACATGCTCATACCAGCCTCCATGTGCCCAGATGTGCCTGCTACTCTTGGGCCCTCCACAACCTTGCACCAGCAAGGGGCGGGATAAATCTTCAGGGCACCACCCTCATTCAGAAAAGGAAGACGGCTCCATTCTCACCCCTTCCCTGTGATTTCCCCCAGCAGTCCACGTGTCCCTACCCTGGGGATGCTTGTGCAGGTTGGACTTCATTTGCTTCAAGGACAGACCCTGGGGCCAAGAAGCAGCATCTCATGCCAGTGAAGAGATCAAACTCTAGAACTGGCAAATCCGGCTCAGGCAACCTCTGCTTTTTTATCATCCAAATGGGAGCATTAACAGACACCCTTTGAGGGTGATGTGAGGATTAAGGAAGAGACAACCTGCAAAACCATCAGCCCAATGCCTGACCCAGGGAAAGGTTCAATCAGTGTCATCACTGAGGAGCACATATTGTTTTTATTATCATATTCGTGTTCCCAAATCCAGAGGTCGTCTGGCTAGGCAGAGCCATACTTTGCTCTCCCAAATTCGGGGCTCACTTCACCCCATGCTCACCTTACATTGGGGCCTTCTGCCCCTGCTTCCTGGGCACTTCAGCCTCTGAGTCAAGAGGGTGGTTGGCTGAAAAGCAAACACTGTAAGTCCCTGCCCCTGAGACGCAGCAGCTGAAGAAAGCAAGCTTTCAAGAGCATTTGCTTGGCAGCCAAAGCCCTCTGATGAATCAGGGACCTTTTCTGATGACTTACTTTATTCTAGGTGACCTGCTGGGCCATATCCCACTTCCCTCCAGGGTGCTGAGCCGGCAGGAACGAGCATGCGGAGGAGGCAAAAGGGGATGGAGATGGATTTGTGCTTAGAAATAAGATGTGGAGGAGTCCGCCTCAGGTCCCCAGGAGAATCTGTATTGCCTTGGCTGGAGCTGAGGGACTGGACATCCGGTCCCATGCACGAAGACCATCTGCCAGGGCCACCACCTCCTTCCTCCTGAGATGTCCTCCTCCCCAAATGCTCAGCCTCCCTGCAAATCATTCTACTTCTCTGTGGTCAGTGTACAGAGAGGGATTTGGAAATGGGTTGGGGCTGGGGTAGAGCCACATAGAATACAGTGAGAATGATGCCCCAGGGCACTGTGGGGTCTCTGGGGTGCTTTTCATCCATTCGGCAAAATACGTCAAGCAACTACTGTCTAAGGTGTGGCATTCAGTGTCACAGTGAATAAGGAAAGGTTGTCCTGGGGGTCAGGAAGGGAAATGAGACCACACACAAGCAATCCCATCTCTAACCTGAGCACTGGCAGAAAGTAGCAGGGACTTCCTTCTAGGAAGGAAGTCACCATGTCCCAAGAAAGCTCAGCGGCCAAGCTTGCTGGGCCCTCTGTGGGAAGATGGCAAAAGCAGAAATTGACCTCGTCATCAATGAGTATGGCCCAGGGAGACAGATGGCAAGCTGAGCTCCTCACCTGGCTGATGTCTATTTCACTGAAGTCTGAGCTAGTCCAGCCGTTGGAGTCTGTGTGTCACTAGCATATTTGTAGGTCATAGAGTACTTGTTGGCTGATCAGGGCCCAGAGAGCAGCCACTGGGGTATCAGCCAGAACGTGGAGGTTGGGTTCAGGGCCAACACCAATGGGGTTGGGCTCTAGGGTGGGAGGTGCCTATGGACTGTACCCTGGAGAACCCAAAGACCATAGCCACCTTCCAGGCCTTCTTTACCCCAAAGGCCTGTGATTTCCAAAGCTAGGTCATAAGCACATTGCAGCCTTCACTTGCTCTCTCTTGCATCCCTTCCTCTAGGGAAAGAGCCGCCATATTGTGACGATACTCAAGAGCCCCATGGAAAATTCCACATGAAGAGGAACTGAGGCCTCCAGCCAACAGCCAGCAACTACTTGCTCACCACATGAATGAGCCATCTTGGAAGCAGACTCTCCCACCCCAGTTAAGCCTTCAAATGACTCTAGCCCTGCCAACATCTTGACAAAAGGCTCAGGAGAGATGCCAACCTAGAACCACCCAGCTAAGCTGCTCCTGAATTTCCTGAATCACAGAAACTATGGGCAATAACAAATAGTTATTATTATTTGAATCCCTTAAGTTTTGAGGAAATTTGTGATGCAGCCATAGATAATGAATAAAAGGAGTTTCCGTTCAGGTAGACATTCCTTGAGCTTTGATCTTTACTTGACCCTAGGAAGCAGGTGTTTCACCGAGCCTCCCACCTTATAGTCCTTTTCCCTGTACCTGCCTTGTCTTTTCCATCTAGTTCTTCTTGTCTATGCCACTTTACTTGTGATTTTCTCTATTTGGGGCCATCTAGGGATGTTTTTTAGAGCAAGATGGTCATGTTTAATTTTTTAAGCCAAAAACAGCTGTAATCGCCTTTTAATTATACATACAGGATAGAGACTGTGATATGGTTAGGCTGTGTCCCCACCCAAATCCCATCTTGAATTGTAATAATCCCCATGTGTCAAGGCAGGGCCAGGAGAAGATAATTGAATCATGGGGGCAGTTTCCCCCATACTGTTCTCGTGATAGTGAATGCATCTCACGAGTTCTGAGTATTTTATAAAGGGTAGTTCCCCTGCACATGCTCTCTTGCCTGCCGCCAAGTAAGATGTGACTTTGCTCCACATTCGCCTTCTGCCATGATTGTGAGGCCTCCCCAACCATATGAAACTGTGAGTCAATTAAATCTCTTCCCTTTATAAATTAGTCTTGGGTATGTCTTTATTATCAGTGTGAGAACAGACTAATAATACAGGCTGGAAGGGGCAAGGACAGAGAAAAGCTCATAATTAAACCTCTGAGTCAGAGAGGGGTACATCCTGGCAGAAAGCCAATTCCTAAACTGACCACTCCTTGTCTAACTTGGGCGTTAAGTAGGACTTTTTGTTATTAAGATGGTGAACTTTTAGAATGTTATTTTTATCATTTGCCTGCCAAAATAGATTCTATCTTCTTGCCCCTTTGGGATACATCGTTGGAATAATGGCCTCCAATTAATTCATGCCTGCCTGTACCCGTGCCCTGAGTAGCCCCCTCCTTGACTGATTCTGGGCTTGGCCATGTGTTTGACTTTGGCCAATGAAAGAATGGCAAGTGTGGCACCATCAGAGGCTTCGAAAGTGCTTGTGTACTAGGAGCCCTGAAACTACCTTGAGAAGAAGCCCAGGTCACCTCCTGGAGGATGAGAAGCAACATGGAGCAGAGATGGGCCATCTCAGCTGCAATTCTAGACCAACAAGCCTGCCACCTGCCAGAAGGCAAGCGAAGCCACCCCAGAGCCCCAGCGCCAGCCGAGCCAACAGCTTGCCATACGAATCAGCCAAACAGCCTAGAAAAGAACTGCCCAGCCAATCCACAGAAAACAGAAATAATCAATGTTATTTTAAGCCATTAAATGTTGAGGTGGTTTGTTACGCGTACACTTTCCAACCTCTATCCCACCATGTGTTGCTGGAGGACAAAGGTTCTATTTTATTTACATTTGCATTTCCATTCCATGTCTTTCCATGTGTATTTCCATTGCATGCCCTGTACACATGTATGGGCGTCCACATGCACATGTGTGGCACATGACACACACACATAGAAACATGCACACATGTACATGCAACATGTATGCACACACACTTCTCTCACATGCTTAACTCCTAAATTAATTGTAGACACGAATTTCTTTCTTTTTAGTTTAGTTTTTTTTTTTTTTTTTTTGAGATGGAGTTTTGCTATTGTTGCCCAGGCAAAGCACAAAGGCACGATCTCTGCTCACAGGCACCCGCCACCACGCCCAGCTGATTTTTGCATTTTTAGTAGAGACAGGGTTTCGCCGTGTTGGCCAGGCTGGTCTCGAACTCCTGACCACAGGTGATACACCCACCTCGGCCTCCCAAAGCGCTAGGATTACAGGAGTGAGCCACCACACCCGGCCTCTTTTTAATTTTTGTTTTAGATTCAGAGAGTACATGTGCAGGTTTGTTATGTGGATATATTTCATGATGCTGGAGTTTGAGCTTCTACTGAGTCCGTCACCCAAATAGTGAATATAGCACCCAATAGGTAGTTTTTCAAGCCTCGGCTCCCTCCCTCCCTCCCTCCCCACTTCTGGAGTCCCCCGTGTCTATTGTTCCGTCTTTATAACCATGTGAATCCAGTGTTCAGCTCTCACTTATAAGTAAGAACATAGCTGCATGAATCTCAAGCATCCCTTCTGCAACTTCCTGTTGGGATTTTTCACTGCACTGTCAGTGCCTGGCAGCCCCAGACAGCAGGTGTAGACGCCCTGCATTCTCAGGCTTTAGAGAAGGTCACTCTAAATCCTGACCGGGACACGGTCCTTCCCCTTCCAATGCTTCAACACCATAGACAGGTGGCGGAGGGGAAGAGCTGTCAGCGTGTTCTCGGCTAGCTGGGCGATGAGACCTGCAAGAGGTGGTGATGGAGACCTCACAGGGCAACAGAGACCACCCCCCTTAATTCCTTTTCCAGGGGTAGAACTTATGGGGTCCCAGGCCAGCTGCTGGAACTACCTCTGTCTACACAGTTGAGACTTTCCCCTGGCTGGGGCCTGAGTGAACTTAGCTATGACCAAAGTTTCTCGTGGCAGCCTGAGGGACTTTTTATAATCTGTGCTGTGATCTGAGCCTGAGAAATACCAGCCTGCCTCCCACTGGCCCCATAACAACAGGGCGCTTAACTCACCATCCTCTACATTCACCACTTGGGAGAGCTTCTCAGAGATTACGGGGTCCAAGGTCAGGCTTTCATTCTGAAGCAGCCCAACATTCAGAGCTACTTGCCAGAGACGGGCAGGTTAGACATAGGCCATGCCTGGGATCTGGGTCTGCACCAGGCTTGGTGCCTTACCTCTGGCCCTGCAGTCTCCAGCCTGGTGGCTGGTCCCAGGGAAGCCTTCCTCCTGCCCCTGTGAATGCCTGGGACCTGGAATTATTCCCCTGCTCTCAGTCCCAAAGGCCTAAGCCAATTCTATGAGAAATGCTCAGAAACTACTGCTTTTAACAAAATGTTGCCCCTAGATACAGTCAAACACTGTTTCGGGAGTGTAAGTTGCTGTAAGCTTTATGAGGATAATTTGACAATATATATAACATTTTAAAGTGGTCATTCCATTGACATAGCACTTTTACAAATTTACCTTCAAGTATACAAAGTTTAAGAATATTTAATTGAGCCGGGCGCAGTGGCTCACGCCTGTAATCCCAGCACTTTGGGAGGCCGAGGAGGGCGGATCACGAGGTCAGGAGATCGAGACCACAGTGAAACCCCGTGTCTTCTAAAAATACAAAAAATTAGCCGGGCGTGGTGGCGGGCGCCTGTAGTCCCAGCTACTCGGGAGGCTGAGGCAGGAGAATGGCGTGAACCCGGGAGGCGGAGCTTGCAGTGAGCCGAGATCGCGCCACTGCACTCCAGCCTGGGCGACAAAGCGAGACTCCGTCTCAAAAAAAAAATAATAATAAATAATATTTAATTCAGTGTTGCTCATAATAACAAAAGAAACTGGGAGCAAGGGATGGATCATCTGTGCCCCCAGGACAAGGCAGACCCAAAGAGCAAGTGAACAAAATGAAAAGGCACCAAAGAAAGGCAGTTTGTTTGTTTGGGGATTTTTTTGGCCAATTAGAATTCACACTTTTTAGGGTGAGAATAGAATACTCAAATATTACCTAATAATACTTATTTTTTATTTAGTTACATATTTTAAAGCATGTTATATAAAATAATAATTCAGAAATATTGCTTTTTTTCTACCCCTATATTTTGTGAAATAACCTCTTTCCGTTCATTTTTAACTGAGCGTCCTGGGCACCACAAATCCCCTTTTGGGTCATTGAGTAATTTTCAGAATGTGCCATCTCAGTGGAGATTTTATTCTGGGCCATCGGGGAACATTTACTTCATATGAGGACAGGCTTTCATTTGGTTTTGTTTCATCCATTCATCTTGCAAGGGAATATTCATGCTTTCCACAAGAGAGGTAGCTACTTACTTACCATATTGCTTTTTTTTTTTTTTTGGCAAGGTCTCACTCCATCACCCGGGCTGGAGTGCAGTGGCACGATCACAGCTCACTGCAGCCTCAACCTCCCAGGTCTAAGTGATCCTCCCACCCCAGCCTCCCAAAGTAGCTGGAATTATAGGCACGAACCACCAGGCCAGCTAATTTTTAGTATGTTTTTTGGTAGAGACCAGGTTTCTCCATGTTGCCTAGGCTGGTCTTGAACTCCTGGGCTCAAGAGGCCTCCCAAAGTGCTGGGATTATGTATTGCACTTTAAAATACTATTTAAAGTTCTATTTACAATACCATTGAGTAAAGTCTAATAGAGGAAATGTAAGATAATCTTTATTTTCGAGGGAATTATTTTTAAATCTTGCCTTATATTAACTTATGCACAATAAATGTCTATCAATAAGGGTTTCCCTTAATCAGTTATGGCACAGCCATGCAGTGGAGTACTATATAACCTTTAAACAGATCAAGAGATCTTGAGCACAGAAGATGTCTGCAGTGTATTTCTGAATGAAAAGAGCAAACTGCAGAACAATATATACAGTCTAATTCTATTTTTCAATACATATATGTGTTACTATCCACAGAAAATGATACAGATTAAAATGTCATATTACTAATAGTTACTGAAATTGATAGGATTGTGAAAGCTTTCACTTTTTCTTCCTATATATCTGTTGTCCTAAAATTTTCTTATAAATGAGTATAGCTTCCTTTTATAATTATAAAAAAGGTTAAAATTAAAAATAAATGTATTGTGCCAATCCTAAAATTACCAACCATAAGTTGCTCATCAGATTTATATGATAGACTTCATGATGCTTAATATTTGTGGATAAATTATCATTTCTGCTGTATAGATAATGCCACTTCATAAATATACAGAAAATCAAGTGGATTTCCAAAATCCGAAATAGACTCTCCTATAAATTAAAGGAGACTGAAGACCCTGGCATGATTCTCAGGGAACAAATGTTTCCATTGTAACCCCCTGAACTAATCCATGAGGACATACCAACCTCAGGGCTTAGAAGCTCTTGCAGGGGCCTCCTGGCATTGTGACTAAAACCACAGTTACATTCTCTTTTAATGAGCCCACAGGCACACCAGAGATCCCTGCTGCATTCGTCAGGATGTGCTAGGGGACAGGCTCGCTATGGACAACCAGTCCCCCACTGAGAGCTAGAAAGCTGGGTAACGTGAGACACCCAGGAGCTCTCAAGGCAGGAGGACTTGAACAGGCAGGCCAGGACCCCAGAGTGAAGGGAGACCCCATGGGCTAATCATGACATTCTACACTTCTTTCCTTCCTGGGGTGTCTGTTGATCCATAAATGGCTTGGACAGAGGGCCAAGAAGCTCACAAGACAACAGCCCCTAAGAGACGGAGAAACTGAGCCGTTTCAGCCATCCCATGGGGCTGGATGCCAAGCATTGGAATTCAGATCTATTTAGGAAGCCAGGATTTATAGGGATCAGGAGACAACAGGATCCCAGAGAGAAAAGAAGATGCCCAGAGAAGTCAGTTCGACACACTGGGCCACTGTTGTTTGCAAGGCACTCAGCGGTTTCGAAGTGGCACAGGCCACGAGGAGGTAGGTGGAGAGGCAGAGGCAATATCTGAAGAGATACCGGCTGGGAATTTTCAAACCTGACAAAAGACATCAAGACACATATTCAAGAAGCACTTAGAACCCCAAGCAGAAGCATTATAAACACACACACACACACACACACACACACACACACACACACACACACACACATATTCACAGTCTCCCTGGTACATCATCATAAACTTGCTGAAAGGCAAAGACAAAAAGAATATATCAAAAGCAACAACAACAACAAAAACATATTAGCTTCACAGGATCAAGAATTCAAATGATAGCTGATTCTCAACACAAACGTGGAATGGAATGACATCTTTAAAATTCCAAAAGAAACCAAAAATTGACTAGAAAACTAAAATATCCTTCAAAAGCAAGGTGAATGGACCCAATAGAAATGCAAACATTTGTTCACCAAGAGATATGCACAAGAGGGTTCACGGCAATGTTAAATACTATTATACTAATGTCAGACACCGGAAACAGACCAGGCGCTGTGGCTCACGCCTGGAATCCCAGCACTTTGGGAGGCAAAGGCGGGTGGATCACTTGAGGCCAGGAGTTCGAGACCAGCCTGGCCAACATGGTGAAACCCTGTCTCTACAAAAAATACAAAAATTAACAGGGCATGGTGGCACGTACCTGTAGTCCCTGCTACTTGGGAGGCTGGGGCAGGAGAATTGCTTGAACCCGGGAGGCAGAGGTTGCAGTGAGCTGAGATCATACCACTGCACTCCAGCAGTCTGGGCAACAGAGCGAGACTCCGTCAAAAAATAAAAATAAATAAATAAATAAAAACAACAACAAAACAAACAAAAAAACCTGGAAACAGCTCAGCACCCATCAACATTAGAAGAGATAAACTGTGGTAAGATTTATAACATTGAATGCTACATGGCAATGAGAATGAATGAACTAGGACTATACCTAACAGCCTGGAAGAATCTTTCAGACACTGAATGAAGATGGCAGAGACAAAAACAACAACAAGCTAACCTTTGTTGTCAGAAACCAGGGCAGTGTTTACCTTAGGAGCAATAGTGATGAGAAGAGCCTTGGGAGGCAGCAGGCGGGCGGGGGAAGGGGGAGGTTCTGGGGAACTGGTAACGTTCTGTTTCTTGATCTGGGATCTGGTTTCATAGCTATATTCACTTAGTGAAAATGTATCAAGCTGTGCATTTATAATGTATGTGACTTTCTGTATGTATGCTAGACTTTAATAAATAATTTACATATAACATGGAAGCTAAACTATAATTTTTACAAGACAAATTCGAGAGAAAGAGCTAATATTTAGTGCCAAATGCACAGTAGGTGGTGAATAATTTTTTTAAAGCCCAGAGAACCCTCAGATGTAAGATTACAGATCCCCGGCTTTCCCGGCGTTCCCGGCTTTTCTCTAAGCAATGACTCACACCTTTATTTAGTATACCTAAAGTTTTTTCTAATTACAAGAGGGAATATATAATTATTATAAGAAATTTAGAAAAATATAGAAAAAAAGTAAGGAAGAAAAATGTAAAATACCCACAACCCCACAACTCCAAGTTTATGTAAAGTGTTTTTATTTCTGATCATCTTTTTGCACACTTGTACACTAATGTTGTGTAAGTGTGTGTTTTTACCTTATTCATTTAGCAGCATGCAATAAACACTTTTCTTTGTTATAATGAAGTAAAGAAATAAAAGTGAGGGTAAGATAAAGACATTTCCAGACTTCCCCTCAAAAAAAAAAAGGAAAGAATTTATTGCCAACAACTCACACTAAAAGATAGGTAAAGAGGAGATTTTTGAGCAAAGGAGTGTAATCCCAGATGGAAACTAAAAAAATAAGGCAATAAAGAAAATCCCTGGAAAAGGTAAACATTTGGGCAAATATAAATGAATTTTTACTACATAAAACAAAATGAATAGGCAATAAAAATTCAGGTTAAAACATAAAAAGGATTAAATGACAAGGAAACAATAGCATAAAAAGGCAGGAGGGGTAAATAGTGTAAAAGCTTTCCAAAGTTCTGGCCTTGTCTGGGAAGTGGTAAAAGTTTTGCTCTATATTAGTCTTCAGTAAATCAAAGATGCATGCTATAACCTCAAGTAGAATCACCACTGCAAGAATAGTAAAAGACAGTCTCACTAACAAGCTAATGACAGAGGAAATGAAATAATAGGATTTACTCATTTCATCCCAAAAAAAAGGCAAGGAAGGAAAGAAAAAAATGAACATAGAATAGATGGGATAAATATAAAACCCACAGTAAGATGGTATGTTTAAACCCAAACAAATCAGTTATTGGATTAAATGTTCAACCAACATGCCAACATTTATTAAACAATATATAACAAGTGTTAAAGGTTGGACTAATATGGCGAAAATTGGACTGAATACTCCAATTCAAAGATGAAGATTTTCAGACTCGATTTTTTTTAATCAAACTATATGCTCCTTATGATATCACAGAAATGCTGAAAGTCAAAGGATGGAAAACAGCACAGGTTTATTTCTGGCTCCTGTAAGGGGCACCAGGCTCTGGGTGACCTCTGGGGCATGACTGGGCCTCCACGACCTTGGTGAGTGTCACGCAAGCATTCAATGCTCCCTAGAGGATGTGGCCAGCATTGCTGTATTCACATTTCATCGCCAAGGCACACCACACGGCCGCCACTCCCTCCAGGGACCAAGGAGCACAGCCCTTCATGCACAGAGGGAGCCCAGTGCCACACGGTCCCTGCAGGTGGCCAGCCCAGGGGGAGAGACCAAGAGTGGGCTGTGGCTTTCACTTTTGGCCATGGTCAAAGACTTCACCTCGGCCGGTCTCCAGCAGATGTCCTCTCCTGGTCATAACAGTCAGGGCAGCTGGGCATGGTGGCTCATGCCTGTAATCCCAGCACTTTGGGAGGCCGAGGCAGGAGGATCACTTGAGATCGGTAGTTTGAGACAAGCCTGGGCAACATAGCAAAGCCCCGTCTCTACAAAAAAAATACAAAAATTAGCCAGACATGGTGGCATACGCCTGTAGTCCCAGCTACTTGGGAGGCTGAGGTGGGAGGATCATTTCAGCCCAGGAGGTGGAGGTTGAAGTGAGCCGAGATCGCCCCACTGCATTCCAGCCTAGCCTATAGATCCAGACCATGTCTCAAAAAACAAAAACAAACAAACAAAAAAAAAAAACAAAAAACAGGGCAAGCACATACATGGACAGCTGGAAACCCATCTCGCCCGCACCTGCCCTCCTGCCAGGTGGTCATGGGCCTCACTTGGTCCAATTTTGTCCAGGTCACCAGTGGTTTCAGATTTGGATGAGAAGATAATGGCTTCACCTTGGATGCTCTGGGCCGATGCACTTGGGGAAGATTCTGTGAGCTTTTGGATTCTGGGAAGAGTCGGCATCCAGTAGGCAGTAAGGTGCACATGCCAGGGGCTCAGGGGAAGCCTTGCCCTAGAGACACAGGTGCAGATGTGCCCCAGTTATCTTTTGCTGCACAAATAACAGCCCCCAACTTGGTGGTGTCAAATGGCCATTTTATGATGCTCATCTGTGGGTCGTGAATTTGGATGAAACCATCCACAGCATGGACGGTTTGTGTCTGTGCTGGGGAATCTAGGACCTCAGGTGGGAAGAGATCTTGGGATGGGAGTGTGTGGCTGTGAGACCCAATCTCCATCCTGACCTGAGAAACGGTGTGACCTCAATACCGATGAGCTGTCAGAGGGAAATGAAGTGCCCGGCCACTTCCCTGGAGGCGCACGCCTCCCCTTAATCTCCTCTCTCCACACCAAATGCGGGCCTCGAGAGGGGGATCCCAGAGACCCCAAGGCCCATGCGCTGCTGCCCTCTGGAGACACCCCAGCCCCCCCGCTCCTCCACTCACACTCACACACACACCCTCACGCATGTATTCACACATCCTTGCACACATACACTCAGACCCTTCCGAACAGGCAAGACGGTGCCTCTTGCTCAGACCCCTTCCCGGACCAAAGGACAAACAGTGAAGCACGGGCTAGAGCCCTCCTCACCCAATTGTCATTTTTATTGGTAGCCCTGGATTCTTCCGGCAGTGGAGAGGGAGGAGGTGCTGACGAAATCTCACAGGGAAGCTGATGAGAAGCAACAGCCAAGAACTGCCCACTCGTGGGAGCAGCCTGTCTCTTCCCACCTCTGCCAGGAGGGTGTGGTCACCAGAATTCCCCAGCTGGACAAAGGAGGTCGAGGGAAGGTCACCCCTCCCAGCAAAGTAAGGAGAGTGCCCTGTGCCCTGTGCTCAGGAGAGATTGGGGCCGCACCCACCTGGCATTGCCACACCTCTGGCCTCTGCGCTCCCAGTCCCTTCATCACTGCAAGCCTCGGTTCCCGCCTCTGTCAAATGGGCATTTTCATGTCATAAAGCTTCCCAGGTCGTTTTCGGAGAATTCCATGGCAGCCCTTATGAAAGCACCCTGTACACTGTTAATGCAGGCACTGTAAAATACTATGATTAAAAATCATATTTTCTGGCCAGTTGTGGTGGCTCAAACCTGTAATCCCAGCCCTTTGGGAGGCTGAGGTGGGTGGATCACCGGAGGTCAGGAGTTCAAGACCAGCCTGGACAACATGGTGAAACCCTGTTTCTACTAAAAATACAAAAATTAGCCAGGCATGGTGGCAGGCACCTGTAATCTCAGCTACTCCGGAGGCTGAGGCATAAGAATTGCTTGAACTCGGGAGGCTGAGGTCGCAGTGAGCCGAGATGACGCCACTGCACTCCAGACTGTGCAACAGAGGGAGAGTCTGTCTCAAAAAAAATCCTATTTTCTGTTAGTGGAGGGGGCAGAGGACAGATTCTGGGAACTGTATGTGCACTCAGGACCTCTTCCAGCATTGCATGGAAATGATCTCTGGGGCCTAAGGAAGCAAGGGGAGGGCCGTAAAGGGTGCCCCGGAGCCAGGAAAGGGCATGGAGGCAGTGTGGCCTGTTAGGCAGGTGGCATCACAATTTCTGCCAGGCCCTGCCTCACCCCAAACGGTTTCCAGAAAAGGCACTGTTGCCGTGGGAACACTCGTCCAATTATTCTACTTTGCAGAAAATCACTTTTCAGCCAACTTGGTTAGAACACGTCCCTTCTACAGAGCAAAAATTGCATCTTGGTTTTTGACCTCACCCATGACCAAATATTTGAGTGGAGAAGTGGCCAGAGGACTCAGGCCACAAGAGAGATGGTCATCTAGCGGGAGATGGCAGGAGAGACCCAAGCCCTGTAATAAACCGCAGGTGGACTCCAGATGTCTGCAAATTGACAGACGAGTAGGAGCCTCCTTGAGGGACGAAGGGACAGCAGGAGTGGGGAAGGATTGAGGTTGCTCGATTCCACTCAACCAGTGGCCCTGAGGGCCAGGCCCTGCTAGACACTAGGAAAGCAGAGATGCTTCCGACACCACTTTCTGCCTCTGTGGGGGGCTCAGAGTCCAAAGGGGAGTGGACACTGGTGAGCAGATTAACAATAAGTGACAAGGACAAAGATAGAATATGTTCTAGGTAGTAAGAAGTAGCTCAAGGGAGGAGAGAGAATGGAGGAGGGTAACTTGGAGGCTGGGTTTTGACGTATGAATAGGAGTTTGCCAAGCAGACAAAGGGTAAGGGAGGGTGCTCTGGGCAGAGGAAGCACGAGTAAGGAATGGAGTCATGCAACAACAAAGTACATTATGAGAACAACAGGTTGTTGAGCAGCGTCCCGGTGGAAAACACCAAGGGGGAGAGACAGAATCGTCAGGTTGGAAGCTGAGTGCGCCCTGCAGAGTCCGGTGTTTGGCCTTTGTGCAGTGGGAAGAATCCCCATCGGACTGGCATTTGACAAAGGCAGGCAGGACAGAGGGCAGGAAGGAAGGGCAGAAGACCAGCCAGGAGGCAAGAGGCAAAGAAGCCTGAACCGGCGCCAGTGTCAGGCAAAAGGAGCAGGAAGAGAGGATCAGCAGGCCTGGGTCTTGGGGGATGGAGGGCCAGGGCCAGGAATGAGGAGAAGGCCCTGCCAGTTCTCAGCCTCGGGAGACAAAGTTTAGAGATGGCTTGAACCAAATGGGGGACAGAGGAAGGCTTGGTCTGGAGGGTGGAAATGGGGCAGATTGAGTCACATTGAGGAGGAGGGGCCCAGGGAGCATTGAGGAGGTTGGCAGGTGTCAAGTGCTATTGAGCCAAACTGCCTGAGTTCCAACTCCAGCACTGCAGAATACTAGCTGTGTGGCCTTAGGCAAATTACTGAACCTCTCTGAGGCTGTTTCATCTCTCTTATGAGGATTCACTGAAGTCCATGTGAAAAGCACGTAGCCCAGGAAGGGAGCTGATATGGGCTCTTAAGGCCCAGACTCCCTGGCTTCCTGGCCAGGGTCCTCCTGCAGCCTCCACGGCCTATGGCCCCTGCGAGACTCAGTAAAATGTGTTGCGTGCAGGGCCGCCCTTTACCAGGCCCATGAGCCTGCCTGGTGCCCTCCAGGGTGAAGACCACCTTGTCCAGCTGCCCCTCCTCCCCATAACTCACCTGGCCATGCTAGGCACAGCAGAGCGAAGATACATTTTCCCAAGCAAGCGAGACCCAAGTTACAGCTAGAAATGTATGGAATATGCTGTGTCACACGGAAAACGGCAATGCCTGAAATTCCAGGCTCCCTCCAGCTCCCCACTGAATGCACATCCTCCAGGGACATCCCAGAGGCAAAAGAGGTGGGAAGAAGGGGCAGGGCTCCCCCACACCTGAGTCCCTGCTGTGGGTTAGGGATGCCCGTCTGATCTCAGACTGGCAGCATCTATTCAACCATGTCTACCTCGTTCCCTGAGGGTGGGAAGGACTCGTTCTCTTACACGACTTGTTTCACCTTTAGGAATCAGCGGACAGTGGAGCATAGCAAGGAAATCCTCCCACCACTCAAATTAGAACAAAAGGTGCCTGCAATGGCTCTGCAGTGTTCCCCTCCTTCCTAGCTGCTTCTGGTGTGTGCAGAACCAACAGCATGATGAGGTCAAGGACCAGGCCAGGATCCGCTCAGCCCAGGAAGAAGGGAAGGCTTTCAAAAACCATGATTTGAACTCGCTTAGTTGCTCTTCAATGAAGTGCAGAGCCCTTGGTTCCCTGCACGCACACCAGCACGCCCAGCCTGCGCGTTCCTCTCTGCTCCTCCCGAGACACTGCAGGCTGCACCTACGCGAGCGCTTGGTCCTCCCTCCCTCGTGTCGTCTCAGGAGCTCCCTGCAAGAGGCCCACCCTGCCTATGAGTTCCTAGTCTCCGGGGCCCTGCCTTAGTTACTTTGCATGTGTTGATTGGACATTAATCCCAAGCTAGGTATTTTACCGACCTGGGTGACTTTACTTTTTGGGGAACAGAGGCGTTCTTTGTCAGCTTGCCCGCTCTGTGGACTTTGTGTGCATGTGGGTGGCTGTGTTCAATGGATGACCTGCTGGCACTTGGGATGGAACAGTCCAGTCTCCTACCTCCTGGCTGTGCCTTAGAGAAGTCTGAGGAAATGACTTCCCTGGACAATACACACCTCTCCACTAGATTGCTGCTGGCTCTTCACCAGCAAAGCCACCTGGAAGGTAGCTCTGGCATGGAGAGTTTTTCACCAACCCTGAGCTCCTCAAAGATGCTCACCTGGCTCAAGCCACTTCCACCTTCCTCCTTCTGTGCCTAGCACAGTGCCAGGCATGTAGGAGATGCTGGCAAATGTGTGTGAACTCATTCATTCATTCATTCATTCATTCATTCATCTCTAAGATGGTCTCAATTCTCCCTAAAGGCCAGCATTCCTCTGCAAGAGACTGGAGAACCTGGCGTGTATCTGTGTAAGAAAACCCTCTGTGGAGAGCTGGTAGGGCCATATGGCCCCCAAAGAACAAAATAGAATAAGCCGGTATGGGGGACTAGACAGGGGCATGTCCAGGTGCCAGGGAACATGAGTACCGGTAGGCAGCTCCACCAAGCCTGGCTGCTGACGGCAGAGAGCAGACTGGGGGAGTCCAGGCATAAAGGCCAAGGTGTGACCTTGACCCCCAAAGGAGTAGAGGAGAGACCGAGGCAGCAGGACTCTGGCTGGGGCTGACAGCCCAAAGTCTCTCCTACAGAGCAGTGGTCAGTGCCCGAGGAGCATTAGAAGGGCACTCCCTCAGGGTAGCTCCCCCCGCCCTGCCACCCCTCCCCATCACTGCCCCCACTCAGGAAGCAGAGGCTGGCTTCCCCGAGCCAGGAATTCCTAGACCCCCAGGGTGTCTGTGATCATCTCTATCCGCAACCCCCACCCCCACCCCCCGCCGCTTCCCACGTCAAGGAGACCTCACTGCCAACTCTTGGGAACCTTCATTGCTGGCATCTGCTAGAGATGGCCCCTGGGACCTTCAGGGCCTCAGACACCCACCCACACACCCACCCCAATTTCCCAGACCATGCAACAGTGTCCTTGAGAGGCCTCTCAGAGCAGGGCAGGATCGTGAGCTTGGGGGCTTCACAGACCTGGGATGGAAAACAGCACTTACAGTTGCCTGGCCTTGAACAAGCCACCCTCCCAGGCCTGAGGTTTGCTTGTCTATTCCGCAGAGGGGATGACACCGCCCCCACCCCCAGAACTGCTGGGAAGGGGAGCCATAGGGTGACATGCAGACAGCACCTGAGACAGAGCTTTCCCCTCCTCTCCACAGCCTCCCGCCCCACCCTGCTCCGTGAGTGGAGTGATCACATCTTCCGCACCCAAAATTGAAACACGTGGTTTGACAAAGGATTTCTGGGCTCTTGCTAGATACACAAGGGGGTTTGAAGGATTCCATCTGAATGTCAAAATGGCAGGAAATCCACATCCTGCAGGTGAAGCTGACTTTGAAAACAGGACTGCTCTGGGACTCCAGAGTGAGTCTCCTCCACAGACACAAGGGTTGGTCCTGCCTGACCCCAGATATCCAGCCTTCCCCCTCACCTGCTACCTTGCCCATTACCTGAGGCCTGGGCTGCAGGGTGCCCACCCCCATCCTTGATGCAGCAACAAGGACTGAACGTCCCTGGCTCAGCATGGAGCTGGTGCCAAGAGCAGCCCACCAGGCAGAGGAAGAGAACTGAATCCACCACTACTGCGGAGGGAAACGATGCAATTCATAAAAAGCATCAGACCCTCCCCGGCCCCGGCATCACTGCAGGTGGAGACAGACCCCAAACAGGTGCCTGGGCTTCCACTACAAATCACCCTATTGGGAAAAAAAGGGTGAAAGATCTCTATAATGGAAAACCATGACTCAGTTCTGTTGGTTTGTTTGTTTTTTAAGGCAAAGCTCTCAGCTCTGCAAAACAATCCCAGGGTCCTTATAATTTAATCAAAAGGTGGGGCATTTGGTCCACCCTGAAGAGCCAGGCATCATTTTCTGGATGTCTGTTCAGCTGGAAGGAGAATGAATCTCTTCCTTTCTAAAACAATAAAAAGGTGGATAATTAGCGTGTAATGGTTAATGGGTAATTTTACAGGGGCGAGCTGAGTTCATAACATCATTCTGAATATATTTGCATTTAACTGAACTCCTTTTTTCTGTCTCTCTTCTGTGATTTTTTTTGTTGTCACTGTAATTATTTTAATTGAGATCTTCCTGTAATGAAAACAAAGAACAATGTCTGTGGGAGGCTTCTGAGGTGGCCGTGAGCTTGGCGGTGCCTCCTCTCCCAAGTCAGCTCAGGGTCCGCAAGCCCCTCACTCAGCCTCTGGAGGCCTCTGCCCTCTCCACCTGCTCTCTCACTCGGCTCCACTGACGACAGGAACAGGCAGGGAGGCTTTGTGTATGCGTGTGTGCCTGTGTGTGTGAGGGCTTCTGTGTGCATGTGTGTGCATGTGCCCATGTGTGTGCATGTATATGCATGTGGGGTGTGCGTGCGTTCATGTGTGTGCATGTGTGTGAGCGTGTCCGTGTGTGTATGTATATGCATGTGGGGTGTGTGTGTGTCCATGTGTATGCACGTACATGCGTGTGGGGTGTGTGTGTGTCCATGCGTGTGTGCATCCATGTGTGTGCATGTATATGCATGTGGGGTGTGTATGCATTCGTGTGTGTGTGCGTGTATGCATGTATGATGTGTACATGTGTGTGCATGTACGTGTGTGTGCATCCATGTGTGCCCGTGTGTGTGCATGTATATGCATGTGGGGGTGTGTGTGTGTCCATGTGTATGCACGTACATGCATGTGGGGTGTGTGTGTGTCCATGCGTGTGTGCATCCATGTGTGTGCACGTATATGCATGTGGGGTGTGTATGCATTTGTGTGTGTGCACGTGTGTGCATGTATGATGTGTACATGTGTGTGCATGTACGTGTGTGCATCCATGTGTGCCCATGTGTGTGCATGCATATGCATGTGGGTGTGTGTGTGTCCATGTGTATGCACGTACATGCATGTGGGGTGTGTGTGTGTCCATGCGTGTGTGCATCCATGTGTGTGCATGTATATGCATGTGGGGTGTGTATGCATTCGTGTGTGTGCGTGTGTGCATGTATGATGTGTGCATGTGTGTGCATGTACGTGTGTGTGCATCCATGTGTGCCTGTGTGTGTGCATGTATATGCATGTGGGGGTGTGCGTGCACCCATGTGTGTCCACGTATATGCATGTGGGGTGCGCATGTGTTCATGTGTGCATGCATGCATGTGCGTGTATGCACGTGTGTGTGCATGTGCATGCTTTCGTGTGTGCATTTGCCTTCCTTCACTGACCCTCACCTGTTCCAGGACAGAGTCTTGCTATGTTGTCCAGGCTGGACAGTGCAGTGGCTATTCACAGGCGTGATCACAGCTCACTGCAGCCTCGATCTCCTAGCCTCAAGTGATCCTCCCGCCTCAGCCTCTGAGTAGCTGGGACCACAGGTGTCTGCTACTGCACCAGCTTCAGTGCAGACGTGCAAAGGTACAAAGTGAACACTCAGGAAGCTCAGAGAGAGCCTGTGGTCCCCAGGAAAGGCAGCTCAAAGGCAGCTTCTAGGGATAAGGCCAGCAAAGAGCTTCAGGCTGTGCATCACATGTCGACCACCTTGGCTTTGGGGTCCTAAATGTACCAAACACAGGGAGGATGGGAAGAGGTGCCTGCTCACAGAAGCCTCTGTCCCAGCACAGAGGGGGCTGCCCTCGTTTCTTCAGCTCCCTGTCTCTCCACATGGTCACCAGGAGCATTGCTCAGGAAGGCCAGTCCCTGGGAAGGAACAGTAACCTTCCCAGAATGAAAGCCGCAGTCTAAGCCACAATGGGGCCATCTGTGAGGCTGACAGGGCCTCAGCACAGCTGGGGACACAAGCAGGCAGCAGACCCTGGAAGACTCCATCCCTGGAAGTCCTGATCAGGAGGGGCACCGGCCCACCCACTCAGCCCAGCCCAGCAGGGCACCTCTCCCAGAGCCGGTCCCTTCTCCCTCTGCCCCAGTAACAAACCTTTCCTCCCAGGAGTGCTGAGTGGCGGGGGGGTGGGGCAGAGGAAACTCCACCCTGATTTTTCATTGTTTTTACAGAAAAGTTAGTTTCTGCCAAAAGGAAAAAATTAAAATGGGAACAGCCTCCCCCACCCCTGGGGAATTGTTATTCTCTTGATTAAGCCCTCGCCTGGCCTGGCCACCGATGCTGTGCCTGGCAAATCCTCTCTCCTCCTTAGCTAAAGAAGGCCTTCCCGCTTCCTGCTCAGAAGGCCCAGGCCTTGTTGGAGTTTGAAGCCAAAGCAAAAAAGAGGCAGGACCAGTCGACCTGGGCGTGAGCAGGAGGGGCCCGGAGAGAGGGCCCCAGTGCACAGCCATGACCCAGGACCACCTCCGGACCCCACCCACCCCTCTGGACACACAAGTTAGGGTTCTGATTCTGAAAAGTTGTCATTGAGTCTCTGCAGCCTCCAAGGCTCCGTCAGTCCTAAAGTTTATCCTCCCTCCCTCTCCTTGGAGAACCAGCCCACTCAGGCTCACCGTGAAAGCCGCTGAGCTGTGGGCGTTCTATTTTCCCTTTCCGGCCTCCTCTGAGTCACAGTGCTGGGAGGAGGGGGAAGCCACTCTTGGAGATGGGCCCTCTTCTCCCCTTCTTGGAAGGCCCTGGGGGTAACTGGCTTTTGATCCCCTACCCCAGCCTGTGGGTGGATGGCTGCACCCTGCTGTGCCCAGGCCAGTGTCCCTTCCCAGCCTGGCCCAGCTCGGCACATCCTGGCTCCCTGCTTCCCTGTCCCAGGCAGGTGATGTCTTCAAGCATCTGTCTCTGCTATTTGGGGAGGTCAGGTAGGGGTGGGTAGGGTTGACGCCTGGGCCGATAGTAAGTTGAAATGCTGGGAGGAGAGAACAGGAGACGTTCACCCCTCCCACCACCTCCAGAGAAATCCAAGGCAGAAGTGAGGCAAAGGCCAACGGGGCTGTATACAGGGCCGAAGGGGAAGGTGCAGGTGCGGGCACTGCCCGCAGCCCATTCCATTTCCGGGCTTGCTGACTGAGCTCCCACTGCCAGCGCCTGCGCCTCTTTCTCTGGCCACGAGCGCAGCAGACCAGAAGTGCCAGGGAAGCAACACCTGCCCCCAGCCAAAGCAGCCCTCAGTCAAAGCCCAGCAGGGTTTGGTGCATGAATGCCCCAGGTCCCTGGGTCCTGAGGGATGAGCCTCCACCTGCCTCCCAAAGGTTCTGGCAGGACTGCGCTCCAGCCACCTGCAGTGGTAACCGGCTTCACAGCCCACTTTTTGTGTGCAAAGGTCCTTCCCTTCCCCGGCTCATTTCTCACGCCCCTGCCTGTGCCCCTGGGATCACCTCCCAAATAAACTACTGGAACTCAAGTATTTGAGTCAGAGTCTGCTTCGGAGGGAATCCAAAATAAGTTGGGAGGGGTGGCGATGCTCTAGCCACCTGCTTCTCTGTCCTCTTTCACACAAATGTATCCTGCTTCTTTCCAGATGTCCGGCTTAATGGGACTGGATTTATCTTCAAAAGTCCTGGTTTGCCTCTGATTGAAAACCAGTGTGCTCCCCATGGTTACGGACGGCTGTGCAGGTTTTTGTTTTGTTGAAGGGAATTGGCTCACTCTGAGTCAGCCGTGCACCCGGGCTGCTGATGTAGTCTCAGTGTGATGGTTAAACTTTAAGTGTCAATTTGACTGGGCTAAGGAATGCCAGACATTATTTCCGGGAGAGTGTGTGACAATGTTTCCAGGAGATTCGCATTTGAATCAGTAAAGATCTGCCCTCACCAAGGTAGATGGGCATCAGTCAATCCATTGGGAGCCAACAGAACACAAAGGCAGAGGAAAAGCACATTTTCTCTCTGCTGGAGCGGGGACAACCATCTTCTCCCACCCTCGGACACTGGACATTGGAGCTTCTCCTGGGCCGATGCCAGCACCCGCCTCCTGCCCCCGCCTCGTTCTCAGGTCTTCGGACCCAGGCTGAGTTACAGCGCAGGCTTTCCTGGTCATCCAGCTTGCAGACAGCATTTCCTGGGACTTCTTGGCCTCCATAATCGTATGAGCCAATTCCCATAATAAGTCTTCTCTTACATATCTGTATATATCCTACTGGTTCTGTTTCTCTGGAAAACCCTGACTAATACACCTGGGCTCCATTACCAAAAGTACTGTCTCCTTAAGAAAGGAGATGAGAATAACTCACTCTCCTCCACTCTGGCCTGACACCCTCTAGCCCAGGGGTCCCCAGCCCCGGGGGACTACTGGACATTGGAGCTTCAGCAGGAAGTGAGCTGTGGGTGAGCGAGTGAAACGTCATCTGTATTTACAGCCGCTCCTGATCACTCCCATTGCCCCCGAGCTCTGCCTCCTTTCAGATCAGCAGCGGCATTCAATTCTCAAAGGAGCACAATCCCTATTGTGAACTGTGCACATGTGAGGGATCTAGGTTGCACGCTCCTTGTGAGAATCTAACGCCTGATGATCTGTCACTGTCTCCCATCACCCCCAGATGGGACCATCTAGTTGCAGGAAAACAAGCTCAGGGCTCCCTCTGATTCTACGTTATGGTGAGTTGTATAGTTATTTCATCGTATATTACAATGTAATAATAATAGAAATAAAGTGCACAGTCAAAGTAATGCGCTTAAATCATCCCGAAACCATCCCCTGCCCCTAGTCCATGGAGAAATTGTCTTCCACGAAAATGATCCCTGGTGCCAAAAAGGTTGAGGATCACTGCTCTGGCCTATTATTTAGTTTTGGTAAAAGGAGGAACAGGAGAGCAGAGAGTAAATCATATCACAGGGAACTAACTAGGAAGGTAAAGGTTGAAATCAGGCTTCTTGAAAAATTATTAGGACTGGAGAAGACAAACTCAGGAGGAACAAAAGCCTCTCTTCAAGAATGCTAGGGGCTGCACTGCTACAAAGAAAACAGATGCACTCGAGGCCAGGCACGGTGGCTCATGCCTGTAATCCCAGCACTTTGGGAGGCTGAGGTGGGTGGATCACGAGGTTAGGAGTTTAAGACCAGCTTGACCAGCATGGTGAAACCTCATCTCTGCTAAAAATACAAAAATCAGCCAGGCGTGGTGGCACGTGCCTGTAATCCCAGCTACTCAGGAGGCTGAGGCAGGAGACTCACTTGAACCCAGGAGGTGGAGTTTGCAGTGAGCCGAGATGGTGCCACTGCGCTCCAGCCTGGGCAACAGAGCGAGACTCTGTCTCAAAAAAAAAAAAAAAAAAAGAAATAGATGCACTCTGTGGGCCTCGTCTTAGCCCATTTGTGCTTCTATAAGAAAACACCTTAGACTCTTCTTACAGTTCCGGAGGTTGGCAAGTCCAAGATCGAGGCACTGCGTTGGTGTCTAGTGAGGGCTGCTGTCTCTCCAAGATGGCACCTTGGGGCTGCACCCTCACATGGCAGAAGGTGGAAGGGCAAGAGAGCACTCCCTTCAATCTCAGGACCCATATAATAGTGCTGATGCCATTCATGAAGGTGGGGCCCTCATGATTCAATCACCTCCCAAAGGACACACCTCTTAATACTCTTGCACTAGGATTAAGTTTCAATGGGAATCTGGAGGGGATGCCATCATTCACGAGGGATAAAGCTAAGATGAGTGAGTGAAAGCTCTAGGAATATGGATTTTCAGTCTCATAGCTGCCTCAAGATATCGTCAGCTGCTGTTGGAAGGTTGCTGAGGTCCTCATCACAGGAGGCATTCGAATACTGGAAAACTAATTTTGGAGAATAGCACAAGAGGACTCAGTTCAAGACTAAGACTTTGGGGTTTTCCCTGGCAGGTTTTAATTTGGCCCCATGGGTAAAATGATGGATTACTGTCTCTTTGATCTGACATGTGATAATACTCATTGAACATCGATTCAGATGGGAGGCTGAGCCCTGCATGGGAGAAAGAGCAGAAAGCTGTGTGGGAAGGAGTGTGGTGGGAATGGTAGCAGCCTCAGCCTCTCCGTGTTCAGCAGGTAATCAGACCTTCCCCGACAGAAGGCAGCTCACCTGTTAGGTTGTTCCCCTACCTCGCTGTCTGGGGAATCCCAGTCCCCCATTCCCCCTGCCCCCACCACCCCAGCAGCTGATTGAAAAAATCTTCCCACTACAAATAAGGGGTCCCTATAGAGTCTGGGATCTAGCATGTTCTGCTTTCTGTTGCACTTTGGGGATCAGTCTAATGCCCCAGGGATGCAATAGTGCTCCTGACTCTGAAGTCAAAGGACCTTTTGCTGCCTGTCACTCAACCATAACTGGAGCTGACTGGGCTGATCTGTCCAGACAGCGCTCCCAACCTCCCTCCCTGGGTGACCTCCAAAGCTGCACCCTGTTCTCAGGAGGCATCTTCCCCGGCCAGAATCTCCATGCAAACCCCAAGGTTCTGTTGGAGGATACTGCAGGGTGGTCACGCCTCTGAGATGACTCTGCGGACCCTCCCAGCCCTGAGATCCCACGAGGCTTTCCTACCTAGGCCTCTGGAATGCCAGGAAAGGAAAGCCAAATGCTCAGGGCTCCTCACGCTCGCCCCAGTCCCTGGCAGAAGGGAAGCTGCCCTAAGTCTCGCTGGCTGCGGCAGTCCTCCTGGCTGCTGAGTGACTCATCAGCCTCAGCAGAGCCTACTGTGACTGGCGTAGCTCCTCCCACGCTTGCCCTGACCACCCCACTGGGAGAAGGTTCTCAGAACAGATAAGAACTAAGTAGCAGTTACTCTTGGCCTCTCTAAGGCAGGGGGACAAAACGGACCAGGCTGACCAGAGGCAAAACCATGGAGCAGGTGAAGGATGGTCCCAGACCCCTCTCTTCTGCCAGCTCCTCCCACCCTCTTGCCATCCAAAGCAACCCCATTCCCAAGTGGGGGAGCCTCTTTGAGCTCCTTACCCCAATCAGCCCTTCCTCCTACAGGGGCTGCATGCCCCCAGGAGCCCCCTCTGTCCTTGCCTCCCCTAGCCCCATTTCTTCATTGCCCCCCTTAACTGGAGGCCTGGAGGAAGACAAGTGTGTCAGGGAAAATAGTGCAAGACCTTGGAATAGGCAAAAAAGATGAATGGGTATCTATCTAGCACACCTTTTGAGGTTATCTTCATTTTTCATTGTCTTTGAGCTATTTTGCCACTCTGCAAGTTGTAGGAAACTCATAATCATGCAAATGGCCCTTATCCATAGCAACACAAATGAATTGCATCCAGTGGAATGTGGTTGAATACAGCGGAGTATCCTGCAGAATGCAATTGACTGTTGCCCTGTTGCGTGTTTGTGAATTGACTTCAGCATTCCTTACTGCCTATGTATGTGAGGTTCTTTGAACCAGTTGTAACATTGCACTGGTATCTTCCTTAATTAACAAGTTAAATGAAATCACTGGCACGTATTCATTTTATATTTGTATGAGACTCAAGATCTTACCTTTTATCAAAATTATCCACTGGGTGTGTTGACTCACACCTGTAATTCAAGCAATCTGGGAGGCTGAAGTAGGAGTATCTCTTCAGCCCAGAAGTTAGGGGCCAGCCTGGGCAACAGAGCAAGACCCCACCTCTACAAAATTAGAAAGTTAGCCAGGCATGGTGGTACACACCTTTAGTCTCAGCTACTTGGGAGGCTGAGGCAGGAGGATTGCTTGAGCCCAGGAGTTTGAGGCTGCAGTGAGCTATGGCTCCAACACTGCACTCTGGCCTGGGCCACAGAGTGAAACCCTATCTCAAAAAAAAAATTTTTTTTTTTTTGAGATGGAGTCTTTCACTGTCCCCCGGGCTGGAGTGCAATGGCGTGATCTCAGCTCACTGCAACCTCCACCTCCTGGGTTCAAGTGATTCTCCTGCCTCAGCCCCCTGAGTAGCCAGGATTACAGGCGCTTGCCACCACGTCCAGCTAATTTTTTGTATTTTTAGTAGAGACAGGGTTTCACTATGTTAGCCAGGCTGGTCTTGAACTCCTGACCTCAAGATCCACCCACCTCGGCCTCCCAAAGTGCTGGGATTACAGAGGTGAGCCACCGTGCCCAGCAAAAAAAAAAAAACTTTTTAAAAAAAATTTTGAAATGATCCTTTAGCAAGCTTGAAAGACCACCACACTAATTGGTGGTCTTTCAAGCTCTGTGGGTAAGAGCTGGAGGATGGAGCATTTAAGGGTTTCTGTATTTGGAATGTCCAGCAGGAACAGGGAGGGAAAGGGGGCAGCTGTCCCTGTCTACCCTCGACCCTACATTCTCCTCCAAGCCAACTCTGGCCTTGCCCATTTTCCTTTGAGACCGACTCGGAAGTTCCCAGGACTCGGCTGGGCGTGGTGACTCACACCTATAATCTCAGCACTTTGGGAGGCCAAGGCAGGCCGATCACTTGAGGTCAGGAGTTCGAGACCAGCCTGGCCAACATGGTGAAACCGTCTTTACCCAAATACAAAAAAACAAAGAAGAAGTTCCCAGGACTCTGCCTTTAAAAACTGTCCCAGAACCGCCCCACCCCCACCCTGCCACCCCCGCCACTCCGCCTGCCCATCTCTGCAGTTGCTGAGTAACAGTAAGGTCTTGCTGCTGCTGCTGCTGCTGCTGTCACTTTTCCCTTGAAATGACTTACAGCACTTACTTAATAACAAGCATTAGGGGATTACATGTCCAACACATGCTTTCGGGGTCACATTCAAACCGTAGCTGGGATGATAGCTAAAAGGCACAAGGACTTGGGTTTTTTCCAAGGTGATGAAATTCTCCAAAGTTGACTTAAGTGATGATTGCACATATCTGTGAATATGCCAAGAACCACCTGCCAAAAACACAACAGGTGAGTCACATGGTGACTTCATTTGCCAGGGCTACTATAACAGAATACAACAGACTGGGTGCCTTCAACCACAGAAACCTATTTCCTCACAGTTCTGGGGGCTGGAAGTCTAAGAGAAGGTGTCAGCAGGGTTGGTTTCTTCTTTTGTTTTTTTTTTTGAGATGAGGTCTCACTCTGTCTCACTGGCAGTGGTGTGATCATGGCTCACTGCAGCCTCCTGCTCCCAGGCTCAAGCGATTCTCCCACCTCAGCCCCCCGAGTAGCTGGGACTACAGGTGTGTGCCACCACAGCTGGCTAATTTTTGTACTTTTTGTAGAGATGGGGTTTTGCCATATTGCCCAGGCTGGTCTTGAATTCCT